>NC_000003.12:54858484-55161515 GCF_000001405.40 Homo sapiens | reverse complement strand
GGATGCGAATAAGGAGACATCCAGTTATTCAGCAGCAGAAACAAGACTTGTATTCAGGACTTGGTTAAAGGCCAAACTCCAGCCATTCTTACAGTAATGCAATTCTCTCCAGCTTTTCACATATTTGTTTAAGTCTCCCCTAGGTTCTAGATGATCAGGGCTGTGTTTTGCCCTTCTTTGGGCATCACACAGTGCAATGTACATACTAACAGCTAAATGCATGATGAAACCTTTTCTTTTTCTTAATGAAAAAGGCAGAATACTAGATTTTTCAGATGGTGAGTGTGATCCATGCATGAAGTGGGACAGAAATGAATCAAGAAAGAAGTTTTGTCAACACAAGAATGAGAGACTCCTGTTTGGGCTTGTTGTTGAAGGTCCCATCTTATATCACAGAGGTCATGAAACTGGGAGCCAAACAAAAGGGCATATGTTGCTGGACGATAGATGTTCTGCTCACTCAGGAACCAAGACCACTTCAAAGTTTGCTTGGCTTGGTGGGAAGCTGTTGCCAAGGAGAAGAGTCCCTGTGTCCCAACTGCCCATAAATATGTCTCCAAACAGCAGGAAGGAGTTGTACAAAATGATTGTAGTAGCTGGAGCAGGGGGGTGGAGACTTGGGAAGTAGATTTGTCTCCTTCCACAGCACTGACTGAGCTAGGAAGCATTCCACATTCCAACTGGCCAAGAAAAACACAGCCCAGCACTGGTAGGGAGGCAGCCATCGGGGAACAGCTGAACCACCATGGTCATCCAGCCTCTCAAAGACTGTCACCGCAAGAGTGAAGCCAGAGCCTGCGGTTTCCTGTCATCCTCTCTGGGACACAGCTCAGTCTTCCAATGACTCATGGCCAGTGGCGTGCAAAGATTTCACGTCCCATCTCCAACAGAGCCCAACCTGTGCAGAGCCACGGCCGTTCCCACTGCTTCTTCCTCATGGGTTGCTTAATGAGGGGATTAATGATGACCAGGATGTGAGTGGACGTCTTCACATAAGCAGCCCGGCTGTAAAACTGGCCGTGCACAGGCAAGCAAAAACAAAGCGGGGGGGGGGTAACACTCAGCAGCACTGCACCAAGGCTTCTGTGTCTCAAGTCTTCTGGTCATGTGGGGAGAGGAGAGGAAACTGAAATTTATTAACTTCAGGCCTCTAGAGAGATGGTGAGGCTCAGTGGTTAAGAGTGTGGGTGTCAGATTGCATCCGGCTTCATCACTTCCTATTGGCTTAGTGATCTTGGGAAGTTCCTCAGCCCCTCTGAACCTCAATCTTTTCATTCAGAAAAAGGGAATGATAGTAGTCTCTACTGCATTAAGTGGTTTCGAAGATCAAATGGAGATTTATAAATGTAAAGTTTGGTAAATGTTAGCTTTTGTCGTTGTTATTTTTACCACCATTGATACTCAAGTTTAGTTGGTGATGGGAGCTGAAGAACAGTGGAAATTACTTCTGAAGGAATTAATACCAATTATAGAGTAAATGCTTTGTGGAAGTTGAACACTGGACTTCAGTTATTAATTGGAAGAGAGCCTTGCTCCTAATACCGGCTGTGTTCTGTGAATGATTAAGCCTAAAGACCTTTTGGGATCTGTGGTAACTCAGGAATAGACTGGCCAGGGTGACAGTCTCACTTCCCACTTGGAAACACTATTAATAATCCAACCCCCAACCATACCCAAGCTTGCTCTTCAGTTCTACCAAAATGTATTGAAGGCTCGTCACATGCCAGGCACTACTGGCATGGTGGGGAGGTGGGGGCATGAATATAACAGAGAGGTGTAACACATGGGCCCTGTATTCAAGACATGAACAGGTGAGATGAATATATGTACACTCAAGTAACTACCATGCAGCAAATCATTGCTCCAGTGCCGAAACAAACTACATGCAAGGCACATGGGGAGAGACTGATTCTGAGTGGGAATATCTGTGAAGTCTTCTTGGAGGATATGTGTTTTGAGATGAACCTCAAATGTCGATGTGAAGAGGAGGTAAACAATGTAGATAAAGGGATCATCTTTTGCAACAGTAGTAGCCTAGAGTAGACTAAAGGAATAAACTGGAAGATAAAGTTGAGGAGGTTGGAGAAGACCATATTCTGCAGAGTTTTGATGGTCAGGCTGAAAGATTCGGATTTTGTTATTTATATTGGGAGACAATATGCCTTGGGAATAGAAGCTCAGGCATTGACTCTGAAATGTATTTGAGTCATGGCTATACTTTGTGCACATGGTGTGACCTGAGAAAAACATTTCACCCTCTGGACCACAGTCTCCCCACTAGAAAGAAGGGCTCACAGCAGTGGTTCACTCACAGGACTGTGGATGTGCACAGGCTGCTCAGCACTGTTCCTCGGCATGGTACAGTCTTATAAATATTAGCCATTGCTGTCATCATCAGCAATCAAGAGGCTGTTGCAATAGCTTAGGGAGAAATGGTGAGCATCTGGGGTAGGACAGTGCCAAGCAAAAAGGAGGAATGCATGCACCTTTCAGAGGCAGAATAGGGAAGTGAATAGGGCTATTGGGCATGAGAAGTGAGAAGGGAGCAAGGATGACTTAAGGATTTGAACCTGGAGACCAGGAGTTTTGAAATGGTGTTACCAAGTTCAGGTCATGGAAAATGTCTCAGTTTGGGCTGTATTGAATCAAAGGTGGCTGGTAAATCCTTCAGATTGGTCTTTTTCCTGGGGATTTCAAAGGCAAATATCCAAATTTCAGTAGAATTTTTAGGACAAGAGACTTAGACTGGAGGATCATGCCTTTAGAAGTGAAAGTCAAGCCTTTGGAATGATAAATGGTCCTGAAAGGGTCTTTAAGAGCAATAATGTTGCTGGGAAATGGACATTATTAAATGTCTATTTATAAGAGAGGATAGAGGAAAAAAAATGGAAGACTACTAGGCAGTTACTATGTTTCTAAAACCAAGTGATGGATGTGTCAAACAGGCTGTGGTAGTCAGCGCAGCAAACAAAGATGAGGTCATTAGTTTGATTATACCTTCCATGAGCATCTCAGGAGAGTATAGGGAAGAAGCTAGTTTGTAAGGCATTAAAGAGAAAATAATGGGGAAATGTGGTGTGTGCTTCATTGTAAAGAAGTTCAGAAGTTAAAGGAATGTAAGAGAGAAAGGTAAGGACGTTGAAACAAATGTGAGTTTGGGGTAGAAACGATTTGAACAGTTTTGTAGAGTAGAGGAAACATCCACTGGAGAAAAATTAAAGATGCACCAGAGGAAAGAGGTTATTGTTGATCTAAGGAGAGTCAGGAAAATGTGTGAATTACAGATTTATAAGGATGTTCGTTTCAGAGCAAACAAAGACCTCATCTTATGTGGATTCCAGAGCAAGGAAGAAAGATTAGGTTTAAAGGCAAACAAAAAAAATTACTTTGGTAGCTGATGGAGTTCATGTTGGTGTACCTTTGCCTTCTAATAAACTATAGATTTTCCTTTAATAATTTAATGAGATTTCATAAGTTTTTATCAATGTGGAGGGATTTTTCTCCCTTAACTCTCTTGAGAGGCTGAGTAGAGTGGAGCAGGAATAACCACAAGAGTGGTTTGGAAGTCAGAAGTTCAGACCAGTCATAACCTCATTAAATCTCAGTGATCTCACCCACAAACGGAGAATGCCCACCAAGAGGATGAACTGTGGTTTAACTGAGATAATACATGTGTCTGACTTTGTAAAATTGATCTGTAACTAACTATACTTTATTTTTATCTGTCATATTTATCATATTGTGTTCTTGAAGCTATTTTTTTCAATACTTGAAGAGAGAATGATGCCTGGGACATGAGCGAAATGGAAAGTTTGTGCGTGCCTTATTTATGCTCTAGATAGTGCATGATGCAGAGGAAAGCAAGGCATATTTAGAAGCCAGTTCCTGTCAAATACTCAGAAAAGTGCCACTACAACGCTGTGGGGGGACTTCACAGATTTTCCACCAAGACAGTCTCCTTCTCCCCCAACTTTTTTCCAATGATATCGCCAACATGGTTTTGAATGACTCAAGCTTTGGGACGCATACCACTTCCCTGGTTATACACGTTTGCCATTTCCCAGATTTCATCATTAGGGCATTTCCTGAAATTCAGCCCAACATTTTCCTTTTTTTCTCATTTCAAAAAGGATTCTGTTTCAAGCCTCAGCTGTCAAATGGGGAACCCAACTGTGAACGGTAGCGCATTTGACTGTGACATCAGAGTTTCCAATGGGAATGCCGCTTTCCACCCCTGATATCAAATTCTCCCTTTGATTCAGGGCTTGAGAATAATGCACAAGTCTATACAGACCACACCGAGGTGCTACTGCTGGGGCCAATAGCAGCAGGACCCCAAATTGCCTTTGTGGTTGGCAGCCCACAAGAACTGTCTGCCAAGAACCCCCTTGGAAACTCATCACCTTTCCAAGACCCCGTTTTCAAGTAGATCAAAGTATTTTCCTCATCCTGGTGAAAGCCAGAGGTTCAGGTCAAAGTGAATGAGTGTGGGATTCTGAAGGAAGCTGGCAGAACATCAAAGACAATTGGGTGGGACCTGAGTCTTTTCTTTGAAAACTCTTTTCTATTGTTTCCCAGACTTTTTCAGTCTGACACATCATTGAACTTGCCCCTGTGCTCCCACCCCAGTCTCTACAACCCCTATTCAGCTTCCATTAGTTCCATCATCTGATCCTGAAATTCCTTAGGTGATTATGTGTTCCAAAAGCAAGTGACCACACATATGTACTGACCTATACATATGAATAACTGCCCATATCCACCTGCACTTACCTTATCCTAAGCCATAAACCCATAATTAAATTTTATTTTCTTTTATTCTGAAAGTACTTTTTTGTATCCAGAACACTTAATACACAGTTCTGTGTCTCCCCATTAGACTGTACACTCCCTGAGGACAGCAATCTTCTCTGTGCCCTTTCTCAGACCAGCACAGAGCCTGCTGCACTTAAAAAATTTGATAAATGGTTAGCGAACACTCTAGGTAATCTTAACCTTCCTCCTAATTTTAATAATTATCCATTTACGCTACAGCAAGGAATTTGGGGGAACTGAATTGTCACTCTTGATACTCCTGAAAAAAAATATATTTGAGACCACTGTTTTCTAATTTAGATCATAACGAAACAAGCAGTCATTATGGATATAATAAATACTCTAATAATTATAGCCATCCTAGGTCATATTCATTGAACACTGACGCTGTGTCGTGCAGATGCAACATGTGTTCTGCCATGTGTTATCTCCTTTGGCTCTTAATGTTGGAGTGCCCTGGGCTCAGCCCTTGGTCTTCACCTCTTCTGCCTCTATACTCTTGATGGTCTCACGTCAACTATATGCCACCGACCCCCAATTTCACGAGACCAGATTTCTCTCCCAAACTCCAAACTTATATATCCACTGCCTCCACCTGGAAGTCTAATAGACTTCACAAGTTCAATATGTCCAATACTTACTCTTTATCTTTCCGAAAAAGCTGCTCTACCTGCTGCCTTTCCCAGCTCAATTGATGGCAGTGCCCTCATTCCAGCGGCTCCGGCCAAAATCCTTACAGTCTTCTACATTCTACTTCTTTTCTCCTACATCCAACCCATAAAAAATCCTGCTGACTTTATCTTCAAAATATATCCAGAATTCAGCCATTTCTCACCACTTCCCTGGCTACAATTCCAGTCCAATCCATGCTCACCTCATTCCTAGGTTAGAGCTATACCCTCCCAATAGAGCTCTGTGCTGCTTCTGCTCATGCCCGATGGAATGGTCTCAAGAAAACAACATAAAATACATAGTATATATATATAATTTATTTTTTGGGATATAGTGTCACTCTGTTGCCCAGGCTGGAGTGTTTGTTTCCAGGAGGGGAGGTGTGAGAGAATTCCAGAATCTGTATAAACTAGAGTAGCTGAGACTACAGGCACGCACCACGACACCCGGCTATTTTTTGTATTTTGGTAGAGATGGGGTTTCACCATGCTGGCCAGGCTGATATTGAACCCCTGACCTCAAATGATCTGCACCCCTCGGCCTCCCAAAATGCTGGGATTACAGGCAAGACCCACCGCGCCTGACCTCAGGATACATATTTTATCAGATTGTGACCCTCCAATGATTCCCAGTTTCACTACAAGGAAAAGCCAGATTCTTTCCAAGGCCTGGCATGATTTGGGGTCCACTTGTCCTCTGACTTTATGTCTTGATACTCCTCCCATTACTCCCTGTCCTCCTTGCTATTCAAGTGAACATGCCAGGCAGGCTCCCACCTTCGAATATTGGCTCTAGCACTTCTCTCTGCCTACAGTGTTTTTCCTGCAAATGCTACTTGGCTAATTCATCACCCTTCCAAGTCTCAGTGAGGTTTGCTGAAACCATCTTCCTCATGCCACCACTTGCCCACCTGCCAACACCCCTCTTCTACTCACTCTGTACTATGTTTTCTTTTTTCCGTAGTGTTTCTCACCTCCTAGTATAGTGTAGAAAGTTACTTGTATATTATACTATTTGGTTATCTTTCTTTCCCTTGTATAATGCAAGCTACGTGAGGGTACAGTTTTTGTCTCTTTTGTTTGGAAAAGTGTCTGGCTCACGTTGTAGATACTCAGTAAACATTGTTGAATGAGTGGGTAAGAAATGCCAGATGTTCCTAGAGTCAAGATACTCAGGTCTCAGAGCTCCAAGTGGCTTCAATGCCCTGAGTGTCCGCACATTCTTACACCCTTCATGCTCCATCTCACACTCAAAAGCCCAACACACACCCCATACCCTAAATCCTCTAAATCCATTTCTACAGCCTGAATTTCTATCTTGAGAAACTACTTCTGTCTGCCAGAGAGTGGCAAGGCATCATTTCATTTGCCTGAAACCAAATCCAGTGAAGGACAGGAGCTTCTTTGTCACAAGCGGCTGCTTGGTGGGTAGAAACTAACAAAATGTGACCAGCATGGGCAGCTCCCCTGGCAAATTGTTCCTTGAAGAGAGAATTGCAGTCTGCACAATTCCCGCCAAGTGATTATCTTCTTCTGCTCTCGGTGCTTACTGAGAGGCGTGCTGGGCATGAACTGTCAAACCTCCAAGGGCAGTGATGGGAAAAGAGGCTTATTTTGGAGGCAAACAGGAATGTCTTCCATCTATCCAGAAGAGAGACTGTCTCCTGTTTTATTAACTACAGTTCCATTACTTGGCTACCGTCTTTTACAGGGTACAGGTTAAGGAATACAAACTCAACTCAAAGGCTTTCAATTCATTCAGGAGCAGGGTCTTTGGGAAATTTTCCATGAGCATCAGCAGAAATTAGCAGCCAAATTTTAGGATGAGGAAGTGCCAAGCTGCAGGTGGCAAACTTCTCAGGCATCATCTTCTTTTTCTTCTTCCTTTAAGACACCCAAGCACTGGGTGTTATCATCCCAGTATTTTTCCTGAGCTTTGATAAAAAAGAGACTTGCTTAGGCTTTGTTAAGCATTCTGAGGGAGAAATAACATAGAATCCCAGAGAGAATATACCTGATCCTTGACATTTCCATGAGAAACACCAAAAAGAAAGCAATTGATAAAGTAAGTTCATTGAATAAGGGGGACATAAGGCCACCTTTCCCACACAAACACATCCAGACATTCATATTTTCTATTTCTTCATATTCAACTCATTGTCTTAGTCAGCTTGAGTGTGCTTTTTTTTTTTAAATTACAAACTGGATAGCTTTGAAACAACATAACTTTATTTCTCACAGATCTGGGAGCTGAGAAGTCCAAGGTCAAGGCACTGGCAGTTTTAATTTCATGCCCACTTTCTGGTTAATATATGGCACTTTCTTGCTGTGTCCTCACCTAATGGAAGGGAGGAAGTAAGCTCTCTCGGAACTCTTATAAGGACAGTAATCTCATTCATGGGGCCTCAACCCTCATGACTTCATCTAGTCCTAATTACCTCCCAAAGACCCCACCTCTTAACATCACATTAGGGCATAAGATTTCAACGTAAGAGTCTGGGGGGTACACAGCATTCGGTCCACAATACTCACTATGTGCTCTACAGTGTATAGGATGAGTATCGGGTCTATTAAATCCCTTCCACCTAAGATCAGTTGTTCATCGCGATCCTACTATTATTTTACATGCCTCTCCCAGACTCCACGTTTTTTTTTTTTTTTTGTTCATGCTCAGTGTACTTAGCAACAGACCCAGGTCTATTCCATAAGGCATTTTCTCTCTCCCTGGATCATCTCCTGTTCATTATCATCTTATTTTTATCCTATTACATTCTAGATTTATTATCTATTATATTACATGCCTGGAGGGTGGGATTCATTTTGAGGAGAGGAGCTGTGAGAGAATTCCATACTGATCTCCCTTCTGTCTTTATGGCATCCTGTAATTTCAGACACTTGCCATTTCTATGCATCCACACTGGCCTCCCATACATCTGTTCTCCACACAATAACCAGAGTGACATTTTAAAAGCTCACATATGCCTACATTACCCTCATTGCTTAAAATTCTTCAGAGATTCCCATTGCTCTAAACTCTTCAGAGATTCCTATTGCTCTGACCCTCAAGCTCCATATCTCCAGTGTGGCCTCTGTGGTCCTGGGCACTCTGACTTTTGCAGGTCACTGGTCTGCTCTTACCCCTCTCCGATGCATGTTCTCACTGCTCCAGCCACCTTCGTCCTTATATTCATGAATTATCCAGACTCTGGACCCCAAAAAGCATTTATCAGGTATTCCATCTGTCTAGGATGCTCCCTCTGCCTTCACCTCCTCACCTGCCTCCTCTACCTAGCTAACTCACCTTAAGATTTCAGCTCAGCCATCATCTACTCAGGAAACTCCTTTGCCGGCCAAAACCCTGTCTTCCCAACCTGGCCCCTCCATCGGTGCCGCTGTAATGCCATCATGGTGTTGTGTGCTGCTCCTGTGTAGCACCACTTCCCTTGTTTTGTCTTCTGCTTTCTTTGTCTCCATTTCATCCTCTTTTCCTGGTAGACACTGAGCTCTATCAAAAGTGTTTTTGCCACTATTGTATCCTCAGCACATAGCATGTTCCCAAGAATAGTATGTATTTAATAAACAACTCATTCATTGAATAAACGAGTAAATGAGTAAATGAATAAAAGAAAATCTCATTAAGGCACTCTTATTTTATAATTGAAATTAAATGTGATTAGATATTGACCTTGCAAAGAACATGATCTAGTAATATATTAGTCAGGCTAGGTTATGCTACAGTAACAAATAACCCCAAAATTTGGGGGTTCAAACAACAAAGCTTCTGTTGGGAATGTAAAATGGCACCGCAAGGCAATTTCTTACTAAACTAAACACGTGCTTACCATATGACCCAGCAATTGCACTCTTGGGCATTTATCCCAGGGAAGTGAAAACTTATATTCATGCAAAATTCTGTGCATAAATGTTCATAGCAGCTCCATTCATAATAGCCCTAAACTGGAAACAACTCAAATGTCTTTCAATGGGTAGATGGTTAAACAAACTGTGGTGTATCTATACCATGGAACACTACTAAACAAGAAAAAGGGATCAACTATCTATACACACGACAACTTCAATATATCTCAAGGGAATTGTGCCAAGTGGAAAAAAGGTTACATATTTTTTTTGCACAACATTGTGAATGTAATTAATGCCACTGAATAATACGCTTAAAAATGGTTAGAATGATGGCCAGGCATGGTGGCTCATGCCAGTAATCCCAGCACTTTGGGAGACTGAGGCAGGTAGATCACCTAAGGTCAGGAGTTTGAGACCAGCCTGGCCAACATAGTGAAATCCCGTCTCTACTAAAAATACAAAAAATTAGCTGGGCGTGGTGGCAGGCACCTGTAATCTCAGATATTTCCGAGGCTGAGGCAGGAGAATTGCTCAAAGCTGGGTGGTGGAGGTAGCAGTGAGCCGAGATCATGCCATTTGCACTCCAGCCTGGGCAACAAGAGTGAAACCCCACCTCAAAAAAAAAGTTGTTAGAATGGCAAATTTTATGTTGTATATATTTTACTACAATAAAAAATTTCAAGGTCACATACTGTATGATTCTATTGATCTGTTCTTGAAATGGCAAACACGTAGATATGGAGAACAGATTAGTTGTTGCCAGGAGTCAGGGAGAGGGAGGAAGGGAGGGAGGTGACTGTGATTACTAAAGGGTAGCACTTGAGATCCTGTGCGGGGACTGCTCTGCTCTTTATCACACATGTGATAACATTTCGGGGAACTAAGTACACACAAGCACACATGCACAAAGGAGCACATGTAAAACTGGTGGCATCTGAATAAAGTCAGTGGATTTTATCAATGTCTATTTTCTGCTTATTGTATTATAGTTATGCAAGATGTTATCACTGGGGAAAACTGGATAAAAAGTAATAGGATCTCCTTGCATATGAGTGTATAAATATCTCACAAAAGAAATTAAGCAACAACAAAACACAGGTTTACTCCTCACTCAAGCTATATGTCCTCCTTGGTGTGGCTGGGGGTCCCGCCCATGAAAATAACACAGGCCATTGGAGCTTCTGCCATCTGGAGCTTCACCCGTCACCTCACCAGGGGAAGGAGATTTGGCAAATTACAGTCAGCCCTCTGTATCTACGGGTTCCACATCCACCAACTCAACCAACCACAGATGGAAAATATTAAAAAATAATAACAACAATGGAAATAATACAAATTTTAAAATAATATAGGCTGGGCACAGTGGCTCACACCTGTAATCCCAGCACTTTGGGAGGCCGAGATGGGCAGATCACCTGAGGTCAGGAGTTTGACACCAGCCTGGCCAACATGGTGAAACCCTGTCTCTACTAAAAATACAAAAATGAGCCAGGCGTGGTGGTGCATGCCTGTAATCCCAGCTACTAGGGAGGCTGAGGCAGGAGAATCGCTTGAACCTGGGAGGTGGAGGTTGCAATGAGCTGAGATCCCACCACTGTATTCCAGCCTGGGTGACAGAGTAAGACTCTGTCTCAAATAAATAAATAAATAATATAATATAATATAAGATAAGAACTACTTACATACCATTTACATTGTATTAGGTATTATAGGTAATCTAGAGTTGATTTTAAATATTTGGGAGGATATGCATAGTTTATATGCAAATACAACCCCATTTTATATAAGCACCTTGAGCATTCATGGATTTTGGTATCAGCAGGGGTTTCTGGAACCAATCCTCTGTGGATGCCGAAGGACGACTGTACTCCCTGACTCTTAAAGGCTTCCAGCTATAAGCAACATACATCATTTCCACTCATGTTTCATTGGTCAAAGCAAATCCTCTGGCTTTACTAACTTCTAGGAAGCAGGGAAGTTCAGCCTTGCTATGTGTCTGAAAATAAAATAATCAAAATATTGATAAAAGCACCACAGTCACAGCTGTTGATTAAGATTATATAAATGGTTAAAATACTTACAAAGCATTTAACATTTATGCCATTATCATGTGACCAATTAAATAAGCATCTTCCATTTAGCAATAAATTGAATGTAGGGAAATACAAAAATAAATATTACACTTGTCACTGTGGATAAAACTTTGTACTGGGCCTGAGTTTCACTCTTCAGAAAAAGTGAAATGCTAAAATGTAAGTTAAAATGCACCCATGTAACAAAGACAGTTTCTCCTTTTGCCCACTGAATTTTCATGGAAGTAATGCTTACATGTAGCTTTTCTAGCTGAAGGCGTAAGTAGTCAAAGCGTACCTGTAGCTTTTCTATCTGAAGACATAAGTAGTCAATTTAAAATGAAACTGACATGTGTGAAAAAGTTTGTACATGTTCAGGGAGGCTGTGTAGAAGGCATTGGGATGGGTGAGCATACATGGATCAGATTGATAAATTTGGAAGATCACAGGTGCAGGACAAACAACAGAAAAGCAAGGAGTTTGCTAAGAAAAGAAACATAATACCACTAATCAAGAAATAACCAGAAAGCTCTGAGAATAACCAACTGCATGTTGTAGTTGTAAGAAATTAAATAAAATATTTTGCTATGTAGAAACATATCTAAGACGTATTTTTAACATGCACCTTTTATGTATTTAATAAACAGCTTGTATGTATTTAAGAACACAATTATATTGATCAGAGTTGCTTAGGGTCAGGAACAACAGGAAACTCATGCTTAACGAGCATCCAGTGACTGGCATCACTGTCTATGGCACCCAACTTTAACCCACACGATGCTCTCGCATCTTTACTAGCACCCTATTTTACAAATGCATCAAGAGTCAGAAAAGTGATATTATGTCTCCAGAGCTGCCATTTGCACCTAGGACTGCCTGACCACTGAGTCTAGTAGACTGTGCTGTACCCCTTACTCATCATCAGTTCCCTGGGGTGGCACCACGTACAAGGGCTGCTGTGACTGGCTTCAGCCTCCTTTTCCAAACTCTGTTCACTGCTTCCTTCTATGGCCTCCAATCTCCAGCCAAAGGACATCTCTCACACTTCCTCAAGCCCAGCCTGCAAAATGCAGCCTCTGCCTCTTCAAATGCAGTTCCCCCTGCCCTTTCTTTCTTACCTCTTTACCCCAAATCTTACCGATTCTGCAGATCCTAGCTCATGTGCTACCTCCTTCAAGTCTTTCATCATCATTGCCTTAAAACTTTTCAGATACAAAGCAAGAAATTAATGAATGGATGAATGAATGAAGAGATAGGCAAATGGTGTTTTCCCCTAAAAGCTATGTTCTGTCCCCCTAATTCTTTCCCAAGCGTTTTGTGGTTGTTGTTATATTCTATTGGCTATTATGTAGCTATTTGAATTCAACTCAGAAGACATTAATTGCATTTTTATTATTGCAGAGTTCCATGCTGAGTAGGGAGGGGAATGCAACAGTGGATAAAACCCAGTCCAGTCTCTGCACTTTACGTTTTCACAAACCCTTTTGGTGAGTTCACCTCTAACGCACTCGAGCTCCCTCGTCAGACTCTCAGATCCTTGAAAGAGAAAGTACATTTACAGAGTGGGAATGCTACTTCATGCTTTTTTCTAAGAGAATTCTGACTTACATCAACATCCTTCAACAAGAGCAAAGCTCAGTGTAGAATAACTCCATTCCTGGCCAAGTCAAGACCCGCCAGGCTCCGGGATGCCTGGCTTCATCACTCAGGATCGCAAATAGCCTATTGCGGCTTTAGCTGGTTTGAAATGATAAGGTTGGGAAAACCAAACAGTACTGCCCCAGTGTTCATAAAAATAAGCAGAAATTAGAGAAGCCTTAGCATTCTTAAGAGTTATCATTTATTATGATAACCTTGCTCATTTCAAGAGTGATCCCGGAACAGTAAAAAAAATTAAAATAAGATGGCAATGTAATACTACTATTTAAAATAAAATCATGGATTAATACCAGAAAACTTCAGATTATTCCATTTAACTTCATGTAGAGGAGTCTGCAAAATTAAGTGACTCAGGCTTTTTATTTATAGAAACAACTTGGATGTTGGTCTGAGAAGTGAGATAAAGTTTTCAAATAAGCTCAAGTCATAGAGAATTGTAAATAATGAAGAACCATGTGGATGGAAAATGAATCTTTTAAGTACCCTAATTGATAGGAGAAGCATTTCATATTAGATAAAACCTAATAAAAATATTTAAAGACAGGATGTAAAAATTATACACACACACACACACACACACACACACATATATATATAATCATGAAACCTGCATCACCATTTTGTATCCCAAGGGAAAACAAGAAGAAAAAAATAAAAAGGAAAAGTTGTATTGCTATTTAAAAAAAAAAAAAAAAAGTAAATTTCTTCCTGCTTGCTCCACAAGAGGAACCTTGGAACTAAAGTGTGGGGCACAGACTGGCTGAGGACCCAGCTAGCCAACAGCATTCCCTGGTCTGAATTAGCAAAAGGCACCCTCTGGGTGGATTCAGCACTTTGAACATGTGGCTTGACATCTGAAGAGTCGGTTTCAGCTAAGGAAAGTTGTCTGCCTCCCAGGAAATGCAGCCCTGCCTAAGTGCTGGACTGTAGCTCCCCGGTCCCCTTGCAGTAGGACATACATTTCACAATGGACCCCACCGGCCCCCTGGAATTCTGCATAAAATGTCTGGGGGAAAAGCATTGGATTGTATTCCCCATTCTAATTTTTGAACTAATCTTCACCTCTCTGAGCTCAGTTTCTTCCCCTGCGGATTGAGAAAGTGGTGCCCATCAGACCTACTCCAATGGGAAGGATCAGATGAGCTTACTCATGGGGAAAGGCTGGGTTAATTGCCCACCATCGTATAGGAGTAAAACTATCCATGTTGAATAAGCCATCCCTCATTTACGTTTCAGAGAATAAAATGTTTTCCCATTTTACATCCTAATGTATTCTTATTTTGACATTTTAAAGTGCATTTATTTTCCAATTTTGTTCATTTAGATTTGTTTCTTCAAGTAAATTAATAATTATAATAAATTGAAACATGATAATGATTACCATTTACAGACCACATTTCCATGTGCCAGGCATTGTATCAAGCACTTCTAATATCTTTGTGGTCTCATGTCATCCTCACAAGGTGAGGAGTGTTACTTCCTCCATTGTACAGATGCAAAACCTAAGACACAAAAATTAAATAACAAAAAATAGCACACAGAGGGTTTAAATGAACATCTTTGTGATCCACAGCTTTTCCTCCCCAAAATTTCATTATGGAAAATTTGAAACAGAGATAAACAGTAATGACTCTAGGCTACCACCTCACTTTTGGCATAATGCTGTTCATCCTCTTTATATTATTCTAATATTGTAGGAGGATTTCTTTTCGTTACAGGGTGGATAGAATAGAGAGAGGATTTTTTATACAGTTGAGGTACAGCTATTAATAGTTGGCCTCCACCACCAGTTCAGGAAGATGGGAGAAAAACTAATGTCTGCGTTGTAATAGTTTTTTTTTTTTTTTAGCTTCTGCAAGTGCGAATTTAATGCCTAACATCATTCTTAGAATCATTTATTCTTGCTAATAATTGCAGCAATAACAATTCAGAATCTCTGCAGCTTTGGCAAAGGTGGTCAAGGAAATAAACATCGTATTTAATTAAGTCTCTATTGAGAGTAAGTGGAAGGTGCTTAATCATGTTCATGAGCCTCTAACTACACTCTCTTATCAGAGACTCCACTCGGGACACTCTGTAGCTTCTTACAACTGACAGGCTACAAATCATGCCCTGGACTGCACCACTGATTCTTTTGAAAAATATCACCTGCAACTTGTGCACCTCATGCCTCCAAATATTAGACTCTATTTATGGAACCCATCCTGTACAAATCGTCCTGACTTTAGAAAACCTTCCCAGTATCAAAACATAGGCATCCCTATTGGGCTCAAAATATCTGATTCCCATAGGCTTGAGCAATGTAGAGTTGCTCATTCAAAAGCCCAGCTTCTTCTCCAGGTTTCTGGTTTGGTGATAATCAAGAGAACTTTTGAGCGATTACTGTGTCAAGTAATGAATTGGGCACTTAAGAATGATCTCTTTTAACGTTAAGAACAATCCTATGAGGTAGTTAACACCCTCATTTTATAAATAGGGAACCAATCTTAAAGTGATTATTTGTCCAGGGTTCTCTTTTTTCTGAGCACATGAGAATCCTAGTTGGCTTGACACTAGCTCAGTTTTAACCACAACGTGCTAATACCTCCCAGGCTAGGCATTGGCTCCAAAGAGACAATGAGGCTCTATCACACCTCTCTCCCCTGTGAGCCCTCCAGCTGCAGTGAATCAAAAAAGAGCACTCTCTCAGATGGAACCAGGATTAGTCTACTGGTCGAGTCCACATATTAATATTTTGCCATTCCAGATCTGAGCCACAATCCACTCCTCCGTGCCATGCTCTGGAAGCAATTCAGGAAGTAAAAGAGGATTCACAGAGCCATTGCGATCAACCCAACATGGTTTGTTGAAGAATTGAAGGACTTGGAAATCACAGTTCCTTTGCTTCCCCTCTTTTATGGTTATATGCTCCTTAGGAACAACACCAGAGAGTAGGTGTCCCCCAGGCATAAGTTTTCACCCACACACATCAGGATAAGCTTCTGTTGCATCCGCACTTGAGCTAATCTCAAAGGAGACAATTTGGGGAATTTCGATCATGCTCGCCTGGTGTCACAGCCCTCCCAGCAGCAAGCAATGCTTGGATCCTTATGGGAAATTCAAGTGCTCACAATTCCAGCTGTGCAATGGATGTCATTCTCACTTTGTCTTCCACTGGTGTGGGGTAGTTGCGGAAATGCTACATCTGTCATCCTTACTTTCAAGAAAAAAAAGTCTCTATTACAAGGCTATCTATAGTTTTTCCAATGTTTCTGCAAAGAAGGGGAAAAGAGGATGTGTTGAAAGACATGGCTGCCTGTGGACACTGCTGAGTAAATTTTGGCCAGTGTGGTGTAGTCATGAAGCTCCAAAAACATATATTTTTTCCTGGTTCAAAAGGGAAGGGAACAGTTCCCCACTGCACTAGAAAAGTGCTGGGACTTGACAGACAAAGACAAAACCTACTCTTGCCACTTTTCTCTGAAGTGTTTCCATAAGCCCAAATTTCTGGGTGGTTACAAGTAATTTGCTTCAACTTAATTTCTTTCATTCAAGTTTTTGGAAAAAAAAATCTGTCACAGGCAATGGAAAATAATTAAGACATTAGCCCAGTGTTGGATGTTCAGACAGCAAGCTGCATTAACCTACATGTCAATGTTGAATTACAGTATTACCAAACATACAGTGGAGACAGAAAGTCAAGGAGAGAAACAAATGAGCCCTGGTCATATTCCACTCGTTAAGTTCCTTGCCTTTCTGCTCTGGCCATCATCTTCTCCAGTCCTCTGCTGCTATCTCTTGAATGAATTGACTCTGCCAACTTCGAGGATCCTCCTTAGTAATCTATTCAATATGTGCATTCCCTTTGGAAGGAATACAGTAGTCTGGTGTGCGTTTTCTATCTGCTCCTAATTTCCTATCCTGTGAATTATGTCATCTAGTTTTTGTGCTTTTGCCAGTGGGAAAAGACTGTCTAGATCAATTTGGTTGGACCACCTCATATCCCTAGGAACACCAATTAGATCACCACAAAGCTGACTCATGCCTAGGAAGACCACCCTCAGTTTCCTCTACTGTCCCTTAGTTTAAACACTTAGCCTTAGGAAGGCTCTCGGAGATGTCATCTGACAAACAGTGCTTCTGCCTAATCCAGTCCTATAGTGGGTCAGGTTTGTACACATCTTGCAAAAGCCACAGACATATGCTGAGATATTCAATCTACAAGGAGATGTATTCTGGCTCTGGAGGGTAGATTTTGATCCAGGAAGTGAGATTTTTTTATTCCCACCCTCCTGAATTTCATCAGAGCAGCTACAGAGGATGTGGGAAGCTCTTATGATTTCCAGACTGACGTTATTAGATTAGAATGTAAGGGGTAATGCAATGCTCACATCTACACAAACGGCGAAGAATGAAAAGAACTTCACGTCAAATTACCTGGATCACTGTTTCCATTGTTTAGTTTGATGTCCATGGCAAAACACATACTCGGAAAATTTTGTAAAGTATTTTAATCCAATCTTGTCTTCTTGGCAGAATCCATTTAAAGGGATGGAAGATTGATGTCCATGGCATCCTCTGAACCTAAGATCCTAAGACATGTCACCCATAATCTGGTCACACCATCCAAAAGAAACCCTGAAGGCACAGGAACATGAAATGTTCAAACATACTTTGAAGACAAAGCATATTTTCTTCTTGTTGTCTTCTCTACTCTGTGTTAATCATTTGGTTAATGGATATGGGTCAACTAAAAATTGGACTTGTATTTAGAAGTCATTAAAGGGAAAAAGGGAGAAATTTGTTTGGCTGTCCAGCAGGACTCTGAAAGCTGGTACCTGCCATGCTTGTCTGGGAAGAAGAGGCATGAATGTGACCTTTTGGGTAGAACACAAATAGCCAGCATTCCTTATGCTTGTGGCTCCAACGGCCCCAGGGCTGTCCCTGGAAATTGATTATAGAAGCTCTTGTCAGGGTCCTGGCTTCTGAAGCCAAATCTAATTAGAGATGAGCAACCACAGCCCCATTCGTTCATGGCTAGAATCTGCTCTCCTCTGAACCAATCAGACTGTAGCTGTACCTGCATGGAGGGGAAAAGAACTTGTTCCTGGACTATGTTTCTGTGTTATAATGAATCAGACCAAGGGCTGGGTTATTTTGCTTGGTTATCCCAAATACTTGACTCTATGCACCCTCTGCTCTGGCTGTCATAGTCCCTTTGCTGCCACCAGTAATAAAAACACGTATCGGTTAAAATAGAATAATTCCAGAACCATCACAGATAACTAGCTACATATTCCAGATGCCCATAAGACGGGAGGTGTCTTCAATTGGAAACATCACAACCATGGTTTTGTTTGTTCAATTTACATAAATTAGCAGCTGGTTTCTCAATTTCCTCCACCAAAGTCAATACTCACAAGGAAACATTTTTATAGATGACAGAAGTATTAATTGCCTGGAAGTCCCTAAATTGGAATAACATTCTTTTTAGAGCAAGACCTGATATTGTATTATTTTATTATAATTGCATTACATGAATATACTGTTGTTTCAAATCATACAGGGTACATGAAACATAATAAAAAGATTCCCTTCAAACATCGCCATTCTCCATATACACAAACATGGATCCCCTCTATTTCCAGGAAGAATATTGCTGTTGGCAGTTTTTGACATACACTTCCAGAATATTTTCAATTAAACTAAATATTTATGTTTTTGTTTTTCTGTTTCATATACTTATAGCTTACACATATCAGGTTAACTTTTTAAAAAAATTAATATGCCTTGGAGCCTTTTCCATGTAAGCATATATACATTTTATCACCTTCCTTTTAATTGAGAATCTATCACCTGGTCTCTTTCCCAATATTAGGGGAAATGTTTCCAATATCTCACCATTTAGCATGATGCCTCCCATAGGTTTTCGTAGATTTCTTTCTATCCAATCAAGGAAGTTCCTTCTATTCTTAGTTTGCAGAGAGTTTCTCATATTGAATAGATGTTAAACTTTGTCAAATATTTTTCCATACAGCTATGGAGATGATGATTAAATTAGTTTTTGCTTTCTGTTTATGTGCTGAACTACATTGATTTATTTTCTTTTCTTTTTTTTTAATTATACTTTAAGTTTTAGGGTACATGTGCACATTGTGCAGGTTAGTTACATATGTATACATGTGCCATGCTGGTGCGCTGCACCCACTAACTCGTCATCTAGCATTAGGTATATCTCCCGATGCTATCCCTCCCCCCTTCCCCCACCCCACCACAGTCCCCAGAGTGTGATATTCCCCTTTCTGTGTCCATGTGACCTCATTGTTCAATTCCCACCTATGAGTGAGAATATGCGGTGTTTGGTTTTTTGTTCTTGCGATAGTTTACTGAGAATGATGATTTCCAATTTCATCCATGTCCCTACAAAGGACATGAACTCATCATTTTTTATGGCTGCATAGTATTCCATGGTGTATATGTGCCACATTTTCTTAATCCAGTCTATCGTTGGACATTTGGGTTGGTTCCAAGTCTTTGCTATTGTGAATAATGCCGCAATAAACATACGTGTGCATGTGTCTTTATAGCAGCATGATTTATAGTCCTTTGGGTATATACCCAGTAATGGGATGGCTGGGTCAAATAGTATTTCTAGTTCTAGATCCCTGAGGAATCACCACACTGACTTCCACAATGGTTGAACTAGTTTACAGTCCCACCAACAGTGTAAAAGTGTTCCTATTTCTCCACATCCTCTCCAGCACCTGTTGTATCCTGACTTTTTAATGATTGCCATTCTAACTGGTGTGAGATGCTATCTCACTGTGGTTTTGATTTGCATTTCTCTGATGGCCAGTGATGATGAGCATTTTTTCATGTGTTTTTTGGCTGCATAAATGTCTTCTTTTGAGAAGTGTCTGTTCATGTCCTTTGCCCACTGTTTGATGGGGTTGTTTGTTTTTTTCTTGTAAATGTGTTTGAGTTCATTGTAGATTCTGGATATTAGCCCTTTGTCAGATGAGTAGGTTGCAAAAATTTTCTCCCATTTTGTAGGTTGCCTGTTCACTCTGATGGTAGTTTCTTTTGCTGTGCAGAAGCTCTTTAGTTTAATTAGATCCCATTTGTCAATTTTGTCTTTTGTTGCCATTGCTTTTGGTGTTTTGGACATGAAGTCCTTGCCCATGCCTATGTCCTGAATGGTAATGCCTAGGTTTTCTTCTAGGGTTTTTATGGTTTTAGGTCTAACATTTAAGTCTTTAATCCATCTTGAATTGATTTTTGTATAAGGTGTAAGGAAGGGATCCAGTTTCAGCTTTCTACATATGGCTAGCCAGTTTTCCCAGCACCATTTATGAAATAGGGAATCCTTTCCCCATTGCTTGTTTTTCTCAGGTTTGTCAAAGATCAGATAGTTGTAGATATGCGGCGTTATTTCTGAGGGCTCTGTTCTGTTCCATTGATCTATATCTCTGTTTTGGTATCAGTACCATGCTGTTTTGGTTACTGTAGCCTTGTAGTATAGTTTGAAGTCAGGTAGCGTTATGCCTCCAGCTTTGTTCTTTTGGCTTAGGATTGCCTTGGTGACGTGGGCTCTTTTTTGGTTCCATACGAACTTTAAAGTAGTTTTTTCCACTTCTCTGAAGAAAGTCATTGGTAGCTTTATGGGGATGGCATTGAATCTGTAAATTACCTTGGGCAGTATGGCCATTTTCACGATATTGATTCTTCCTACCCATGAGCATGGAATGTTCTTCTGTTTGTTTGTATCCTCTTTTATTTCCTTGAGCAGTGGTTTGTAGTTCTCCTTGAAGAGGTCCTTCACATCCCTTGTAAGTTGGATTCCTAGGTATTTTCTTCTCTTTGAAGCAATTGTGAATGGGAGTTCACTCATGATTTGGCTCTCTGTTTGTCTGTTATTGGTGTATAAGAATCCTTGTGATTTTTGTACATTGATTTTGTATCCTGAGACTTTGCTGAAGTTGCTTATCAGCTTAAGGAGATTTGGGGCTGAGACAATGGGGTTTTCTATATATACAATCATGTCATCTGCTAACAGGGACAATTTGACTTCCTCTTTTCCTAATTGAATACCCTTTATTTCCTTCTCCTGCCTAATTGCCCTGGCCAGAACTTCCAACACTATGTTGAATAGGAGTGGTGAGAGAGGGCATCCCTGTCTTGTGCCAGTTTTCAAAGGGAATGCTTCCAGTTTTTGCCCATTCAGTATGATACTGGCTGTGGGTTTGTCATAGATAGCTCTTATTATTTTGAAATACGTCCCATCAGTACCTAATTTCTTGAGAGTTTTTAGCATGAAGGGTTGTTGAATTTTTGTCAAAGGCTTTTTCTGCATCTATTGAGATAATCATGTGGTTTTTGTCTTTGGCTCTGTTTATATGCTGGATTACATTTATTGATTTGCGTATATTGAACCAGCCTTGCATCCCAGGGATGAAGCCCACTTGATCATGGTGGATAAGCTTTTGGATGTGCTGCTGGATTCGTTTTGCCAGTATTTGATTGAGGATTTTTGCATCAATGTTCATCAAGGATATTGGTCTAAAATTCTCTTTTTTGGTTGTGTCTCTGCCAGGCTTTGGTGTCAGAATAATGCTGGCCTCATAAAATGAGCTAGGGAGGACTCCCTCTTTTTCTATTGATTGGAATAGTTTCAGAAGGAATGGTACCAGTTCCTCCTTGTACCTCTGATAGAATTCGGCTGTGAATCCATCTGGTCCTGGACTCTTTTTGGTTGGTAAACTATTGATTATTGCCACAATTTCAGCTCCTGTTATTGGTCTATTCAGAGATTCAACTTCTTCCTGGTTTAGTCTTGAGAGAGTGTATGTGTCGAGGAATTTATCCATTTCTTCTGGATTTTCTAGTTTATTTGCGTAGAGGTGTTTGTAGTATTCTCTGATGGTAGTTTGTATTTCTGTGGGATTGCTGGTGATATCCCCTTTATCATTTTTTATTGCATCTATTTGATTCTTCTCTCTTTTTTTCTTTATTAGTCTTGCTAGCGGTCTATCAGTTTTGTTGATCCTTTCAAAAAACCAGCTCCTGGATTCATTGATTTTTTGAAGGGTTTTTTGTGTCTCTATTTCCTTCAGTTCTGCTCTGATTTTAGTTATTTCTTGCCTTCTGCTAGCTTTTAAATGTGTTTGCTCTTGCTTTTCTAGTTTTTTTAATTGTGATGTTAGGGTGTCAATTTTGGATCTTTCCTGCTTTCTCTTGTGGGCATTTAGTGCTATAAATTTCCCTCTACACACTGCTTTGAATGCGTCCCAGAGATTCTGGTATGTTGTGTCCTTGTTCTCGTTGGTTTCAAAGAACATCTTTATTTCTGCCTTCATTTCGTTATGTACCCAGTAGTCATTCAGGAGCAGGTTGTTCAGTTTCCATGTAGTTGAGCGGTTTTGAGTGAGATTCTTAATCCTGAGTTCTAGTTTGATTGCACTGTGGTCTGAGAGATAGTTTGTTATAATCTCTGTTCTTTTACATTTGCTGAGGAGAGCTTTACTTCCCAGTATGTGGTCAATTTTGGAATAGGTGTGGTGTGGTGCTGAAAAAAATGTATATTCTGTTGATCTGGGGTGGAGAGTTCTGTAGATATCTATTAGGTCCACTTGGTGCAGAGCTGAGTTCAATTCCTGGGTATCCTTGCTGACTTTCTGTCTCGTTGATCTGTCTAATGTTGACAGTGGGGTGTTAAAGTCTCCCATTATTAATGTGTGGGAGTCTAAGTCTCTTTGTAGGTCACTGAGGACTTGCTTTATGAATCTGGGTGCTCCTGTATTGGGTGCATATATATTTAGGTTAGTTAGCTCTTCTTGTTGAATTGATCCCTTTACCATTATGTAATGGCCTTCTTTGTCTCTTTTGATCTTTGTTGGTTTAAAGTCTGTTTTATCAGAGACTAGGATTGCAACCCTGCCTTTTTTTTGTTTTCCATTTGCTTGGTAGATCTTCCTCCATCCCTTTATTTTGAGCCTATGTGTGTCTCTGCACGTGAGATGGGTTTCCTGAATACAGCACACTGATGGGTCTTGACTCTTTATCCAATTTGCCAGTCTGTGTCTTTTAATTGGAGCATTTAGTCCATTTACATTTAAAGTTAATATTGTTATGTGTGAATTTGATCCTGTCATTATGATGTTAGCTGGTGATTTTGCTCGTTAGTTGATGCAGTTTCTTCCTAGTCTCCATGGTCTTTACATTTTGGCATGATTTTGCAGCGGCTGGTACCAGTTGTTCCTTTCCATGTTTAGCGCTTCCTTCAGGAGCTCTTTTAAGGCAGGCCTGGTGGTGACAAAATCTCTCAGCATTTGCTTGTCTGTAAAGTATTTTATTTCTCCTTCGCTTATGAAGTTTGGTTTGGCTGGATATGAAATTCTGGGTTGAAAATTCTTTTCTTTAAGAATGTTGAATATTGGCCCCCACTCTCTTCTGGCTTGTAGGGTTTCTGCCGAGAGATCCGCTGTTAGTCTGATGGGCTTCCCTTTGAGGGTAACCCGACCTTTCTCTCTGGCTGCCCTTAACATTTTTTCCTTCATTTCCACTTTGGTGAATCTGACAATTATGTGTCTTGGAGTTGCTCTTCTCGAGGAGTATCTTTGTG
The DNA here is from genome assembly GCF_000001405.40 of Homo sapiens. NCBI lineage: Eukaryota > Metazoa > Chordata > Mammalia > Primates > Hominidae > Homo > Homo sapiens. The sequence continues at coordinate 55,137,837 of NC_000003.12, read as the reverse complement.
GCGTTCTCTGTATTTCCTGAATCTGAACGTTGGCCTGCCTTGCTAGATTGGGGAAGTTCTCCTGGATAATATCCTGCAGAGTGTTTTCCAACTTGGTTCCATTCTCCCCATCACTTTCAGGTATACCAATCAGACGTAGATTTGGTCTTTTCACATAGTCCCATATTTCTTGGAGGCTTTGCTCATTTCTTTTTATTCTTAAACTTCCCTTCTCGCTTCATTTCATTCATTTCATCTTGCATTGCTGATACCCTTTCTTCCAGTTGATCACATGGGCTCCTGAGGCTTCTGCATTCTTCACGTAGTTCTCAAGCCTTGGTTTTCAGCTCCATCAGCTCCTTTAAGCACTTCTCTGTATTGATTATTCTAGTTATACATTCTTCTAAATTTTTTTCAAAGTTTTCAACTTCTTTGCCTCTGGTTTGAATGTCCTCCCGTAGCTCAGAGTAATTTGATCGTCTGAAGCCTTCTTCTCTCAGCTCGTCAAAGTCATTCTCCGTCCAGTTTTGTTCCATTGCTGGTGAGGAACTGCGTTCCTTTGGAGGAGGAGAGGTGCTCTGCGTTTTAGAGTTTCCAGTTTTTCTGCTCTGTTTTTTCCCCATCTTTGTGGTTTTATCTACTTTTGGTCTTTGATGATGGTGATGTACAGATGGGTTTTTGGTGTGGATGTCCTTTCTGTTTGTTAGTTTTCCTTCTAACACACAGGACCCTCAGCTGCAGGTCTGTTGGAATACCCTACCGTGTGAGGTGTCAGTGTGCCCCTGCTGGGGGTTGCCTCCCAGTTAGGCTGCTCTGGGGTCAGGTGTCAGGGACCCACTTGAGGAGGCAGTCTGCCCCTTCTCAGATCTCCAGCTGCGTGCTGGGAGAACCACTGCTCTCTTCAAAGCTGTCAGACAGGGACATTTAAGACTGCAGAGGTTACTGCTGTCTTTTTGTTTGTCTGTGCCCTGCCCCCAGAGGTGGAGCCTACAGAGGCAGGCAGGCCTCCTTGAGCTGTGGTGGGCTCCACCCAGTTCGAGCTTAAGGGCTGCTTTGTTTACCTAAGCAAGCCTGGGCAATGGCGGGCGCCCCTCCCCCAGCCTCGCTGCCACCTTGCAGTTTGATCTCAGACTGCTGTGCTAGCAATCAGCGAGACTCCGTGGGCATAGGACCCTCCGAGCCAGGTGCGGGATATAATCTTGTGGTGCGCCGTTTTTTAAGCCCGTCCTAGAAGTGCAATATTCGGGTGGGAGTGACCCGATTTTCCAGGTGCGTCCGTCACCCCTTTCTTTGACTCGGAAAGGGAACTCCCAGACCCCTTGAGCTTCCCAAGTGAGGCAATGCCTCGCCCTGCTTCGGCTCGCGCACGGTGCGCGCACCCACTGACCCGCGTCCACTGTCTGGCACTCCCTAGTGAGATGAACCCGGTACCTCAGATGGAAATGCAGAAATCACCCGTCTTCTGCCTCGCTGACGCTGGGAGCTGTAGACTGGAGCTGTTCCTATTCGGCCATCTTGGCTCCTCCCCCGACTTTACATTGATTTATTTTCACATGTTAAAATACTCTTGCATATGTGGAATAAACCCCACTTGGTCATGCTATATTATCCTTTTCATATACTGCTAGATTCTATTTGCTAATATTGTGTAACATTTTTACATTTATATGAAGGAAAGAGTTTGTCGTTTTTCTTTCTTACAACTCCTTCGGTTTTGGAATCAGTTTATGCTGGCCTCATAAAAAGAATTAGGCAAGAGTCTCTTTTTTTCTACTTTCTAGAAGCCTTTGTACAAGATTAGTTTACCTTTTCCTGAATTTTGGAAAAAGGCACCAATGAAGTCTTCTGTGCTGGGAGTTTTGTTTGTGGAGAGGTTTTTAATAATGAATTCCATTTCTTTAGTAGATACCAAAGCATTCAGATTTCTGTTTCTTCTTTTGTCATCTTACATAATTTGCATATCTCACAGAATGTGTCCATTTCAACCAAATTTCCAAATGTATTGGCCTAAGGCTGTTTGTTGTAACATACTATTTGCTTTTTAATATCTGTAGGGTCTGTGGTGAAAATTTTCTCTTTCTTGATAGTTTCCCTTTCTTTTTCAAAGTTCTTCTTGGTAGCAGTTTATTCAATTTTATCAGTCTTCTCAAGGAAATATTTTAGGATTTTTAAATTCTATTGTACTTGTTGTTTTTCTATGTAATTCTTTTATCATATAGTACAAGAAAATTCTGGTCTCTGCCTGTGGTAGGCAGAATAAGGGTCCCTCAAAAATATCCACATCCTAATCCCTGGAATCTGTGAATATGCTACCATACATGGCAAAAAGAACTTTGCAGATGCAATTAAGGTTTTGGTCCTTTAGATGAGGAGATTATCCTGGATTTTCCAGGTAGGCTGAATCTAATCACAGTGTCCTTAAGAGTAGAGAACCTGTCTCAGCTTCACACAGAAAAATGGAACATGAATAGGATTCAACCTGCTATTTCTGGCATTGAAATGCAAGAATGGGACCACCAGCCAAGAAATTTGGTCATCTCTAAAAACTGAGAATAGGCCTGGGCATAGTGGCTCATGCCTATAATCCCAGTGCTTTGGAAGGCCAAGGCAGGAGGATTGCTTGAGGCCAAGAGTTTGAGGCCAGCCTGGGCAACATGGCAAGACCCTTTCTCTACAAAAATAAAAATAAAATTAGCCAGGCATGATGGTGTGGGTCTGTAGTCCTAGCTACTTGGGAAGCTGAGGCAGGAGAATCACTTGAGCCCAGGAGGTCAAGGCTTCAGTGAGCCATAATTGTACTGCTGCACTCCAGCCTGAATGACAGGAAGAGACCCTGTCTATAGGAAAAAAAAAAAAAAGGCCGAGAATGGTCTTCAATTTATAGCCAGCAACTGATCCTACAACCTCAAGGAACTGGATTCTGCCAACAACCCAAATGAGCAAGAAACAGATTGAGCCTCCAGAAAAATAAGGCAACCCTGCCTCCACCTTGATTTTAGCCCAGTGAGATCCGTGCAAACTTTCTGACCTGTAGAATTATAAGATAATAGATTTATGTTGTTTTAAACCACTAAGTTTGCGGTAATTTGTTACGATAGCAATAGAAAATGATTATGCCACCCTACATAGCTTAGAGTCCAAAGAGGGAGCAAAAACATACATTGCCCATGACAAATCAGCAGGGTATGACTGTGGGGTGGGGGAGGGGAGATGAGTGATTTAACCCTGGCTTCACCTTCAAAAAGATCCTCAAATTTAAATTTGACTTTATTGGCAAATGCCCATATATGTACATATGATCATTGTAATATGAGTACATCTGTGTGTATGAAATAATCCAACTTGTTAAACATTTAAATGCTGCAAAGATTTGTCACCCTTTTGAAACATTTCTTCATTTTCCCATGTATTGCAGATCTCAAAGACAGTGGTCTGAGCCTCTTTCACGTGAAAGGAGGCAGGACTTAGTGGAGCTGAGCAGAGCTCCATTGACAATGTGTTCCATAAGGAAGGAACTATGTGTGCAAATCCCAGTAATGAAGATAGAAATCATGGGCACAGAGAACATGAGAGGAAACCACAGAGTCTGACACAGGGATGGGGCTGCAGGTGGCAAAAGGGAAACTGGGGAAGCAGGCAGGACCTGCTGGTGTAGGGTCCATAGGGCTGTGCTAGCAGTTTGGACCTCATCCAAAGGGCAATGAGGAGCTATGAAAGGTTTAAAGGGGAAGGGGACTCACACTTAATTGTGTTCTCTCCGGCAGTATTCCCTGGTTATAACATAGATGTAATAGCTTCCCCATCCCTCTCTACATCTTGACCTTCTGGGAAGAAGAGCACCCAGCCGAGGAGGAATGGTGGGTAGGAGATTCAGGTGGCCTTAAGGTTACAAGCAAGGAAGGAAGCTCTAATTTGGGCCTCCAGAGTTTGCTCGTGGCAATTGAAAATATTTCCTGTGAAAGGCAAAAGACAAGCTGAACTGACAGATGATCCCCCTTCTTAACGGACTCTGCACCCAGTCAATGTCACTGCCTCCTTCTCTGTGAGGAAGACCCTTGGCAGGGCTGCCCGCACTATTCTTATACTTTTCTCTTATACTTTTCTGCACTTTTTTTTTTTTACTTCTTATAAATTTTTTCAGACAAACAGAAAAGTCAAGCATGATATTACTCACACTCACAGACCATTTCCTCTGACAATTGTTAACATTTTACCATGTTTGATTCATCTAATTTTTGTTCAGTAGTATGTTGCAGTAAATTACAGACATCAAGACATTTTATCCTAAAATGGTTAAGTACGAATCCTGGAGGATTGTTCTATATACCACAGATCAGTATAATTCCTAACAAGATTAACAGTTGCTTAATATAATCTAAGCCAAGTCTATCTTCCCATTTCCCCCACTGTCCCCAAATGTCTTTACAACTGCTTTGTTCCATTTAAGACTCAATCAAAGTCGTGTATTTTATTAGATTATTGTTTCTCTTGAGTTTCCTTTAATGGCAACAGACCCTCACCACCACCCTTATTTATTTATTTATTTATTTATTTATTTATTTTAATTTTTTGACACGGAGTCTTGCTCTGTCACCCAGGCTGGAGTACAGTGGTGTGATCTCAGCTCACTGCAACCTCCACCTCCCAAGTTCAAGCAATTCTCCTGCCTCAGCCTCCCAAGTAGCTGGTATTACAGGTGCTTGCCACCACACCTGGCTAATTTTTGTATTTTTTGGTAGAGACGGGTTTTTGCCATGTTGGCCAGGCTAGTCTCAAACTCCTGACCTCAGGTGATCCACTCACCTTGGCCTTGGCCTCCCAAAGTGCTAGGATTACAGGCGTGAGCCACCACGCCTGGTTCTTTACTTTATTTTCCCAAGACATTTAAACTTGTTAAAGGGGCCAGGCCAACTGTCCTATAGACCAGTGGTCCCCAACCTTTGTGGCACCAGGGACAGTTTTCGTGGAAGGCAATTTTTCCAGGGATGGTTGGGGGTAGTGGGGTTGGAGGGACAGGGTGTTGAGGGGGATGGTTTTAGGATGAAACTTCCACCTCACATTGTCAGGCATTAGTTAGATTCTCATAAGAAACACACAACCTAGATCCCTGGCATGCGCAGTTCACAATAGGGCTCCTGCTCCTATGAGAACCTAATGCTATGGCTGATCTGGCAGGAGGTGGAACTCAGATGGTAATGCTCGCTGGTTCGCCACTCACCTCCTGCTGTGCAGCCCAGTTCCTAACAGGCCACGGACTGGTATCAGGCCACAGCCCAGGGGTTGGGGACCCCTGCTGTAGACTGTCCCACATTCTGGATTTGTTTAACTGGTTCATCACGGTGTTGATAAACTTCTTCCTCTGCTCCCTTATCTCTGTTTCCAATAAGCTGGAGATTAAATATATACACTTGATTAGAATCCCCTTAGCATTTTCAGTATGCTCATTTTATAAGTGATGCCAGGTACTTCGTACTGCATCTTGCTGGGGCATGTCATATTTGGTGGCCCCACCATGACATATGTCAAGATTAATTTCTACTTAAGACAATGACAGTGAGAGGTTTTCTTCTTATGAGATACAAGTCTATGGAAATAATTCATTGGCACCATGTGTATACCTAGTTCTCCACTAACGGTTTGCCTAAAGGTTTTTATGTCTATTTTTATTTTTATTTGAATAGAGTTATTTCACAGATTGCAAAATGATCATGTGCTTTTTGATCCAGAGATGGGCTAAGCATGAGAACGATCCAACTCTTTTGTTTGGAGGACCAGCTAACCTCTAATGTCCCCCGTTTTCTTACAATCCTGCTTCTCTGGGTGTTGTCCGGAAGAGACATGTTCAAGGTTGTCAGACCTCTGTTCTCTGCAGCCCATGCATATACACACACATACCCAGACAACAACTGAGGTTGTCTTTCAATTACTGACAGAATTGTAGCCAGACAGCCAACTTCCAAGAGCAGAGGTGTCCGAGGTGGCAGGAAGCTTAAGGCCCCCATGGGGCCCCCTCTCACACGCATGGCCCTGTCACAAGGGCAGTCAATTGCCCATCTCCTGTTTGCTTTATGGGGCGCACCCAGCTGAGGAGGAATGATGGGTAGAAGATTCATGTGGCCCTAAGGTTATGGGCAAGGAAGGAAGTTCTAATTTGGGACTCCAGAGTTTGCTCGTGGCAACTGAAAATATTTCCCGTGAAAGGCAAAAGAAAAGCTGAACTGACAGATGATCCCTCTTCTTCATGGACTCTGCACCCAGTCAATGTCACTGCCTCCTCCTCTGTGAGGAAGACTCTTGGCAGAGCTGCCCCATACTATCCTTTTGAATGAAGACTCTGTTAATTAAATACCACTGTGCTTCCAGGAGACATTTTCTAGGCAATTATTGATTCCAATTCAACTCGATGGAAATGTTCCCTGCATTCTTGGGAGGACTCCCTGAGATGGTAACCTTTTCCCAAATTTTTTTTTTTTTTTTTTTTTTTTTACTATTTGTTAAGCTTCCTTGTACATTTGGAAATTATATAATCCTCTAATAAAACCAAAATGAATATAATTGGGTTCTTCAGTGGATTCAAGTATTTGTTCATTTCCAAAAGTGGAGAGATTTTATCATTTTGGTCGCTTTTATCCCCTCTGTAAATTTAGCTTGGATACCTATTGGCTGTTATTTTCTCCACTTCCCCAACCACTAAACAGTTAGAAATACAGGGGATGCAGCTCAGGGGACTTTCATGTGGCTCTTTTCTCTGGAAAACCACGGGCTTGGCATCCCTTGGCTTAGTATGTTGGTCTAATATTCTGTCTGCAAAGGTAACATTGTGGTTTAGCAAAGGAAAGGAAAAAAAAATACAGGGGAAGTGGAGTGCCAAACTATGGTGTAAAAGACTTGTTTTGAAAATCATTAAAGATGCATCAGAGTCCACAGGGTCTTTGATTTCAGGACCATGAATGGGGGTCAGATGGCTCACACACTCCTTGACATCATAAGCACCGTTTTGCGGGTCTTTGCACTTGTGCATTTTCCTGGGGAGAAGGGTCACGACTTTCACCAGATCTGCAAAGGAGTTCATGACCCAACAAACTAATGTGATTTTCAGTGCCCAGGAAATCACAGCAAGACACACTAAATGGAAAGGAACTGAAACACAAAATAAACCTCACCATATGACCTCCTCAGATGACAGCCTTGGTTTAGCCTCCTGTCCCAGTGGAATGAGTAACACTTTCTTTTACCATCCAAAAGGTCCTCATTTGGGTGGTCTCCCTGTTTATAACCCTGGTTCATACTCTATTGGCATAAGGTTCCCACTCCTCTCTGCAAATCACCAATACCATCCTTTTCCCAGTCCATCTGCTTAATGGGACTTTCTGCTAAAACAGATCATGTCTTTTTGGTTAAAGCTGTCCTCGAAATGGTGATAATGCTCCAGATTATCAGATCATAAAACCCTGCGGGGTACATCAGGCACAGGGCCTGGGTCAAAGGCAGGCCTCTGGGAAGACTGTTTACAGGATTGAGCTGCTCTAAAACTCCCTTGGGTGGAGTCCAAGTCAGTCTCCCTACCCCTGTCACGGGGCAGGTCAGGGGCAGTGGGAGAACAGAGAGGGATGAGGACTTGGGCTCAGGTCTCATAGTCATAAAGCATAATGCATTTAGAGTTTTGCCACCATAGACAAATATAACCTCACAGCTAGGGCGGAGGATGCAGGAGATTTTATGAAAAGTTCTTAGGTACCATGACATCTTGTCTACCTTTTCACGATTTAAGGAATCTGAAAAAAAATGAAAACACCCCAGCTCACTCTCAACCTCTGGAAAGCCTTGGACCCAAGATATTTATTCAGTCCATCATTCAACAAATATTATTAAACACGTACGATGTGCCGGGCAAAAGGATTCACTGTATACAAAGCAGATGTTGGTCCTTGCCCTCCCAGAACTCCCGGCTTGGGCTAGCACAGGGTGTAAAGAGGTGCTTTGGAGGTGCTGCCAGATGCCAAGCCCCCAGCACACTGTAGTCATTAAAAAAAAAAAGGTCATTATTAATGTTATTCATTTCCGACATTAGTACAGACTGCCTCTTGACTTTGAACAAACTGGTTAATATTGTTTCTCTTACTTTTTTCTTATGACCAGTAAATAATTGATATTTGACTGCTGATGCTCATTTATAAAATGAGAATCATCAGACTACTACAATGTTTTTTTTTATTTGCTGTTGCTACACTGATACATTTAACAGGCTAATTTTCATCCTATGAATATTTAGATAGATAAATTAAGGAATTAGAAATTATAGAACAGAAATTCTGTTCTATAATTCTATTAATCCCTAATAGATAGGAATTAAGGAATTTCATTTAATTGGTTTTGGGAGTCTTGTTACATACGTACATATATATAGCCAAAAGTCAACTACACATACATAAAGCCATAGAAAAGAAGAAAAGATAAATATCCATACATCTTTGTTAAAAATATATATTAACAATGGAGATTGTTTTTTCTTTACTTTTATTTATTTACTTATTTGAGACAGAATCTCACTCTGTCACCCAGGCGGGAGTGCAATGGCGCTATCTCGGCTCACTGCAGCCTCCACCTCCTGGGTTCAGGTGATTCTCTTGCCTCAGCCTCCCAAGTAGCTGGGATTACAGGCATGCTCCACCACGCCCAGCTAATTTTTTGTATTTTCAGTAGAGATAGGGTTTCACTATGTTGGCTAGGCTGGTCTCAAACCCCTGACCTCAGGTGATCTGCCCACCTCGGCCTCCCAAAGTGCTGGGATTACAGGCGTGAGCCACTGTGCCCAGCCTGTTTTTTCTTTTAAAAAGTTAGCATTACTTAAAGAACTTGACAACTACTATCATTAAATAAAATAATTCACGCATTTTCCTTTGATTTTGTTAGCAGTAACGGGAGTTGCTTCATTAGCTCTTCCCTTTAAACCAGAGTGTCATTTTGGAAAATGGATGGAAAATATTTTTGAGAGTGTTATTCGCTGCAATTTGTCTTTCTCTTTGGAAATAGTCACTTCAATAATAAACCCGATCTGAAATGCATTGTCTGCACTTGGTGAAAGCACCTGGGGGTCGTGGATTTCACAACTCTCTAATCTCTGCACACTGCAAGATCTTTCCCAGCCCAGTGTGATAAATCAAATTAATGTCTCCAATTACAGCCCAGGAAAACAAGAGACAATTGGTTCAGAATGAGCTGGCCACTTTGCAAATCATGACCTTTTTATTTATTGTGTATATCATGCCTGCCTTTTAGGCATTTTTATTTGAGGTATCTGTAGTTAATGATATGGTTCATTAGCTGGAGGACGGCTCATGCAGCTTAGCAACACAGTAGTTCACAGCACTGTGGGACTTAACTGATTCCACATGGCCCGGAATAGTTTCCTAATAGGGCTTTAGCAGGAATATTTTGATGTGTACATAGCAAATGACATATTTCCAACCAAAAGTACACAGCGGAGGTGTGGCACGCTGAACAATGTTATTTTTGGCTGGTATGTAATTAATATCACCAGCTGTTTCTATTACTTAGACATTTTTCCCCCTTTGACTTCCGTCAGACTAAAGTGATCGCATTTCTGGCCATTGATTAGAATGTTTTTGTGGTTGAATTACTCAGCGTAAACTGAACACCCACATAGGTGTGAGAAGTTAATTGTTTTTCTTTGTAGTAAACGCAGCCCAGCCAGCAGAGGAAACAACAACAGCAACCACCACCACAACAAAAAACAGTTCCCGTGCTGCGGGAGATCCACTTTTTCTCGCACATAAAATCCGTGGATCCCAGCACTGGCTATATGTGAGAAACACCTGGGTATTGATCTAAGAACACTGGCTCTATCTCACAGATCCCAATTTAATTGGTTTAGGGAAGGTCCCAGGCATCAGTATTTTTAAAAAATCTCCCCAGAGTTGAGAGCCTCTGACACTTCTTGTCCTCTGAGCCATCTTTTTAAACCATCAGTTGGATTAACCCTTGGTGGCTCCCCATTGTGTTTACAGGGCATCTAAGCCTCTTATGTCCCCGTGACCCTGAATGACCCAGTGCCTGACCTCTCTCCTACTCTTCCTTCCGCCCCTACTGCCCTGGCGGCATGGTTTCCATTGTTACTTCAACTCACAGAACTCTAGTCTGCCTAAGACCTCCCTCCACTCCTGCCATTGCATCACCCTCGGTGCTCTCCCACCCTCTCTTTGCCAGACTTGTCCTTGTCATAGCTCAAGTCCCAGCCTAAATATCACCTGGGACCTGGGTGACTTCTCCTCACAATTTAAACTATGTCCCTGTGATTCTGCCTGCAGCCTGGGACTTTCCTCCTTAGCTTCTAGCACTGCTGGTCCTTGGGCATCTGTTTGTGTAACTCTTGGTATAACATTTGTCTCTCTTGGGAGAATGTAGACTCTGTAGGGCCGGTGCTTGGATTTGCCTGGCATCTGCTCTGCTCCTCTAATCCTTACTTCACATGACAAAGAGAAGATGCTCGCTTAGCACTGATGGAATGAATTAATGCCTGAATGAATGGCTAATAAAATTTCATAAAATGACATAGGATTTAGAAAGATTGAACCCATGCTATGGAAAAAAGTACACACTTAGCACGAGTAGTGACAATATGGCTTAAACGGTGACTCATTTACAAACATCCCGCTTTCTCTAGAATACGATTTACTCTCCGAGAGCTGAATGGAAGGAAAACTCTGATAGCTTAGAAAACTAATTGAATGTTAACATCTTAAAGTTTGGAGAAATTTGAATACAGTTGTTAGAGTCTCAGCATTTCAAACATGAGAAAGAAAAACAAAGGTTTTTGGGAGAATGTGTTTTCAGTGTATTTATCTCTCAGGAGCCTCCCAAATCACAAAACAAGTCATTGATTTAAAACATCTATTGGAGTAGTTAGTCGTCCCTCCCAGTGATCTTTCTGAGCATTTTACGTTTCAACCTTAACCGTCCTCCATCCTCCAAATGGAAATATAATAATTTAATACAAACATAAAACATCTAACTCTGAGGCTTTGGCACTTCATCGGGAACAAATTAACTTATTTTCAATTTTTATTTTAGATTCAGGGGTATATGTGCAGCTTAGTTACCTGAGTATATTGCATGATGTTGAGGTTTGAGATACGAATGATCCCGTCACCCAGGTACTGAATTAAGTTTTTCAACCCTTCCCTTCTTCCTCCCTTCCCCACTAGTAGTCCCCAGTTTCTTTTTTTCTTATTTTTTTTCTTTCTTTCTTTTTTTTTTTTTTTTTTTTTTTTTGAGATGGAGTCTCGCTCTGTCACCAGGCTGGAGTGCTGTGGTGCCATCTCGGCTCACTGCAGCCTCCGACTCCCTGGTTCAAGCGATTCTACTGCCTCAGCCTCCCGAGTAGCTGGGATTACAGGCACGCGTCACCACACCCAACTAATTTTTGTGTTTTTAGTAGAGACGAGGTTTCACCACGGTGGCCAGGATGGTCTTGATCTCTTGACCTCGTGATACACCCGCTTCGGTCTCCCAAAGTGCTGGGATTACAGGCATGAGCCACCACGCCCAACCTCCAGTTTCTATTGTTGCCATTTTTATGTCCATGAGTACCTGATGTTTAGATCCCACTTAGAAGTGAGAACGTATGGTATTTGGTATTCTGTTTCTGAATTAATTTGTCCATACCCTCTCTAGACCTGTGTTGTGCGATGTGGCTACTGAGCACTGGGAATGTGCCTGGTCTACACTGGGATGTGCTATAAGTGCAAAATGCAAACTGGATTTTGAAGAGCTACTAGCAAAATATATAATATACTCTATTAAACATTCTTATATTGATTATATATTGAAATGATAGTATTTTGGACATTTGGGGGTAAATAAAAGATATTCTTAAAATTAATTTATCTTGTTCCTTTTTGCTTTTTAACTTAAAATTGCATGGGGGCGTGGGGGCTTGCATTTGTGGCTTGCAGTTTATTTCTGTTGGACATTGCTGGTTTGGAAGGCAAGCTTTATGGAGTCAGGGACCAGGTCCACATTGTTTATGCCAATTCTTGCACATCAGTTCTTATACACTTATTATACACCAGTTCTAAGCACAAAGTGTGATACACACTTGATCCCCTCCACTGCCAAAACAAAATACTGCAGTATTAAATAAATGAAGTGAGGCTAGGCACCTTGGCTTACATGTGTAACCCCAGCGTTTTGGGACACCGAGGCGGAAGTATGGCTTGAGCACAGAAGTTTGAGACCAGCCTGGGCAATGTGGCGAAACCCCATCTCTACAAAAAATACAAAAATTAGCTGGGCATTGTGGTGCACCTGTGGTCCCAGCTGCTCGGGAGGCTGAGGTGGGAGAATCACCTGAGTCCAGGAGGTGTAGGATAGAGTGAGCCGTGATCACGCCATTGCACTCCAGCCTGGGCGACAAGGTGAGACTCTGTCTCAGTGAATCAGTCAATCAAGCAAGCAAGCAAACTTTGTAGAAATTCCCATATGATTCTGAATGCAAAATGTGCAAGCAATTCATTTAAAACAGTTCATTAAAAACCTTTACACTATTTTTAGAGTTCATTTGGAGGTCCGGCTATCAGATCACCAATAGTTTGAAGCCTGTTCCACGGCATCTCAGAGCATCCATCCATGGTGGTGTTCAAAGAATGCAGCCAGGGAACAAATGGTTTCCAGGCTGTCTGTGCATTTCTCTGTGCTCTTCTGAAAGTAGCCACAGGCAACTGAGAACGTTAAGAGTCTCACTGTAGCCTGACTATAGTCTGGGAGTCTTGATGGGTCATTGCTGTGCCAGTGTCATAAAATACTAGCCAGGAGACTCGATTCTTTTACTAATTTTTGGTCCCTCAGGCTCGAAACCTCAGCAAGCCATGGACCCTTGGTGTGCTCTGCTTTCCTCCTCTGTAAAGGACGTATAAAAATATTTGAGCTGGGTCCTTCATTGGGTTACTGTCATGATGACCAGGATAAGGATTTCTAGAAACAACCAATATTTGTAGGAAAGCAACAAAAAAGGCAGAGAAAATAAATGTACCTCATTTTTTCAATAGTAACTCAGAACATTTGCGCATACAGGGAGAGTATTTAGAAACTTTTTCTCAGGGATAAAAGCACAACTCCTTCCTTTAAGGGAGTCGCACTCACTGTAGTTTCTTTCCCCATGCTTTCAAGAAAATGCCTTTGAAGTTAGTAGTGTCAGAAATGCTCACCAGACAACTCTGAGGGACACTGGCAAGGAAGGGAGTTGGCTGGTGTCGATCTAGATGAGACTGTGGGAGAACAGTTCATCCCAGCAGCCCCTTCAACCAATGACCACCCTGCGGGGAAAGCCACCCAGGCGATTTAGACTTGCAGTTCTCCACCTTCAGCCCATTATATTTATTTTAAATATAATTCAGCAATGTTTAATAAACAAGACTGTTCATTGCCTTGATGTTTGTTCTTTGCAATTCATTTTAAACACATCAAGATATAAATTCATGAGGAAATATTGGGTATAATTTGAAGTACCCAGATTTTTCAAGCGAAATTGCAAACATAAAGATTGGTGTGCTTTGCCTATGTACACAAATTCAATTTGGCAATAGAGGCTGTTTCCAAGATCTTCAACATGTGTGGCAATCTTTTTCTAGTCCTAAAGCCAATTAAAAAATCAGGAAGGGAGGATACATATATTATATTATATATAATATATATATTTATATGTGTGTATATATATAATTTTCCCATCTTGCAGATTTTTTTGGGCTCAGGTTGTTTGTTAGTGTAGATATAACCTTCCCAGGTCTTCCACAAAAGAAAATACTTAATTTATATAGCTATAGCTTTGAAGAAATGTTTGCCCTCCACCCAGCTATCTGTGCAGTCCTAAGTCTACCTGACTTACTCCAGTAAGAATAGGAATTATTTTTCCTAAGAATCCACAGCTAGGTTAGAAAGGAAGTTTAGACACTTTTCATTTGTGGATTTCAGATGTTTAGGTTAGTTGGTTTGTTCTGATGGATTTCACCTAAAGTCCTTGAGTAACTAGCAATGTTATCTTTGTCAGCTAATGATGTTGGAGTAGCGCTGATGTTGTATTGCAATATCCCAGCCTTTATCTGGGCCACCTAACACATGGGACTATGACTACTTCAATGGTTTTAGATCCTGCCTCGACCTTTTTCTTTAGCAAAAGTCTTAAAGAAAACCCAAATGATTCTAAAATAATTGAGATGATTCAAAGGCTCCATTCCAAGTTAGATGAGCAGGCATCTGGATTAGACTTGAGGATTTTCCAAGCCCCAGTGGCAAAGAGATTGTGAATGAAAATTTTTTAATGCAAATATTACTGTTCATTGGGTGGTATGTCAGTAATGTGCACTCAGAAATGTGACAGGAGTGAATGTTTGGGGGTTATATAAAGCTCCAATCAAACTGACTTCAGATTTTTGGCCCTTTATTTCTCCAATTGCATTGTTCTTAATATAAAACTTTATATAAATGCAAGAAATATCTCAGTGAGTATTTATTCCATGGGTGAATATAAATGCATTATTCTTCATCTGAACTGGTACCCAGAGGCCAGTACAATACTGACTTCACATGAGCCGTTCACTACTTTCTAGTCATGTTGTAAAGAGGTGATGAATAGACTTTGATCTTGCCCAACTGGGAAGGAATGAACATCCCTAAATCTGATCTTTTCTTCTAGGCAGCTGGCTCAACCATTGATTCTTATGTAATGTTTATTTTCCAGATTTGAAATCTAGAATGCTTCTGAATTCTTGTCCTTGGCATAGTAAATAAGATTTTTTTCTCACATACCCCAGTTTTTATGATGTGCCCAGACCTAGACCTACATAGAGCTCCTATTTCGTGTTTTCTCTTGGCTTATTCCATGATAATTCCAGAGCTGCTTCCCAGGCATTGTTAATGTCAATTAACTGCCATGGTTCCTGCGTCATTTTGGATCCATTGGCCCTAGCTGAATCCCTCATTAATTCTTGGCCCTGTCTTTTTAGAGAACAGTGTTGTCTCTATTGTCCCCTTGGGCATGGCTTTATGAACTTGTGAGAAAGCTAGTTTTCTCTTAACCCTTATACTGAAGACTTTCTCTTGGGGTGACTGCAATCCTATGATGAATATCTTCCTTTTGCTGAAGAAAGCTGGCTTCTGGGCATGTAACATTTGTCTCTGTTTCAATGTTTCACACCCCTTTGCAGTCGTCTTTTCCAACTGAATTGGCAATGCTCTTATCGTCAATGAAAACAATCAAGATTAATTAGTGGTCCCTTCATGGGCTTTGGTAGATCATTAATCAACTGAGCCTCTGCATTGTGTAGCATCATTGGACCCAACCTACCTATTTCCATGGGACAGATCAATCATTACTGCTTAGTGAGGGTACACTCACTTCCCTAACAGCAGGATGCACTTAGCCATCTGCTTGGGGTTGGACCCTAATCTGAACAGTTTCTTTCATATAATCCTTTAATTGCCATGTGATATGGAAAGTTCATGCTTTAGGAATGAATTAATGAGATGCATTCAATACTGCCTGGTATATACTGATCTAATCTGGATCTGAATTAGAGTATGTGTCATCTATGCTTAGGGTTGAAGTCTACTTAACTTTAGGCTAATTATATTATTTCTAATAATAAGAGTCAAAAGAGCTTGTGTTAAAGGGGGGTTTGTGACTTGCTTTTTCTGTAAATATGCATGTTACATTCACTTTTTTTTTTTCTTTTTGAGACGGAGACTCACTCTGTCACCCAGCTGGGAGTGCAGTGGCACAATCTCAGCTCACTGCAACCTCCACCTTCCGAGTTCAAGCTATTCTCCGGCCTCAGCCTCCTGAGTAGCTGGGACTACAGGCACATACCACCACACCCGGCTAAGTTTTTGTATATTTAGTAGAAACAGGGTTTCACCATGTTGCTCAGGCTAGTCTCAAACTTCTGACCTCAAGTGATCTGCCCGCCTCGGCCTCCCAAAGTGCTGGGTTTACAGATGTGTGCCACTGTGCCCGGCCTTCATTCACATTTTTGTTTGTGCTTCACAATGGTTCTCTGAGGTTAATACTATCATTGTGCCCATTTTGCAGACAAAGAAGTTAAAATGATGAAGAGGCAAAGTGATTTGCTCAAAATCATAGAATTAACAGCGCTGTATCTGGGTGTTATTGAAGCAGTAGCAATTCCCAAGACATTTACAATGGAACATGAACCTTCCATGGATTAAACTTTATGGTTATGGCAGTCATATTGTTCTCACATGCTCCTGCCTTCCAAGCCCTCCTTCCTTTCTGAAACTCATCAAATTGGCTCTTTAATCCTCCCATTGGTCTTGATGGATATCACCTTTCTCAGACAACAATACTAAGGCAGTTAACTCCAAGCCATCTGCTCTTGAAATTTGTATATATTACAGTGGCCAATAACTTATGCACACCATTTCTCAGGACTCAGAGAATGTAGAAACGTTTCTTGTTTCGTAGACTATAATCAGTTTTGAGGTCCATCTAGAGCATCTTAGACCAAATCATTTATATACAACTAACACTTGAAATAGCCAGCTCATGAGTGCAGAAAAGTCACAAAGATGCTTGTGTGGGTTTCTTTATCCCTTTTCCACTAATAAAAGTTTTCATCTTTGATTGGTTTAATATCATATTTTTTTTGCTTGTTTTCAAAGTAAAACTGGTAATAAAAAGCTGAAATGTCATCTGGACAATACACTCTGTGGCCAGTCTCCAAAATCACCCAATAAGTTACAGAAGTAGTTCATGTATTAAACAGACTGTAGGAAGTTGACATAAATTAACTAAGCTTCAGCATTTTGTTTTAACTTTAAATGATATTACTCAGGCTGTAAGATCCCAGGAAAGAAAACAGCCTGGTAGGATCCCATTCTTCTTTACCGGCTCTTATAGAGACCCCGCATCCCAGCAGAACTTCATTAAACTCCCTTGTGTTACTTTCACCTATGCCGCCTCCACTCTGGCTCTGTTGAAAGAAGTCCTGCCCCAACAATGGATCAAGGCATGAGTAGGCATGAATTAATTGGTAAGCCAGGAGCTCCAGGTCAGAATGGGGGACCTTGGTCCCCACATGCCTTTTACCCCTGAGAATCCTGAGGGGCACTCTGAGCCTTTCTTTTTTCTAGTTCAGAAACCAAAGCCAGCTGCGATGGCAAGAAGGGCATGAGAAGTTGTGTGCAAAGCTGGGAACTGTGGCTCAGCTGGCCACTTACATGCTACCCCTAGGGACCATGTGTGGGCAAGGAGAGACATCCTTCTCCATGATATCCTCTGAAAGTTGGGGATGGCACCCAGGAACCCTGCTGGAAAGCCAAATTTGTCCTCCCTTGTTCATTTTGAAGGCATCTTGAAACTGCATTAGAAAACTGGCTGCGACCAACTACTGAGGATCTATATTTTTGATTTAATATTTACTTTATTTCACAAATAATTCCTTCATTGTTGAAAGAGTAGAAAGCTCAGTACTACCTCAAGTCCTGACCCCCTACTCTCCTCACCACTGAGAGATAACCTCTATCCTCATTCTGTTGAATGCTTTCAGATCTTTTTGCTTTTAAATGGGGAGTAAATACACACTCCCCCCAATGCATCCATACTCATTTTCATACTCCTCTCCCCACACAAATTGGATCAAATGTTTTAGATCCTTTTCCCTTTGATATAGCTTACAAGCTCTTTCCAGGTCAATTAGTATAGTTTGCTACTAACCTTTGTTAAAATGGAATTGGGATTAGCAGTCCTACCCTTAACATTTGTGAATCTGCCACCTGGTTGGAGAGTAAAAGTGAAGGCTGACATAGCATGGGTCTAAATATTTTAAAGTTACAAAGTCACCTATAAGCCATTAAGTGAAAAAACATTTTATTGTCAAACTATGATAATCATGACTTTATTCTCAGGAGGGCCAGGTTCAAATTTAGACTCCTTGGACCCCTTGAGCTCTGTGCCAGAACACAGCAAGCTGGCCCTGGCCCTGCACCTGCTTCCCAGCTTCAGCTTATCCTACAGCCACCTCATAAGCTGAATGCCCTTGGGAGATGGATCTGGGAGTTCAGAGACATTTCCAGGTCCTGTGAGCCTGCGGTATGGTCTCTAGAGGGAGGGGTACAGGCTCTAGGCAGGCACAACCCCTTGATGTGAGGCTTCCTCACCCTGACATGAAGGACAAGGCTGCTGGAGGAGGGCCAGGAGAGCCCCTAATGTATGAAGCCATGGCAGGGTTGTCCTGGTGATCGGCATCCTTGTGTGTGGATATTTGTACACTTAGCCAATTATTTCTGCAGGTTAAAAGTTCATTGGTTGAATCCAAAACCAATGAGCATTGTAAGGCTTTGGAGTCATATTTGTGAACGATCTTTCTGAAAGCAGGCTCCATGTTACATCACCCAACAGTGCAGGAAAGTGCCTGTAAGCAAATGCCAAGTGCACACCTACACTGAATAACAGGGATTCTTTTCCATTGCCACCAATCCGATAGATAAAAAGGATATATTACAACTGAACTCACATCTCATTGTTTAATGAGAGGAACCCTTTTTCGTATCAGTTTGATTATTTGTATTTCATATTCTGTGAATTAATTAATTACGTATTTTTTATTAGGTGGTTTAATTTCTTCTATTTGGTCTCTCGGTTCATTGAATATTAACCCTTTGGCATATCCAGAAACAAACTTATTCTTGAATTAGGTAAATTATTTTTGTTCCTATTATTCTGTTATGAATCTATTACTCCTCAAGAGAGTTCTAAAAATGGACCATTTTGAGAATTTAATAATGCTAAATTCAGTGGTCTGATTATATGGGTCAGTTCAATTGAACATATTATTCACCTATTCATCACCTACATGTGCTAAGCAAAATGACAGAGAGAACTCTACAACTGCATCAAAAATGTTTGAGGTTCAATATTAAAACAGGATGGAGTGAGAACACTTCCGAATTCTCCACAATCCCTCACTTACCACTAAGGAGAAGATGTTGTCTTAAGGCAGAGAGTCATCTGTATATATGCCTAGATATACAAAATAATTACACTTCCTGTGTGGTACCCAAAGCCATGTGTGCTACAGTTTCTTGGGGATCTAAAAGATTTTCAAAGATAGTTTCAATTACGTGCACGATTCACTTTATACCATGGGGTGAGCCCTGGGCTGTTGCGACACCACCCAACACAAATCATTTTGAGAAAAGCAATAATAATAGAGATAACATCATCACATTCGAGGACATAGAAAAGGAATGTATTGACTCTTATTTGCAGGGAAACACAGAGCTCCCATGAGAAGCTCTGTCTTGAGAGAAAGGTATTCAGGCAGTTAGAAAATAACGAATATTTATTCAGTGTGATTGGGATGCTGTTCACCATGTGAAGTGAGTTGCACTGCCTTGTTTAATCCTTGCACACTTTTTTTATGAGGTAGGTGCCTTTATAGAATGTGATAATCCCTGTTCTACAGATGAGGAAACAGGCAAGGAAAGATAAAGTAACTTGTAAGAGGGGGCATATATATAGCAAGAGGTCGATCAAGGATTTGTTCTCCTGGGCTCCGGGTCTCATCTCTGTTGCCTCTCATGAGAGTGCATGACATTCTAGGTAAAGTAGACACCTGGAGGGAAGGTGTAGAGATGTGGGGATGCAGAGTATGTTTAAGAAATGAGCCTATGAATCTAGAAGATGATGTCAGATACCTGGCATTGAGCTGCCACATGCCCTTTCAAGGCACATGCTCTTCCTTCCTTCTGACAAGAAAGAACCTTCAAGTCCCTCTCAGAATTGCCCTCCAAATAGCCAGTGCCAATCAGGAGACGTTATGATGTCTTAGCACTACAACAGAAATTCTTTACCAGAGGCCCGAGGATTTCCTGGGTCCATGTTTACAGATCTTGAAAGACTGTGTGCCTGTACAAATGTGTATCTTTTCTGGGGAGGCAGTTCATAGCTTTCATCAGATTCTCAATAGGATCCTTGACTCAAGAAAGATCAAGAACTGCTGGTTAAGATAGAAGAAAATTCAAGAGTATATCAAGAGACAGCTGCAACTAAAGCTGGAAAACAAACTCTGGGGGTCTTTAATTCAACAAATATTTATTAAGCATATGCCACGTGATAATCCTTGTGCAGGAAACTGGTGTTGCAAATACTTGGGGGCCATTTGAGTAGCTCAAAGTTTACTGGAGGCTCAGAAATTGGGGGTTTATTCACACGCAGAAAAAAAAGGATGGTTTTATTGTATGGTGTTGCTATGTTGTGTGATGTTGTTATGCTGTATAGTTTATATGTGTCTCTGCTACGTAAGATGGCATTAGCAATGGCCCATTCCCAAAAAACATTATCCAAAAATTCAGGGTGTATGTATTGATTTATATCTAGGTCATAGCAATGGTTTCTTTTCTCTTTTTCTCTTTTTTTTTTTTTTTTTGAGATGGAGTCTCACTCTGTCACCCAGGCTGGAGTGCAGTGGCACGATCTCAGCTCACTGCAACTTCCGCCTCTTGAGTATAAGTGACTCTCCTGCCTCAGCCTCCTGAGTAGCGTGTGCCACCATGCCTTGCTAATTTTTTTTTTTTTTTTTTTTTTTTGTATTTTTAGTAGAGATGGGGTTTTACCATGTTGCTCAGGCTGATCTCGAACTCCTTACCTCAAGTGGTCTGCCCACCTCGGCCTCCCAAAGTGCTGGGATTACAGGTGTGAGCCACTGCATCCAGCCCCAACAGTTTCTTTAAATAGGATAAGGAACCACCCCACATTGAAACTAAGTAAGGGCTATAGAGGCAGAGAACTCTCTACCCCCTGAGCCAACGTGGTCTCTCATTCTTATCTGTATAGAGGTATTTGAACACATATTCATTTGGGCTTATCAAAGAGAATGGAGACACAGCTATCTGGAAATAAATCAGCTATTGTCTAACTCTTTTATTGTCCACATTGAGAAACTGGGGAGAAAAGTGGGGTGGAGGCATAACTAAGTCAACAATCAGGCTGGGACTGCAACCCAGAGCCCTTGATTCTCCCCTTTATAATGTATAAATTATATTCACATTCTTAGTATCCATTAATACAGATGCTGTCTTCTCATAAAGGCCTATGATCAGTGCTTTCAAAGCAGGAGGGTATGGAATTGCCCCTTTTCCAGAGGTATGAATCTCTGTGACTTCAAACTGGGTTTTGTGCTCCCTTGAAGTACACAAGTTTTTCCCAAGTAGTATGTATATGCACGGGGAGTTTTAGGAGAATCTACTTCCCCAGCTTCTACTGTACTCTTTGCTAAAAGTGATCTACTTGATCACTGCTGTGGAGGCAGGTGAGCTCTCAAGTTCTCCCGTCAGTGGATGCAGAAACAAAGATTTTAGCGCAAGTAGTCAATTTGGAAGGCGATCCTGGGAAACACTGTATTGGAGTGGGACCTGAGATGGAGAAGGAAAGGAAGCATATGAAAGGTGTGCTCTCAATCTCTCATTCTGCTGGGGGTACTCTGGGATCCCACGTAGGGCGTGCATCGGGAAGGAAATGTAAATGTGGACTGTGTGGCTTAGCAGGCTCCAGGTGCAGAGAAAGCATCAGGTGAAGCCATGGAGGGCATGGATACGAGCAGAGCATCAGCAGTTCTCATAAAAGACACCATACCAGCACACCTTTCCCACCTGCCCCAGTGCAGTAATTCTTCTGCTCCATTACAAATAAAGGGCCTGTCTTTTGCCAACCTCTGTTCCTGCCATGGTGCACCAACCAAGGTGTAGTGTTCCAGGGTGCCAAAGGAACAGCTCGAGGTGCTCTAATTTCATGTCCATAGAGTCTTCTTTAATGAATGTCCCATAAATCTACCCCTATGCATTTCATTAAGAGATGAAATGACAATAAAATTTTACATTTTATGTCTGATAATGTATTGAAATTTATATTTATGTTTGTATCAATTATGTATTAGTAATTTATAATGATAATTCAACCCAGAAGAATTTTATTTTTAAGTTTAAGGTCACAAGAAATACAGGAAATTCTAAATTCTAGTTTACATGCATATTTATGTCATGAATTATGATAGGTCAGTAAGAGCATTTTAAACACAGAAACACATTACGTTAGTGTAAAATTTCATAGGAAGGTGAGTAGAATGCAATTTCAAGGAAAAATACAAAATTTCTTCTTCATATTTCCATTCTATTGGATGTATTTTAGAATGGGAGAACATTTTTATGCTAAAATTTTAATAGTTCTTTTTTTTTTTTTCTGAGACAGAGTCTCACTCTGTCACCCAGGCTGGAGTGCAGTGACTGGATCTCGGCTCACTGCAAGCTCTGCCTCCCAGGTTATCGCCATTCTCCTGCCTCAGCCTCCCGAGTAGCTGGGACTACAGGCACCCGCCACCATGCCCGGCTAATTTTTTGTATCTTCAGTAGAGACGGGGTTTCACTGTGTTAGCCAGGATGGTCTCGATCTCCTGACCTCGTGATCTGCCTGCCTCGGCCTCCCAAAGTGCTGGGATTACAGGAAAAATTTTAATAGTTCTAATGCTGAAACTATTTTAACATGTTGAGAAATGTTAGTTGTCATATTAAAAAGAAAGATGATATCTAGCCTTCCAAAGTTCTTGCAGGGACGGGTATGAGAGCAAGTTAAGAAATCTCTTGGTCTAGAACACTTTTCAAATTCTTTGTTTCAATTTAGGCCAATAGTTCTCATCCATCGCATACTGGTGACTTATTTATAACACTTTCATAGTGAAATGTAATAAATACAGAAGAGTGTCTAATTGGAAATGCCAGATCGCTGATTTATCACTAAGCAAAATCCCAGGTAGCCATCACCACACCGAAAAACAGAACATTTCAAGCCCCCAGAGGCCCACCTCATGCCTCATTCCTTCTTCCTGTCCCAGGGGAAACTTCTATCTTGGCCTTTATGGAAATCCCTTCCTTTTCTCCCTTTATGGTTTTATCAGTTAAACATGTATTGCTAAATGATATAACTTTTCCTGTTTTTCCCCCTTTAAATAAGCTCACCCACACATTCTCTTGGGTCAAGCTTCTTTCACTCAACATTATGTTTCAGATATTCATCCATGTTGATGTATTTTAATTGATATAGTTAACTCATTGTCTTTGTTCTAAGCCAGTATTTCATTTTAGAAATACACCACAGTGGCCGGGCACAGTGGCTCACACCTGTAATCCCAGCACTTTGGGAGGCCAAGGCGGGCAGATCACGAGGTCAGGAGATCCAGACCACGGTCTCTACTAAAGAACATCAGGAGATCGAAACCCCGTCTCTACTAAAAATACAAAAAAATTTAGCCAGGCGCGGTGGCGGGTGCCTGTAGTCCCAGCTACTCGGGAGGCTGAGGCAGGAGAATGGCGTGAACCCGGGAGGCAGAGCTTGCAGTGAGCCGAGATTGTGCCACTGCACTCCAGCCTGGGCTACAGACAAAAAAAAAAAAAAAAAAAAATACACCACAGTTTGTTTATGCATCTTAGTGTTGATAGACTTTTTTGGGTTGTTTCCATCTCTGAGCATACATGAAACACTTCTGTGAGCATTCCTGCGTGTGCCTCAGGTACACACTCACACTTCTATTGAGTATATGCCAAGGGGTGGAATTAATGGGTCATATAGTAATTGTATGATAAAGTTCAGTAATCAATGCCAAATGGATTTTCAAAACTGTTGTATTAATTTATACTCCCACTGACAGCACCTGAGAGTTCCCATTGGTTCTCATCCATTCTAACACTTGCTACTATATGAATTCTGAATTTTAGCCATTGTGATGGATTGTGTCATGGAAACTTATTGTGATTTTAATTAATATTTTCCTGTTTACAAAAAAGGTTGAGCACATTTCTGTGTGTTTATTGACCATTTTGATATTCTCTTTGATGAGGTAGAGTTTTTTGGCAATTTTTCTATCAGGTAATCTTACTGTTTTTAAAGATATCTTTATGTATTCTCTATACATACCTTGTCAATTATATGTTGTTAATACCTTGTATTCTGTTACATTTTCATTCTTATAAGGGTAGCTTTTGATGGAGTACATTTCACCCCTTTTTGTCTTTGTGATTAATGCTTTTAGTGTCCTGTTTAAATAACTTTCCCCTATTCCAAGGTCATGAAGACATTCTATACATAGAATGCCTTATATGTATATATAGAATGTCTTATATTGTATTTTAGAAGCTATATTGTGTCATTTACTGTTTTACTTTTTGCTTTACAACCCACCTAATACTGATTTTTGTGTATGATGTTTTATAGTGTTTAACTTCTTTTTTTTTTTTTTTAATATGGAAAGCAAACTGACCCAGCACAACTTTTTGGACAACATATAACTTTTTATGTAGAAAGCAAAGTTGACCCAGCACAACTGATTGAAACTGGCTCTCTGCACTGATTTGCAGTGCCAGTTTGCCATGAGCCAAGTGTCCACACGTGTAGGGCTGTGTTTCTGGGCTCTCTTTTCTGCTCTGTTGGCCGATTTGGCAGTCCTAGTGCCATTGCCACCCTGTCTTGTGGACTGCACATTTAACGTTTGTAGAGCAAATCTTCCCACTTTTTAAATCAGAATTGTCTTGGCTTATCTTTGCCCTTTGCATTTCCACATAAATTTTAGAATCAGTTTGTCAATTTTCACAAAAGTAGCTGGGATTTTGATTAGGATTGCATTGACTATATGGATCACTGGAATCAATCTCTGTAAATATTAAGTCTTCTGATCTATGAAGACTACACACGTTTGTGTAGTCCTCAAGTTATTTAGATCTCATTTAATTTAACTCCCATTGTTTTATGGTTTTCTGTATGGATGTCTTATACATGATTTGTTTGATTTTTTTTTTACCCCCTAGGTATTTGATGCTTTAAATTCTATTATAAATGGCAAAGTTTTAAATTATGTTGGGTAACTGTCAATTGTTGATAGAAAAGCAAGAAATTCCTTTCATATTATCCTTGCATCTAGCAGTCTTGATTAATTCATTCTAATAGTTTGTCTGTAGATTCTTTTGGATTCTATACATGTATATCTATTTTACCTGTAAATAATAATACTTCTACTTTTTACTCATTTAAATTGTAATTATTTATCTTTCATCTTTGTGCTGACTATGATACTTAGGACAATGTAGAATCAAGTGGTACTAATGGGTCTTCCTGTCTCTTTTCCCATTGCAGAAGGAAAGCTTTTACCATTTTGCCATTGATGATAATATATCTTATATGTTTTATGTAGATACTTTGATGACAGTAATTACATTCTATTCCTAGATTACTAAGAGTTTTTAATAATGAATAGGTGCTGAATTTTATTAAGCACTTTAGAAATATATATTGAGGTGCTTATTTTTTCCCTTTTAATACAATGACTTACATTGATTAATTTTTTTTTAAGCTCACTCTGTCACCCTGGCTGGAGTGCAGTGGTGCAATCTTGGCTCACTGCAACCTCTGCCTCCCAGGTTCAAGATTCTCCTGCCTCAGCCTCCTGAGTAACTAGGACTACAGGAGTGCGTCAGCATAGCCAGCTAATTTTCGTATTTTTTGTAGAGATGGGGTTTCGCCATGTTGGCCAGGCTGGTCTTGAACTCCTGGGCTCAAGTGATCTGCCAGCTTCAGCCTCCCAAAGTGCTGGGATTATAGGCATGAGTCACCGTGCCTGGCCTGATTTTCAAATGTTAAAACAACCATAAATCCCTAGAACAAACCCAAGTTGGCTGTGATGTGTTATCCTTCTCATAAATCAGTAGATTTTGTTTACTTAAGATTTCTGCATCTATGTTCATGAGAGAGACTGGCTTATAATTTTCTTTCCAATAATGCTCTTGTTGGGTATTGATATTAAGACTATTTTAGCCTCATAGAATGCACTAGTAAGCATTCTCTCTTTCTGTTCTCTGGTGGAATTTGCATTCCATTTTTCTATCTCTCCAGGCATCATTGTAGTTATCTCACTGAGATCTTCCACTTCACTTTTCAGTTGTGTCTAAAATGCAGTTAAACTGTTCATTTCAGTTACTTTATAGTTGAGTTTTAGAGTTTCCATTTGATGCAATTTTATAATTTCCTGTTGCCTGCTAAAATTTTTGATATTATCTTTTTGAATAAAAGCCCATGTCTAAGAATTCCATTTTCTAATGCTCTCTGGATTTATTTCTATGGTCTATTATTTCTCCTGGATATTGGTTCCATAGTCCTGTCTCTTTGCCTGGGAAGTAGAGTCAGAGTAAGTTACAAGATTAGCCCAGATTCATGAAATGGAGAACTAGGCTCTACTGCTTGATGAGAAGAGCTGCAGGCACATTATAAAGGACAAGGATAGGATAGATACAAAGGGATGGGAAAGATACCATCAATCTACCTCTGTGCCTGATTAATTCCTAGTCATCTTATCACTGGGTCGCATTTCCCAATGATCCACTGTCATATTACCTTCTTTCTCCTTTTTACAACACTCATCACTGTTAGAAATTTTAGATGTATATGGGTCATTCATTGATTAATATGCATGTTCAGTATCATCTTGATGCATTAATAGCATTATTTAAAAGCTTCAAGGTATAAGGAGGCAGAGGCTGGACCATGTGGCCTACCCTGTACCCCTTCTCCTAGATCAGTGCATGACACATGCTAGATATAATAAGTATCAATGAAGCATAAAATAGAAATGGATGTACAGCCAACTATGTGAGGAAGGTACTTCTACATATGTCCATTTTACAGATGATGAACTGGGGGCCTAGGGAGATCACAGAGCTGGTCAGCAATAGCTCTGCAGTCTATCTGATTGTAAAATCAGTGCTCTTGGCTGCTGTACCCTGCTGCCATGAAAGTAACTATGGGTTATGTATTTGGTAACACTAAGGTCCCACCACCCATATTAGGTTCAATTGTGAATTGGATCTTTTTGGAAAGTAAGAGTTTTGAACTGTTACTGGCCTAACAACCATTACACAACCCATTGAAATGCTTAGTTTTTTCTTTAGTAGGCAATATCAACTGAGAGATAAACTGGATTTATTACCTTTGTGACACAGGAGCGGAAAATGGTTAATTTGTCATCTTACTTCATTTTGACTCCTGAATAGATTGCCAACAGCAGAAGGCGGTACAGTTAGAAATGTCCCTTTTACACCTGTCAGGTCAGTTTCTCGGGGTCATTAATCCCTACAGACCCCCAGTAGACACAGAGCTGGCTGCTCATTCAGTCTGTCCTCAGGATATAGTCAGAAGGGGGCAGAGTGAAGGTGACCACAGTGTGTCCCGGTCAGCCATTCAGACGTTGACACAGCAGCTGCCTGACCCAGGCTTGATCCTAAAGAAGACGGGTATAGAAAGCAGCCTTGGCTGAGATATATTTTCACTGAGGTTTGGCTTTGGAGTTGAAAGAACAAGTGTGACCTGTGGCCATGGTTTTTATCAACTGGGAGAACTTGGGGAAATTTAATAT
Organism: Homo sapiens; assembly: GCF_000001405.40. NCBI lineage: Eukaryota > Metazoa > Chordata > Mammalia > Primates > Hominidae > Homo > Homo sapiens. Next base: position 55,110,376 of record NC_000003.12, on the reverse strand, counting down.
TTCTGAACCTTCATTTTGTCATCTGTAATGTGGGGATAGATGATACCTAATACATCAACTGTAGAGGGTTAATCACAGAATCAAGAAATATTAAGCTTCCTGATCTAAAGGAGTGTTGTTTTAGCCTGATCAGCATAGATTCCCTTTCTTCTCTAGGGAACAGTAGCCCACATTTCCTTTGGAGAAACACAATTCCTTGACACTCAGGTTATGAGTTTTGGGTTGGCCTTCATCATGGCTCCAGGAATGAAACTTAGGATCCAGGCCTGGCTAATCAGGATATTCTATCCCCCTGACCACAGTCCACAGGGATTGGCTTGCAGACGGGCATATGACCCAATATAATCCAAGTAGTTCCTGGAATTAAAGCCAAAAAGATGTAGGTAGGGAGCTGCTGTTTGTTTACTTTGCCATCACATGGAGTCAGGACATGAAACCAGCAGAGATGACACAGAACCTGAAGATGGTTAGCACAGGTCTTGTTGATATCATTTAAATTCCCTGATTAAGCCACTCCTGAAGACTATACCTGGACTGTTCTATTAGCTAAATCAATAAATAACCTTTTCATTTTTTGATTAAGTAATGCTAGCTGAAATTTTTAAAGGAAACTCTTCATATAGTTTCCCTATTTTACAGAAAATTGAGGTTCAGAAATGAGTAGTAAAACCTGTCTAAACATTGAGTAAAATGTAAACTGCCTGCAGGCCAGGTGCGGCGGCTCACACCTGTAATCCTAGCACTTTAGGAGGCCAAGGCAGACAGATCACCTGAGGTCAAGAGTTCAAGACCAGCCTGGCCAACATGGCAAAGCCCTGTCTCTACTAAAAATACAAAAATTAGCCAGGCCTGGTGATGCACGCCTGTAATCCCAGCTATTTGGGAGTCTGAGGCATGATAATTGCTTGAACCTGAGAGGTGGAGGTTGCGGTGAGCTGAGATCGCACCACTGCATTGCAGCCGGGGTGACAGAGCAAGACTTTGTCTCAAAAAAAAAAAAAAAAAACCAGTAAACTCCCTTCAGGATCATGGACTTCGTCACTGTCAGGCCCTCTTCTCTGTATCTTCACTCACTCTGGTTTCCTGCCTGATTTCCTTTTCCCTTTGTTCTACCCAATGACATCCACCCAGTCTTCCAAGTTCTGCTCAAGTCCTTTCGTTTCAGGATGTCCTCACTGACTTTGCTTCATCACACGTCCAACACAGGTCAGCCTATTCCACAAATGCACAGCTTTCTCTCTGACCCGTTCATGTCTCAAGAAGACTGCTCAGAGGTATGAAAGGTAACTGAACACTGTAATTCTCGGCTCTTCATGTTCATAGGGACACTCTTTCTTGCTAATGGATCAAATTGTGTCAATCCCCATTGCTGAGGTGATTTTTAGCATGACAATGAATTAACAGTTAATTCATTAAGGGCACATCATCTTAGTGCAATACAGAAGCCGTATTCGGTCTGGCCTCTTTTGCATTTGTATCATGATAGTTTGTCTTTTTGCTGCCAGAGAAAGGGAGAGTTGAACACTATCTTACCTTTCTTGATCAATAGTTTTATAAATTATAAGATATCTTGCCATTATTACTCTTTAAAAATATAAATGACAAAATTAAGATCCAGGTGAATTAGTATAAAATGTAAAAAAGGAAATATTTTTAAAATTGGAAGCAATAAAAGCTACCCTCTGCCTTTGGGATGGAGAAAGCCTTTTTCAGCATAGGAGCCAACACAAAAACCATGAAGAAATGTAGAGTTATAAAGATATATTTATATAAACGTAGTACATAAAAAATCACAATGAGCAGAAACAAATGACAATGACAAATGTATGTGATGGGTGAATACTATAACTTTCCATACAACAACTTATTTTTCCCAATAGAAAATAAACAAAAACTTGAATAAGAAATTTTCAATAAGGAGACTATTGATGGCTAATCCACACAGTTAAAGCATGTTTATCTTCATGTGGACTCGGATAAGCCAGTCAGAAAAACAGTATCATTCTCCTTCTAAAATTGAAAAAAAAATACATGAAAACGGTATCTTGCGTGTATCAGAATGCAAAAAAAAAAGAACCCAGATATATTGCTGGTACCAAGTGTGAGTGACTGCTGACTTAACAGTAAATGTCAAATCAGAAATGTGTATTCCCTTTGATCCTACAATTCTACCTGTACAAATTTATCCAGAGGAAATACTCAGAAAAGATTCCTGTACAGGAATATTTTTTAATTAGCCCTTTGTAATACTGTAAAATTGAAAACATCTTACATGTCCAATAATTGCACATTGGTTAATTAAATTAAAATAAATAATATATCCACATGATAGAATTATCAAAAATGATGATATAGATCTATATTTATTGATTTAGAAAGACGTTCACAATATATAGACAAGTGAAAAAAATCAAAGCTACAAAGTCTACAGGGTCACATTTTTTTTAAATGCTTATAATAAACACTTGGAGAATAATACAAACATACATAGCAAGACAATAATAGGTTGATCCCTAGATTCCAAGATCATGGGTGATTTTTCTTGGTTTTGTTTTTCTGTAGTTTTCAAATTTCTGTAATAAACATGTTACTTTTAAAATTAGAAATACTTTAAAAATACAAGCAGCATGCCTTTGCATTTATTTTTACTCATGCAACTGGTGCCTGTGCCTGATAGATAGCACCCAATAAGGCAATAAGGACTTATATGCCATTGGGCTTCCATTATATGGAAGAGTCAGGGGCGATTTGCCCAGCATATGGGCCAGTGGACCTCTTCTCTTTTTTTTTTTAACCAGGACTGCTATTTTCAGGCACAGAGATTTGCTCATTACCCACTCCATCCATCCACCAACTGGGCACGGGAACCATAAACATTGTCGTTTCCCAAATGGAAGAAGGTATGGCTTTGAAGAGCTGAGCCTTTAATCAGACAAAACATCTCACTTTGCCCTAGTCATTAAACCGACTTCAGAGACAAAGGCCCAAGGCCCTGCACATGTTCGGTTTGTGTAAAGACAGTCAGCTGATGCAAAACACTGGGCATACCGGGTGTTTATATTAGAAGTAATGAACTGAAAGCCGGGCATCTAATCCTTTCCCTAGCCAGGAGGTACTTCCAAAATTTTAAATGTCTTTTTTTAAAGAGTAATAGAACTTTATAAGCATATTGGTCCTTTCATCTCCCTGAAAGTATATTCAAGGCATAATTCAGACCTTCACGTTAGATCATATTAAGCCTAATTTGGTTCTTCAGCTCAGCAAAGAGCCTGGGGGCCTTTAGGAAGTTGTAAGAGTCATAGAAGTTAAAGAACCTGACTTTTTAAACACACATGCATCTTTTCCATATGATAATGAATGTGTTTGAATGTATTGCCTGGGGGTCTTGCCAACACATTGGAGGATTTACCTCAATTTACCAAGGGCGGGTCACTCCAGCCACAAAGGGATGTGGGGACAGGAGTACAACCCTGCTGGTAACTCCCATTAGATTTCCACTTTACTCTCATCCCGTCGTCCTCCTTTTAAGTTTCTAATCAGCAGTCATGCTGAGGCTGTTTTTGGTGAGCCAAGGGTATATGGTAACTGATGGCCTTCAAATTCCCAACTGGCTTGCTCCAGGGACCTCACGTTTAACTAGCACATCAGGATGACTTTCATAATTTTGTTTTTCAGCCACATCTGAGATCTCAGGTGATAGTAGTGATTCAATTCTTAAAAAAAAAAAAAATGACAGCGTAAACCTCACTAATTGAAGTAAGACACTTGTGGCATAATAGAGAGGGCATGGACTCTGGTCATAGACCTGGATTCAAATCATAGCTCTCCCATTACCTAGCCGTGTGTTCTGGGGCTCATCACTTAGCCTCTCTGAGCCTCAATTTCTTAGTCTCTGAAGGGAGAGAGAGAGAGCAATACATGGCCAGCCTACCTCACGGAGTGGGGACAGATGAGATCATGAATGTGGAAACACTTTGTGAACTGTAAAAAGCTTGTATCAGGACTGTGATGCCAAGTTTTGCTGTTTTGCTAACTTCACATGCAGTCAGGTCTCAGGTATCAGCGGTTGGAAGAGCAGCCATGGGTGAGTGACAGAGGTGCTCAGATCTGAGGCGAGGAGCCTTCAAGAAGTGTCTCTGAGTCCATTGCAAACCCATATCCTTCTTGTTGTGTGGAGTCAGAAGTCACTTTCCATGGCAGCAAGCTCTAGGACCATATGCCTGCTTTGATAACCTAGAATTTTGTTATGATGACTATTGCTCAAGTTCACAAAAGTTGGCCGCTCTCTGGGACAAGAAAATCTTTTCAAGGAGACTCTGTTGGCTAGTGGGATCTTCTGAAGGGGACTTGGCCAGCAGCCACCCTCATTCATTCCCCCTCCCCAGGCTGACTCTCCATCTATTAGCATGAAAAACGAGGAACTGATTGGGCTTATATCATCTGTAAGTTAGCTTAGCTGAGTCGAGATCATTTGTCTAGTGCACATATTCCCGAGGCCGAGGAGGGTCGTCATTCTGTTTTCCAGTGAGGTCATCCCCCATGTCTGCAGCGTTGACATCCAGCTAACCACAGGCTGCATGTTAGCAGACGACTTAGCCTTTCATCCAGGAGCGACAGGCCAACTTTGGAGTTTCCTTCCTTTGCTACGTTCCATTCTGTTCTGTTCTCTTGTGTTACCATCTCTGCTTCGGCTGGTTGATAAGACCCTTAAACCTCAAACAGAGGTGTCTGGCTTGACCATGAAATGTTCTTCCCATGCCATCTGGGAACACATTTTCCTTTATAACTCATTTTGAAGCTGTTTTTCATGTGGTGTGGCACGCAGAATGCTTTTCTTTCATTGATGGGGCCTGCTTGTGGCTCTCAAATGCAAACACAAGATTTATCAAAAGGTATGGTCAGCCATGGGCCCTCTGGTTGCACCATGTTCAGAAAACCAAATGTGCCTAAAGTAACAGTAAAGCTCACAATGTCAGAAAACTCTGAAAATCTCAGTGCTGATCTCACTGTGCCAGCTCCCATGCTGGAGGGGAGATTTATGATCTTCTAACTAGGTGCCGTAGTATGCTGATGCTCATTTGTAATCTTTATAATAACTCTCTAGTGGGCACTGCCATTCCCACTTTGGAGGTGAGGAACCAAAAGCCCAGAGAAGTGAAGTGGCTCACCTAGGGACACACAGCCAGGAAATGCAAAGCCAGACAGGCAGAGCCTCACAGCATACACTCTTTGCACAGCTCTCAAATATTGTCAAGGAAAGGTTGACAATGAAAGTCAAGGAAAGATTGAGCAACTTTTCCAGACTACAGAAACATGACAACTAAATCTAATATGTGATTCTGAAATGGATCAGTTTGTCATAATTGGCATTATTGGGACTATTGGTGAAACTTGAATGGGATCTGAGGATTAGATGGTAGTAAGATATCCTTGTTAGTTTCCTGCTTTCAGTGGTTTTATTGTGGTTATGTAAGAGGGCATCCTTAATACTAGGAAAGCCACTGCATGGCAACAGAACATCAGGTGGACAACTGACTCACAAATGGTTCAGAGAAAAAACTCTTTGTACCTTATTTGTAACTCTGTAACTTGTGATTGCTTCCAAATTTCAAAAAAATAAATTAAGAAAAACATTAAAAATATAGCTCTTATGGCCTCAGATCCAGAACCAAGTTGAATCTTAAATTAAAATCAATTGTAGAGTTTCAGTGTCCTTTTCCCTTCTTTGTAGGCTGGTGGGATTTGTCTTTTGATGGCAGAATTGTTGTTACAGGAGGCTGGGTGTGGTGGCTCACACCTGTAATCCCAGCACTTTGGGAGGCTGAAGTGGGCGGATCACGAGGTCAAGAGATCAAGACCATTCTGGCCAACATGGTGAAACCCCGTCTTTACTAAAAATACAAAAATTAGCTTGGCATGGTGGCGCACACCTGCAATCCCAGCTACTCGGGAGGCTGAGGCAGGAGAATCGCTTTAACCCGGGAGATGGAGGTTGCAGTGAGTGGAGATCACGCCTGGTGACAGAGCGAGACTCTGTCTCAAAAGAACAAAAAAAAAAAACACCAAAAAAGAATTGTCACTTCAGGAGTACCTGCTTGCCATCTTTCCATGATTTTTATCTTATCCCCTAGATTGGAGTTTCCCTTACCTCCAAAGTAAGCTAAAATTAAAAAGGAGTTGCCTATGAAGTCATGATGTGATGAGGATTGCAAGCCATGGATAAAGGCCGAGAAACATATTAGTAAATCTTAACATTCAGACAATTATCTCAGGGAAACAAAAAAAGATTTATAACTTTCTAAACCAACTTTCTAAAACTCACTCCAGGAATGTGGAATAAAGCCCCTAGAGAAGTAGATACTGATTTTGTAGCTGTGGAGAGGATTTCCTCTGTGAAGAAAAATAGTCAACTGTTCTCTTGGGACAACTGTATGGAAATGAAAATTAGATTCTCAGCCTTTTGATAATTATGGATTTTAAAGAATTACAAAGGAAGAACTTTTGACAACATTTACAATATCTACACCTAAATGAAAAAGGAAATAAGCACAACACAACCAACCCCTTCCTTCCTTAAGTTAAAGAAAAAGAAAATTCCTTCCATAGGGAATGGTTCTCTGACATTTGTGTCTTCAGCATCCAGATAACTATGGTTAACTTTAAGTATTTTATAATTACTTTTTAAATTGCATTGAATTCTGTTAAATTATTTGCATGTGTTGAATACATATCCCTATAAAATAGAAAAGTTATTGAATCTAAAAAAATTATTTAGAGGTTTCCTTAGAATATTATCTGGCCTAAGGATCTCCAGATTTTGAGATTTCATGAAGGAGAAACAATTGGATGACTTAAATCAGAAAGAACTATAGAAAGTTTATGATTTCTACTTTCATCAATTGAGAGCATAAAATACAAATAAAATAAACATTATCCTTATACTTTTATAGTCTTACAATAAAGGGTAGTCCTTTAAATAAAATACATGTAACTTTATGAAAACTTACAGCCATTCCTTATGTTTCTTTCAAAACTGAGGACTGGTAGACATGTTTTCATTGACCAGCCTGGTCTGCTTGACTAGAGTTTGGAAAATCCTGTTCTATTCCAGCTACTTCATTCTGCAGATGCTGGGTTCAGAGTGGAGTAGGGACTTCCCTAACTAATGCTGCCATTTAAGGGAAGAGTGAGACCTTGCACTCAGGTCTCTGAAGTCTTAAGCCAGCGTGCTTGTCACTGCACCCAGCAGTTAGCTTTATATAGGTCTATCAGCTAGATTTCTTTAGGTTATAATCAACTGAAAACTAACTTAAATTGGATTAAACAATAAAAGGATTTATTGGCTCAGGTAATGGAAAAGTTCAAAGTATGGCTTCAGGCAAGGCTTCATTCAGGTGGCCAAAGCATGTCATTCCCCAGGATCTGATTTCCTTTATAGTGTCATTAGGCACAGTTGCCCTTCTTGCCATTCTAGGGAGTCCCTATGTGGCTGCAAAAATTTCTGACTTCATGTCCTTAAACCATGAACTTCATAGGAATAAACATTGTTGCTGCATAGCTACTGCACATCCTGGAAGTCATTCTCTCACTCATCAGATGAGTCTGGGCTGCACGGCCTTACACAATTGGATTCAACTGGCTTATTAAGTCACAGGCTTCTCCTTAAATCTATCATTGTTGCTACTGTGAGTTGGGGAGATTGATGGCTTAAGCCAGTCAGGGCTTGGGCCTGTCTCAGTCCACTCAGGCTGCTATTAACAAAATACGCTAAACTGGGTAGGTTTTAAACAACTGAAGTTTATTTCTTACAGTTCTAGACACTGGTAAGTCTAAGATCAAGGCGCTGTCACAGTCGGTGTCTGGTGAACCCCCAGTCTCTGGTTCACAGGTGGCACCTTCTGTCTGGTTCCTCACATGGTAGAAGGGAAGGCAGTTCTCTGGGGCCTCTTTTATAAGAGTACTAATCCTGTTCACCTAATCATCCACCAAAGGCCGCACTTCCTAAAACTATCACATTGGGAAGTAGATTTCAACATTTTAGGCTGAAACAAGCATTCAGACGACATCACCTCTTGGAGCTTGGAGTGGGTCAGTTCCCCATAAACAACCCAGCAGATGATGAGAAAGAAGTGGTTTCCGAGTGAGAAATTAGAATAGTGTTTTATTAGAAGAAGGGTGAATGAATGCTGGGCAAAAAGATAAACACAGGTGTATATTACTACTCTCAAAGAGTTTATTGCATTAAAAAATGCTTTACCCAAAAGGGCATGGACTGTCTCCAGCTTGTCTATGGCTCTGTCTCCAGCCTCTGGAGTGGTACTGGCACTTGGAAGACCCTCAGTAAATATGATGGAAAATGTTAGAAAACTAGAAATATACAAAAAGAATTCAATAAAACAAAATGTGTTTATAATCCCCTAATCCAAAAATAATCACTCTTAAAATGTTGGTATAGTACCTTTTTTCTTCCTATGTAAAGATGCATATAATTGTTTATATTTGGAAGTATAATGTTTGTTCAGATTTTATCTTGCTTTTATTTTCCACTTAATATTTTAGCATACACATTTTCCAAGACAGAAAAATCAGTTGAAAACACAATTTTTAACAACTGTATGACATTCTATCATAAGGATTTGGTGTAATTTATTCAAATAATTCTTGAGATCCTGTTTCTAATTTTTCACTATTTACAGAATGCTGTAAAAAACATACAGCTACATAAATATTTATGTGTCTTTAAGAAATTGTGAGTGATAGGTATTTTGTGTGTGTGTGTGTGTGAGTATGCAAGCCTATTCCCCCCACCTTGTATTCTAAGGCTTTTGCTGCTTGATTTTCTGTGCTGATGAGGATAATGGGTAAAGAGAAGAATTGGAAGGAGAAAAATGAGCTAAATTCATTTACTTTTTCAAAAAGACAAGTGGGTATTCAAGAAAGAAAACATGGGAAATTTGGGAGGAGTTGTCTGAACGATGGAGATGCTGGTTTTTGGAAAGAGAAATTTGTATGTGAGTTACTCAAGTGATGTGTGAGCCTTTGGAAGAGGGAATGCCCAAAGAGGATTTTCAATTAGTCTTGCTGTGTATTGCATCTCCCTTGCCATCTCTCCAAGAAGCTTCAAAAAAGCAACATGTTATAATTCAGGGGTTTTGGAGTTGGATTTATTTTTCTTTTGAAAGACAGGATTTGTCAGGAGATAAGAAAATGATGAGAAAAACACCCCTGCCCCTCCTTTTCTGGTTAAATATCCTTAGGAAATGCTGCAAGAAGTAGAATTATCAAGTCACAAAGTATGCAGTTTTTTTTAAATTTTTATTATTATTACACTTTAAGTTTTAGGGTACATGTGCACAATGTGCAGGTTTGTTACATATGTATACATGTGCCATGTTGGTGTGCTGCACCCATTAAATCGTCATTTAACATTAGGTATATCTCCTAATGCTATCCCTCCCCCCTCCCCCCACCCCACAACAGTCCCCGGTGTGTGATGTTCCCCTTCCTGTGTCCATGTGTTCTCATTGTTCAATTCCCACCTATTAGTGAGAACATGTGGTGTTTGGTTTTTTGTCCTTGTGATAGTTTGCTGAGAATGATGGTTTCCAGCTTCATCCATGTCCCTACAAAGGACATGAACTCATCATTTTTTATGGCTGCATAGTATTCCATGGTATATATGTGCCACATTTTCTTAATCCAGTCTATCATTGTTGGACATTTGGCTTGGTTCCAAGTCTTTGCTATTGTGAATAGTGCCACAATAAACATTCGTGTACATGTGTCTTTATAGCAGCATGATTTATAGTCCTTTGGGTATATACCCAGTAATGGGATGGCTGGGTCAAATGGTATTTCTAGTTCTAGATCCCTGAGGAATCGCCACACTGACTTCCACAATGGTTGAACTAGTTTACAGTCCCACAAATAGTGTAAAAGTGTTCCTATTTCTCCACATCTTCTCCAGCACCTGTTGTTCCCTGACTTTTTAATGACCGCCATTCTAACTGGTGTGAGATGCTATCTCACTGTGGTTTTGATTTGCATTTCTCTGATGGCCAGTGATGATGAGCATTTTTTCATGTGTTTTTTGGCTGCATAAATGTCTTCTTTTGAGAAGTGTCTGTTCATATCCTTCACCCACTTTTTGATGGGGTTGTTTTTTTCTTGTAAATTTGTTTGAGTTCATTGTAGATTCTGGATATTAGCCCTTTGTCAGATGAGTAGGTTGCAAAAATTTTCTCCCATTTTGTAGGTTGCCTGTTCACTCTGATGGTAGTTTCTTTTGCTGTGCAGAAGCTCTTTAGTTTAATTAGGTCCCATTTGTCAATTTTGGCTTTTGTTGCCATGGCTTTTGGTGTTTTAGACATGAAGTCCTTGCCCATGCCTATGTCCTGAATGGTATTGCCTAGGTTTTCTTCTAGGGTTTTTATGGTTTTAGGTCTAACATGTAAGTCTTTAATCCATCTTGAATTGATTTTTGTATAAGGTGTAAGGAAGGGATCCAGTTTCAGCTTTCTCCATATGGCTAGCCAGTTTTCCCAGCACCATTTATTAAATAGGGAATCCTTTCCCCGTTGCTTGTTTTTGTCAGGTTTGTCAAAGATCAGATGGTTGTAGATATGCAGCATTATTTCTGAGGGCTCTGTTCTGTTCCATTGGTCTATATCTCTGTTTTGGTACCAGTACCATGCTGTTTTGGTTACTGTAGCCTTGTAGCATAGTTTGAAGTCAGGTAGCGTGATGCCTCCAGCTTTGTTCTTTTGGCTTAGGATTGACTTGGTGATGTGGGCTCTTTTTTGGTTCCATATGAACTTTAAAGTAGTTTTTTCCAATTCTGTGAAGAAAGTCATTGTTAACTTGATGGGGATGGCCTTGAATCTATAAATTACCTTGGGCAGTATGGCCATTCTCACGATATTGATTCTTCCTACCCATGAGCATGGAATGTTCTTCCATTTGTTTGTATCCTCTTTTATTTCATTGAGCAGTGGTTTGTAGTTCTCCTTGAAGAGGTCTTTCACTTCCCTTGTAAGTTGGATTCCTAGGTATTTTATTTTCTTTGAAACAATTGTGAATGGGAGTTCACTCATGATTTGGCTCTCTGCTTGTGTGTTATTGGTGTATAAGAAGGCTTGTGATTTTTGCACATTGATTTTGTATCCCGAGACTTTGCTGAAGCTGCTTATCAGCTTAAGGAGATTTTGGGCTGAGACAATGGGGTTTTCTAGATATACAATCATGTCATCTGCAAACAGGGACAATTTGACTTCCTCTTTTCCTAATTGAATACCCTTTATTTCCTTCTCCTGCCTAATTGCCCTGGCCAGAACTTCCAACACTATGTTGAATAGGAGTGGTGAGAGAGGGCTTCCCTGTCTTGTGCCAGTTTTCAAAGGGAATGCTTCCAGTTTTTGCCCATTCAGTATGATATTGGCTGTGGGTTTGTCATAGATAGCTCTTATTATTTTGAGATACGTCCCATCAATACCTAATTTATTGAGAGTTTTTAGCATGAAGCGTTGTTGAATTTTGTCAAAGGCCTTTTCTGCATCTATTGAGATAATCATCTGATTTTTGTCGTTGGTTCTGTTTATATGCTGGATTACATTTATTGATTTGCGAATGTTGAACCAGCCTTGCATCCTAGGGATGAAGCCCACTTGATCATGGTGGATAAGCTTTTTGATGTGCTGCTGGATTTGGTTTGCCAGTATTTTATTGAGGATTTTTGCATCACAAAGTATGCAGTTTTAAAAGACTACTGTGACATCCAGGAAGGGTGTAGGAATTTGCATTTCCATTAGCAGACAATTAGAGCATGTTGTGTACTCTTTTGATAGAAGCTCTGAATATTTTTGGAAAACAAATATCCACATGATTTTTTTTCCCCATGCATTGTGTTGTGGAAGATGGATTTTATTGACAGATGGCAAATTCTGAAGTGGGACATCATATGGTTCTTGTAGGTCTCACCCATCCTGGTTTGGGCTAAGTTCAAGAAGGAATGTCGAGAGAGAACATATTATAACTTCCATGGTAGAGGTGAGTCTGGGCTGCATGGCCTTACACAGTTGGATTCAACTATCTTTATTTCCCTGGGACATTTTGGATGGTTTTCCTGAGAAGAACCACATCAAAGCCGCATTGGGGAGGTTTTTCCAAGAATACAGCATGGATATGTTCTGCCATCTGTTCCTATAGGAAGGCCAGAGGAAGATGGCTGTGGGGGAAAGCGTCCACCTGTTCTTCCAGGAACTCAGGAATACCTTCTTTTGAGTATGCTGGTGCTGAAGAATAGGGCACATCTTTGAGACAAAGGGAACCATGGAGACATGTTGAACAGTTCACCTGGACTTGTTTTTCTGTCACTTCCATCACCTGGTCATTAGGAAACTCCAACACAACCCAACAGGCCAATGAGGCCCACATATCCTCATGCTTTTAGAAAGGGCCAAGCAAGACAATGTGTCCCACTTTGCTGCCTAGGACATCTGAGTCATTAAACCTTCTTCTAAAGTAAAGCCCCAAGGAGGAATGTATGCCCCTTCTAATCTGAAACAGCTTTGCCTCAAGGCTTCCATCTTGAGAAGAAATGCTTTGGTGCTCCCAGCGTCCTTGGCTGGGGCTACTCTTCTTGAGACTGCTTTTGAGCCTTGCTGCTGCTAAGTGCTTCTTGTAAAATACGGTAAATGTAGGGCCTCAGTAATGCTTTCCTTGAGGGAGGGAAGAAGAAAGAGTTGTGCAAGATAGAGAGCTGAGCACACATAATGATTGCCATATGTCAAAGGATTTTGGGACTTTAAAATGGACTTGGGCAGTTCTTTGCTAAGTGTTCCCGTAAAACAACTGTTTTTATAGGTTTCTGAGGCCTTAGCAATGGAAAACATGGATTTCTGATCTTTCTGTATCTTGTTTAGTTTTACCATTCCTTTGTTCCAAGGACTTAGAGACTGTCTCCCTTTGGAACCAACCAGAACTTGATTTGGATCACCCAGTATGGCTCACAAATTACTTTTCTCATGATATTCCCAATGTTCACTAGCCTTTAGAAAAGTAGGAAAAATTGCCCTTGAAGTAAACCTTACAGACCTTGGAGCAGAAGTTGACAAAAATCATGACCAATGAGCCCCAAACCACTTCTAATATCCCTCTTCCCCTTCAGTGGCAAAATAAGATAATTAATTTGATAATAAGGCAAAAAACCTTAGGTCAAAGGAATGTACATAAATTAATAACTTCCTTTGTATTTAATCCCTCATCTTTGATATCTTTCTGTGAAGCTCTCCCCACAGTCTAAAATATCTCAGTTGGCTTCTATACAGGAGGAAGAAGCAAAGATTCTTCCAATGGCCCCAAGGAAAAGATTCGATTAAATTCTTCAAATCAGGGAGTCTGGGTGCTCTGCTCCTAAGCTCTTCCCATATACCTCTTTGCAAATTATAAACTGCATCTTTCCACTTAACAAAGTTTAAGATAGGCTTTGCGTGTGTGAAGGAGGATTCAACAAAGTTCTTGCTTTTCTGAAACATACCCCGGACTCAGAGAAATAAAAAAGTAAACAAGATCTCTATTTATTTTATTAAATGCTGCTAAGGAGATAAACAGAAGAGTGTGCAAAAGAGTGATTGAGGGGGATATTGCCTTTTGAGGTGCAGCGGTCAGCAGAAGTCTTCCAAGAAATTGATAGTGAACTACCCCTGAAGGAAGAGAGTTGATGGGAAGGGTGTTCAAGATAGAAGGAACAGGCCAGATGCGGTGGCTCAGGCCTGTAATCCCAGCACTTTGGGATGCCGAGGCGGGTGGATCACAAGGTCAGGAGAGGGAGACCATCCTGGCCAATATGGTGAAACTCCGATTCTAATAAAAATACAAAAATTAGCTAGGTGTGGTGGTGCATGCCTACAGTCCCAGCTACTCAGGAGGCTGAGGCAGGAGAACCACTTGAACACAGGAGGCAGAGGTTGCAATGAGAGAGAAGGAACAAACAAGATGGAAGTCTAGAGGCCAGAAAGGGCTTAGCAAGGAATAAAGAAGACCAGTGTGGCTGCAGCAGAGTGAGCAAGGGGCAAAGCGTGTGATGAGTATAAAGATGCAGAATACAGGGGCTGTGAAACCCAGCTGGGACTTGTTGGTCATGGAAACAAGCTTGGATTTCAGCAAACTCTAGGTAATATGAAGGCCTTCAAGTTCTGAGTTCAAAATGAACCTTTGTGCTGGGATTTGGAAAGCCATATGCCATTAAAGGGAGAGTCACATCAGAAGTGCCGAAATTATGAGTTTGCATAAGAAAGCAAAGGCATAGCACATTTAAAATACTGATCATTAAAAATCGTCTGCTCTCACACAGCCCTCTCCATTCAACACCATTTCCTGTCTCAACCTATCCAGTCAACATCTTTGTTGGTTTGTCTCATGGCGGTGATTGTATAATGTAAATATCAGACAACACAATGTAAATACAAGGCAAATTCGAAAATTGAATTGCCAAATTTGATGCAGTAGTTCTTGGAGTGCCTCAGAGTTGAAGAATCAAGTTAGCTGTACCCAAAGCCATGGACCAAGGAGGATTAGTTAGGGTTAAACCAAAAGAGAAAATCAATCAGATTTGAGAATATAATTGGGGCTTTAAAGGAGAATGATTTGAATACCAAAGGTTAAGATTAAGAGAATCCCTCAGGAAAATTTATGAAATCTTTGAATAATTTTGAAAAAGAGAGAGGGAGACAGAGAGAGAGAGACTGATGGAGAGACATAGACTTTATGACAATATCACAAAAGTTCAAGGCAAATTGAATTTTCCTATTATAAAATTTTGTCAGAAAATGGAAAAAAACCACGCAATTCTTGTTGTGTATTTTCTAGGACAGCAGAATTTTAACCTAGCCCTGTATTTTGTTAAATAAATAAACTTGTTTTCATAATTGCCAGCTTTGTTTTTCAAGTTAAAGTCCCAAATAACTGTCTTTCACCATTTATTTTGAAAATGTAGTCCCAATTTTTGATGGACTCATATTAAGTCGCAGTTTCCCAGCACCGATTATCTTTGGATAATGAACACCTCTTGTGCTCACAGTTAAGAATGTGCTGCCTCGGCATGTGAAGATGGTGGCCCTGAGTTACTCATCAATTCCTGAATACGTAGTTACATCTCAAAGAGAAAGACGGCTCTTCTGACTGCTTATACCCTCCCCTGGTCCCTCACCATATGTGAGGAGCTGTCTGGGAAAAGAAGAAAGTTGGGTCTAAGACCCACTGGCTTCAGCCAAATGAGTTAATCGACAGTAGTCTAGCCAGCAAAGGAAGACACTTACCCCCAAGAAGAAATATATTTCTGTTAAGCAAGAACTTTCAGAAGCTACATTTACAATTTAATAGTCCCAGGAATTTTCAGATGTCTGGATAATAGTGTGAAGACTTCCCAGATGGAAGATGTATTCTTCTGTTCAGGAATTATAAACATGAAACAAGCACTGGAAATTCTTTCCCACACTGCTTTTGAGAATGTCTGTCTGTGGACACCTCTTCAGAAATTTCTTGAGGCAGGGCCAAGAGCTTAGGACTTTGTAAGCAAGAGAATTAGGGACCATTTCCAGGGTTCTCCTCTTCCTCATTGTATGATCTTGGACAACAGGCTTACCCTCTCATTTATCTCAACTCTGAAGTTGGGCATAGCAATTCAGAGAATTGAGAATTAAGGCGGCAGTACATAGAAAATGCTTGCTACTCTAACCCATTATCACGTGTTCACTAGTAGTAGTAGAACAACAGTACCTAGAAAGAAGTTAGACCTGACAATTCTAAACTCAGTGTCACATTTTGAAAAGTGAAGATATTAAATTGTTCTAAGGATTTTGTTAGCCATGGTAACTTCTTCTCAGCTCATACTGCAAATCATGTAAGGTTCACAGTGCCTTATGTACCAAGCAAAACATTCCAACTTTATTCTGTAGGTTAGGAAAAAAAAAAGCTTTGGAAAATATTTAATTCATAGTTTTTAAAAAATAACTAATTATTATAATAATATTAGCTCACATTTACCAAATGCTTATTTCACAGAAGGCACTGTTCATAGCATTTTCATATAAGAATTCATTTAATCCTCGCACAACCCTATATTATCATTTCTCATTTTACAGATGGGAAGTTGAGATACTGAGAAGTTAAATAGTAGAGCCAAGACTTAAAGTAAGGAAGTACGGCTTCAGACCCAGTGCTTGTAGCCGTTAGTCTATAGTGTTCCACGGAAGTATCATCTTTGTGTTTGCATTTAGAAGGGCCCAAATGGAGACAAGGTTGTGAATTAGGCTGTTGAAAAAGTTCAGAAGAGAGATGATGAAAACATGACCTACTTTCATAGTAGATGTAGCAGAATGCACAATTTCAAAGACCTGAATACAGGCAGAAATTAAACAACACTACTTTGTGTTTGACAGAATCTGGGGGGGTAGGGGGTAGGAGGCTATTTGAAGGGGAGTGATGAAAAGAAAGAAGAATTAGGAGGAATTAGTTTCTGTCTTGGCTGGCCAATTGGCTAAATAGATAAGATTTACAAGGAAGTAGATCTAGAAATAGAAAGGAGGATAAGAAGTTCAGTTATGGACACAAGAGGTTTGAAGTTCTTGAAAACATCCACAGAGAAATGTTAAAGTGTTATTTAAGCCAGAGAGTTGCTAGAAATTCTAAGAAGAAAGCAACAGAGTTTAATATTTAAAAAAAATTAAGCAAATCCACAGAATGGGAGAAAATATTTGTAAATTTTAAATCTGAGAAGGGACTTATATATAGGATATATAAAGAACTGCTACAACTCAACAATAAAAAGAAAAATAGCCCTTTTTTTAAAGTGGGCAATGAGTCTGAACAGACTTTTCTCCAAAGGAAATATACAATGGCCAATGAGCACATGAAAAAAAGGTGCTCAGTGTCATTAGCCATTAGGGAAATGTGAATCAAAACCGCAATAAAATACCACTTGATACCTCCTAGGATGGCTATAATAAAAAGGATATAGATAATAACAAGTAACAGCAAGGATGTGAAGAAATTGGAATACTCATACAGTGCTAGTGGGAATGAAAAATGGTGCAGCCAGTTTGAAAAACAGTTTGGCAGTTTCTCAAAATGTTAAATATGGTGTTGCCATATGATCTTACAATTCTATTCCTAAGTATCTGCCCAAGAGAAATGAAAGCATGTCTGCACAAAAACTTGTACACAAATGTTCATAGCAGCATTGTTCATAATAGTCAAAAAGCAGCAACTCAAATTTCTATGAACTGATGGATAAATGGATAAATGTGGTTGAGTCACACAATAGAATATTATTCAGCAATAAAAAAGGAAAGAAGTACTGTTACATGCTTCAACATGAATGAACCTTGGAAACATTATGCTAGGTGAAAGATGCCAGACATGAAAGACTACATTTATATAAAATGTTCAGAACAGACAAATCTATAGAGGCAAGAAGTTGATTAGTGGCTGTCTAGGGCTGGGGATTGGGAGTGGAGAGGAGGAGGGAAATGGGAGTGACTGCTAATGGATATGGGGTTTCTTTTTGGGAACATACAACAACTATTGAACTGTACACTTTAAATGAGTGAATTGTGTGGTATGTGAATTATATCTCAATAAAGCTATTTTCAAAAATTAATCAGGTACAATAATATAACTAAATACAGCAGTCTATATCTATAAATTATGGTGTTTAGACTGCGAAGTTTAGGCCGGGTGCGGTGGCTCATGCCTATAATCCCAGCATCTTGGGAGGCCGAGGTGGGTGGATCACCTGAGGGCAGGAGTTTGAGACCAGACTAGGCAGCATGGTGAAACCCCGTCTCTACTAAAAATACAAAAATTTGCCAGGCATGGTGGTGCACGCCTGTAGTCCCAGCTACTCGGGAGGTTGAGGCAGAAGAATCACTTGAACCCAGGAGGTGGAGGTTGCAGTGAGCCGAGATTGTGCCACTGCACTCCAGCCTGGGCAACGGAACAAAGCTCCATCTCAAAAAAAAAAAAAAAAAAAAGGACTGGGAAGTTTAACTGACACAACAGGAGCAAATTTTATTCTGTCTTTTTTTCCCCCTTTCTCTATTATTACTTACTAATAATATTTTCAGCAGTGGATTCACTAAATTCCTCTCTCCTTTTTTTCCAAATGAATTCTTTAAAAGACTCCTGAGTGATATATAAGATTACAGAAAAACTCCAACTCTCATAAGTTACACCCAACCAGCAAGCAAATGAATCAAATTAATCTTAAACTGGCAATTTCAGATATTTACAAAGTCTGTCTTTTAATTCCTACTGTGTTTGAAAGTGGCATTCTGAAGGACATACTGAGTCATGATTGCATAATGGGCCCAAGCATTAAGTTACTGGTAACTGGAAAGGATTCAACTCAAATTAATTCTAAACCCATAATCTTATGAGTTTACAAACAAAGCCTGCACTTTAATTCTGGTGGGTTTAGAAGTTTTCTTCCAAAACCTTGTCCTTTCAAGAATAACAGCACCTATCACCTCCCCACGCCAGATGGTTTTCCATCATCAGATCTTGGAATAATTTCATTCTTTCTAAAACCAAAAAGCAGTCCTAGTTCCAAACTGCAGTTCATTAGGAGAGTTCCATGGTGTTTGTCAGGCCTCGTGCCACATGCTTTCACCAAAACGGTTTTCATACATGTCCATGGGGCAATGGTCTGCATCCACTTAAGATGCCTACCATGTGGTTGGGAATTTGTATTGCTGATCTGGAAAGGGGCAGTGTGAGGCTCAGGCCTTGCTGCTCAGACTGGAGTCTGTGGGCAACACGGAGGGGATGCACGAGAGCTGGTTCTGCAGGAGTTCTGGGAGGGTAAGATGAGTCAGAACATGGCTACAAGCTAAGGTCTTGAGGCTTTTTTTTTTTTTTTTTTTTTTTTTTTTAACAGAGTCTCACTCTTTTACCCAGGCTGGAGTGCAGTAAGGCGATCTTGGCTCACGGCAACCTCTGTGCCCCAGGTTCAAGCAATTCTCCTGCCTCAGCCTCCCGAGTAGCTGGGACTACAGGCATGCATCACCACACCTGGCTAATTTTTTGTATTTTTGGTAGAGATGGAGGTCTCACTATGTTAACCAGGCTGGTCTCAAACTCCTGACCTCAAGCAATCTGCCCGCTTAGGCCTCCCAAAGTGCTGGGATTACAGGAGTAAGCCACCACGCCCAGGGGACTTTGAGCTTTATTTGGTAGACACAGGGAGCCCTTTGAGGTTTTTAATAGGAACACGAGATACTCTAAGATGTCTATGAGTGAAATGTATTTCTATCGTATAGCATCCATACCTCGGCCGCAAATAATGGATTGTGTTAGCGAGTGCTTCCTGTGTGCCAGACACCAGCTTTACACTTGACCTACATTCCATCCTTTACTCTTTACAATCATCCTGTTGTGAGGCCTTCTGTTATCCCTGCTTATAGGTGAGAAGACAGCAGGATTTCAGGTAGGTTAAGGAATTGAGCCAAAGCTACATGGTTTATAAATCACAAAGCCAGGACTCAAATTCCCATCTATCTAACTTAAAGATTTATTCCTACCTCTGAGGGCTGGGTGGCTCTGGAGGCTGTCCCTCCAGTGAGGGGTGATAAAAGCTTGAAGGAGATGGAGGTGGGGGGATGGTAAGCAAGGGGCGGGTGGTTGGCTGAAGATCTTTCTGTCCCAGCCACTGTGTGAGCCACAGGAATACAGAAGCAAGGGTCTTCCCCTCACCTCAAGGGACTTCCTCTCTAGCATAGTCAGGCAACATCAGTGCTGCATTCACTGCACTGGAGAGATGACACCGGTTGGAAGGGCAGGGCTCTGAGTTCCTGCTGCAAAGTCGGTGTTGGAGGTGAGTAAGGTGCTGGGTTTTGAAATGAGGCCAACTGCTTCACACCCTGCCCGGCCATTAAGTTGGCCACTGGGAACAGTCAGAATGTTTAGTGACATCCTCGATACATTAGAAGCACATAACCAACATCACTTCCTGTTATTCTTGTTCCTCCTGTAACCATTATTCCTTCCAGGCCTGGGCAGATTTTCTTTTCCTTCGTGCTAATCCAGGGCTGTCCTTCCAAATGTTCAGATTTACTGGATCCGGAAGGCTCTTAGGAAAGAGCCTTCATTTCACACAAAACGTTGATGACTTTGCAGAAGGTGTTTTGGATGTTTTCTTTTGCTGAGCCCCAGTGGCGTGTGTTGTATAGACAGGTTAAAGCGAGAGTCAAGGAGTATTTCTGGCTGGACACAATGGCTCACGCCTATAATCCCAGCACTTTGGGAGGCTGAGGTGGGAGGATCACTTGAGCCCAGGAGTTTGAAACCAATCTGAGCAACATAGCAAAATGCTGTCTCTACAAAAAATACAAAAATTAGCCTGGCCTGGTGGTGTGTGCCTGTCATCCCAGCTACTTGGGAGGCTGAGGTGGGAGGATCACTTGAATCCAGGATGTTGAGGCTGCAGTGAGCTGAGATCACACCACGGCACTCCAGCCTAGGTGACAGGGCAAGACTTTGTCTCAAAAAAAAAAAAAGGAATATTTCCAAGAAAGGAATGAACAGGTCAGGCAAAGGCAATCAATGGAGGATCCTGAGATGGTGTAGATAAAACCAGGAAAGAAGGAAATGGCGTGCGTGCCTTGCGTCCACACTTACATGCTTGATGAGCTTGATAGCGGAGCACAGACAGTGGGCAACTGAGTGTAGAGGTTACCAAGACAAAGAGAAGGATATGAACACTGCTCTGCTGCTGACTGGCTGCGGGACCTCGGGCCCCAGACTTCATCTCCACACGCCTTAACTTTCTCTTCAGTAAAATGGAAACAATATCAACCTCACAGGGACCTTTTGAGGCTAAATTAAATGTTGGCCTGGCGCCTGGAATATGATAAATGTGTAACAAATGGAAATGACCAAATAAACTATTTTGAATGCAAGCCCTGGAATTTCTCAGTAATGATGTAGGTATTGATAGCCTTGCTTTGCAAACAAGGAAACTGGGGCTGTAGAGGTTAAGCTTCTTGTGTAAAATGAGGATGTTTATACTTGCTTCATAGTGGCAGCTGTTGTGACAATTACTTATTCACAGACATGTAGTGAGTACCGGGGCACAAGAGTGAATAAAGACCAAACTTCTGTTTTGTTTTGTTTTGTTTTGTTATAGAACTTATATTCTCATTGTCAAAGACAGATGATGAAGACAGGACAAGGCAGGTAATGGTAAGTGCTCCAGTGAAAATAAAATCATGTGCTAGGAAGAAACTGGGGGAATACTCAGCTTTGGTGGCCAAGAAAGTTGTTTTTTTACGAGGTGACATATCAGTTGAGACCTGAACAGCAAAAGGTGCCATCCAGGAGGAGGCCCTGGGGAAGAGCATTCCAGGCAGAGGAACAGCCAGTGCCAAGGCCCTGGGGTAGGAACAAGGCTGGCGTGTTGAAGGCTGGAACGAAGCCCTCTGCAGATGAAGGGCGGTGGTTGCTGGGGGGTTGGACAGGAAGGCAGGAGAAGAGCCTATAGATTTTCAAAGTCCAGGGAAAGAGCTTGGATTTTTTTTTTTTCTTAAGTACAATGGGAAGGTTTGTTTTAAAGTTTGTTTTCTCAGAATTTTATTATGAAAAATTCTCAAATATAAAAAAGAATTGAAAGAATTTTACAATTGAACTTCCATATATTTATCACCTAAATTCACAACTAACATTTGACTGAATTTTCTTGATCATATACCTAGCCATTTCACTCACCCATTGAGAAATCTTATGTTTTTTCCTCTTTTCAAAGTAAGTTGGAAGACGAGCCAAGTGACACAGCACACCTGTTATTCATAAGGAAGATGAATTCAGGGACAGGGTGGGGCAGTGAGGAGCAGCCCAGAGACCCTTGATCAGGCTGCTGGAGTTGGGGGGAATCTCATGGCTTCTACTAAGGCTAGTGGTGGGGATAGAACGTAGCAGAAAAATTCTGAATGTGTCCTGGAGGTATAGTCAGTAGGACTTTCTGGGAGTTTGGACATGGGGTGAGTAAGAGAGGAGTCAAAGGTGGTTCATAATCATTTGGCTTATGCTACGGGGTGATGGTGCTGGGGCTGGTGAGGCTGTTTACTGAGATGAGAAAACAGGGAGAAGCTGAATAGAAGGAGAAAATACAGAAAATAGGGGCGTGTTAAGATTGAGACACCTCTAACCTCTAGTACATGCATGTGGGTAAGTAAAGTAACAGCAGGATCTATGAGTCTGGAGCTTAGTGGAGGAGTTTGGCTGCAGTGGTGAACTTGGGAGTCATCAGCACATAGGTGACTTTTCAAGCTGGAGGACTGAAAGAGATGACTTAGGGAGGGAGGGCAGTGGAGAGAGAAGGGGTCTCAGGAACAAGTGCTAGGGCATGCAAAGATGGAAGAAGGTGGGGAGAGGAGGAATCACCAGCTAGGAGGAAGAAGGAGCACCCATGAGGGAATAGGAAACCGAGGGAGCCAGGGGTCCAGGAGAGCTAAGAGAATGGGTTTCAAGAACTCATGGTTGGGTGAATCAGTAAGATGAGAATGGGAGGGCAAACATCTGACTCGGCCTCAAGAAGGCTCCTGCTGGCCTCAAGAAGAGCCCTCTTATGGTGGGGAAGGAATCCACCCTGGCATCTGTTTGAGGAAAGAATGTCACTAGAAAGCATAATCCAGGAGCACTGGAGAGTAACTGAAGGAGTTTTACTGTGCAGGACAGGAGGAAAAGTGAGTGATGTTCAGAGAGGTGACTCGAGAGAGAAGGTCTTTTAAAATAAAAGTATTAAGGATTGCCTGTGTGCTTGGGAATGATCCCGTAGAGGGGAAAGGACTACTGATGCAAGAGAGGGAGGTATCAACTCTATAAAGTCGGGAGCAAAGTCCTTGAGGAGGTGAGAGAGGGGCAGGAGGGGGCACATGCAGAAGGACTGCTTTTGACAGCACAGGGACACTGCATGAGGGCATCAGAGGAGGGGACTGAGAGAGGGAGTACAGATGAGGCAGGTCAGTAGGTTTTGTGGGAAGATGGAGGCACCCCTTTGTGATGCTGGTGAAGCTACAAGTGCATGCACTGAAGAGATGGGGTCATGCGCTGAAGAGGTGGAGAGGGAAGGTATGAGGTAGGTGTTTTGGAGATCAAGAAAGTGACATACAGTGGAAGTGGAGTGAGAGCATCCGGTCGTGGGTAGTGCCCATTTGAAACAGATGTACCGTCACGAATTCAAATGTGACTGGTGAGCTCGTTGGGTGTTTTGCTCCAACCATGTTTAGCTGCTTGGAGGGAGGCAGAGAGTAAACAAAAATCTGCCTTTAACCAGAAGTTGAGGTTTAGTCAGCTGGGTGTGATTAAGGGTGGAAGGGAGTTTGTGCATGATTTTAATATTGTAAGGATGAGCAGTGGAAGAGGCAGTGCCATGGGATCCCAGTCCACAAGTGGCTAAGCACAAGGGAGGGTTGAGCAGGCATAGTTGGGTGTCGCTTCTTTAGGCTATTAGCACCTGTGCTGGCCAAACCAGGTGTGAGGGGATCACTGGTTTGACCTTTTCACATCACCACCCTGGCAAACGAACAGACACTGCAGCCACTTAGAAATCTACCCAAATTATGCTGCCCAAGTAACTACAGCAAGGAAGCTCCTTTCCCCTCTACAGCTAAGACAGGTGGAAAGGATCGATCTAGCCCAAACCAGACTCCATTTCACTGAACAGCAGGAAAGAGGTGGCATTCTTTTTAAGGTCGCGGAAGCTTCCTAGATCTCTACCTGACACACTCAGCCCAGCCTTGAGTTAAAGAAGTCAGTACCCCACTCAGAATCCAGTTAGTAAACTGAGTAAGTGGGCAGAGGGCTCCTCAAGAGTTATGTACTCTCTGAAGAAAACTACGGAATGCACATATCCTAGCGGCAGGAGGGCTGGAACATCATTTGGCCTTTGAAGGTGGCAACACTATTTTTTAATTGACAGTTTTGTAAGGAGCTAGTTGGATTGAGGCATCATTTATTTATGTACTTCTTGTCCAAAATGCAAATTAATCTGGCTCAGCAGGAAGGAATAGTGGTAGTATAAGCATGGTATGAGACGCAGTTGTTCAGAGCAAGGGCTGCTAGAATAGGTTCAGCCTTTTGACTTCCAACAAGTCGCTTATCCTCTGCGTACCTTGGCACCCTTTGTGAAATGGAGAGAATTGTAGCGTCTGTCTCAAAGACTTGTGATGATTATGTGTGTTAAGTACTTAGCACTGTGTTTAGCACATATTAAGCTCTGTGCTTAATAGTATTGTTTCTTCAACCTCCTCCCACTCCTCATTATTATTATCATTATAACTATTATTTTGACTACCATTGAATTGTTAGTACGTTAATATCAAAGTAACTCTGATACAAACGCAGTTCACTGATGCACAGGCATGATCACTCTAGGGAACAGACATACTGACTGAGGGGACTGATCTTCCTGAATGGGGTTTAGGAAGGTTTCTGAGTGTGTAGAGAGAAGAGAAGACAATTCTTAAAGAAGGGCTCTTGCTAATGAAAGGTATTATGAACTGAATATAGCCTCTCCTTCAATTTATATGTTGAAGCCCTAATCCCCCATGTGTATTAGAGATTGGGCATTCAAGGAAGTGATTAAAGTGAAGTGAGGTCTTAAGTTCGGAGCCCTGATCTGATAGAACTGAGCTGAAAGTGGCCTTATACAGGAGCAAGAGACACTAGATGTGGCTTGCTCTCTCCACCATATGAGGATAACATGAGAAGGTGGCCATGTGCAAACCAGGAAGAGAGCCCTCACCAGAAACGGACACTGTTGGACCTGAACCTGGAGCTTCTTGCCTCCAGAAGTGTGAGAAACACAGCTACTGTTTAAGCCACCCAGTTTATGGCATTTTGTTGTAGCAGCCCCAGGAGAATAATCCAGGGCTCCCCTCAGTGCCCGTCGCAGGTACTCCGCACCCTCACAAGATGGGTGACCAAATAAGGAAAGGAAGCATGTGGCTATGTTGTGTAAATGACATGTTGGCACTGGAAGAGAGCACTTGCAGATTATAGCCTTTAATATGTCTTAACTGGGTCTACATTATTAATTGAGTTAATTAATCCCCATCACCCTTACTGACCTGTCACGTTTTGAGAGAGGTGAATTAAGGTCTCCCCGTGCTGTGATCTTTATAACCTGCTGTATTCCCTATACTTATGCTTTAGACATTTTGATGGCTTCCTTTGCTAATAAGATGTGTCCATTTTGCTGTTTTTGCCTTGAATACAACCTTGTATATTTTTAACATTATGCACCAGCCTTCTTCTCTCTAGCTCTCTCTCTTTCTCACACTCTCTTTCATTTTCCTGGCATGTTTTTTGGTTGCAGAAATAAGAGCTTTCTGGCATAGCTCCCTGCAGCTGAGGATCATCACGATACACTTTAAGCATGTACTTTATGCCACAAAGAGCACAGGTAACCTGAGGAGGTATCTTGGCTCCAGATGCACCAGCTGTGCAACCTTTTCCAGTTACTGAACCCCTTAGCTTCAATTTTGTTTTGTTTGTTTTGAATCTGCGAAATGGAGCAATGTCTGTGTCACAAGTTCACTGTGAGAACTTGTGTGATCACAGATGTAGAGCCCCAGTTTAGTGGTCAATAGTAGCGACTGGTATTGTGTGGTCTTGAGAAAATACCTACCCATCTAGGAAGCACGCATGCCTTTATTGTCAGAAATGTTATTTTACCTAATTCATTCGCACATATACATTATTTTTACCTATCATCCATCATTAAATAAATTAAGAAAATGTGGGAAATTTGAAATTATATGTCAAATTGGGCATACTAATGATAAGAAAAAATAATTACTTTAAAGAATTCAACAGTTTATAAAATGAAAAGAGACAAATGTTTTGTCCAGTATCGATTGTGTCATGAATGAACTGAGAACTTTGTAAGTAAAGTGTATTTCCTCCGCACCTCCCACTGCCTTTTCAACTCTAATTTAATCTCTCCTCCACCTCCTACCTATTAAACTCTTACTGCACTGAGACTGTTAGCAAACCCAGGGACAGGTTTCATTCAGTAGACTGAGGGCGAGGCTTAGAAATGGAACAGCCCAGGCTGGGCGCAGTGGCTCATGCCTGTAATTCCAACACTTTGGGAGGCCGAGGCAGGTGGATGACCTTAGGTCAGGAGTTTGAGACCAGCCTGGCCAACATGGTGAAACTCTTCTCTACTAAAAATACAAAAATTAGCCAGGCATGGTGGCACATGCCTGTTATCCTAGTTACTTGGGAGGCTGAGGCAGGAGAATCGCTTGAACCCGGGATGGGGAGGTTGCAGTGAGCCGAGACTGTGCCATTGCACTCTAGCCTGGACAACAAGAGTGAAACTCTGTCAAAAAAAAAAAAAAGAAAAAAAAGAAAAGAAAAAAGAAAAAAGAAATGGAATAGCCTAGACTTCATCACTGTGCAATATAGTCATGTAACAAAACTGTACTCATATCCCCTACATTTATACAAAAAAAGAGAAATATATATTCTTAGAAGGTTCTTCAAATGTTCTTGAAACCCCTGAAATTTTGATGCAAAGTGTGATGTGTCTCATATCTCTGGGAAGCTGTAGCTTTCTTTAGATTCTCAAAGGGGTTTTTCTCCCCAAAAAAGTTAAGAACACTTGTTATAGGCCATTGGTTCTCTAATTTTACAGCAACTTTAGTAGTATTAAAGCAGAAGAGAGGAAGGGAATTCAGTATAGCATAAAATGATATAGTAGCTTTGTTTTTAAAAAATTGGTCCAAATACCTGTAATTGGATATATATATGTGTGTGTGTGTATCTGTGTATAGTGATATTGTTTCTAAGTAATTTGGTAGTAGTAGTATTACCAGAATGAGTATGAGGTATTAAAATAATAGTAAAAATGATTAAAATAGTACCAGCTAAAATTATTGAACTTACTGTATACCACATCCTGATACCTTGTGCAACTAGAACTACTACCCAATTTAGATATATTGTTCAATTTAAACCTCAGAACAACTGTAAGATGAGTTCCTTATTAACCCCATTATACAGATGAGAAAACTGAGGGTTAAATCTACCAGATATTTTGACAAAATCACTCAAGGAGTAAGTCGTGAAGCCGTGACTCTAACAAGACTTTGCATTATATAATATTCATTCTATGCTTTTTGGCAGTGTCAGAGTAGTATGTTGAACATGACATACTGTAGTATAACAACACTAAAACTAAAAATAATACTAATACGAACTAAAATAACACCAAAATTATTAACAGATCCATTGTTATTGCTACAAGGAAAGGTGCACATTATATTTTAGTACATATTGTCTAGCAGCAAACAGATGATGAATGATTACAATATAGTTAGCTCCATTAATATAATTGTTGCCATCCGTTTTGGAGATCTCAATTTATTATGGCATCATTGTTGTGTCTAAAATTATAAAAATAAAATAAAATGTTGTTCACATCACTCTTTACCCTGGCAAAGGTGGAGCATTATAATATTCCTGCTAATAATGCAAACAATGTAGATCACTAAGCACAGCACACTATTCGTGTATTATTGCACTCTGTCTATAAGCATTATATTTTTTGCACCATATTAAGGTAAAAAATGACATGTTTGATGACGAATACAGACAGCAGAGCCTACAATACTGGTATAAATCTATAAATTATAAATATTGGGACTCTCATGTGTATTCAATTAGAAACTAAACTAAAATGCATTATCATTTCAGTATATATTGGAATAGTACCAATTCAGTACATACTTGAGTAGTATCTCTCTTCAGAAAATACTTGTTATGTAAGTATTAGCATGGCTGTGTTAGCGTTTTTGCTAAAATTATAGATATGACACACTGGTTATTATATTGGCAGAACTGCTTCCATTTTGAAAGTAAGTATGACATGGCTTAGTAGTAATATCATCACAAATGCTAACATCATAGGACCATCATATAGAATGGTATAGCAAAAGGATTACTTCTACTATCAGAGATGGCATAGAACCTGAGTGATTCCTGTGTGTCTGGCCATTTGCATGTAAAAATGGAGAAGTCTCAGTCCAAAGTTCTACTTTTGAGGAGTAGTGATGCTTCCTTATTTCCCTGTAAGCTGCAGTCACAAAGGTGGTTTCTCAGATCCAACATACACTGAGTATAGACCAGTGGGCTCCATATCTGCACTTTTGTTGTTGCTACTAAAACTACAGGTGGCATTAGCACAGCAGCTGTATTGTTCTCATAACTTGAAGTAAGGTAGGATTATGTACAAGGGAGGGTGGTGTTAGTGTTTAAAATGTATATGGAATATAATAATGCTATTGCTGTAGAAATAGATGCTAGAATGGCATTGGGGCACTGTGTTGTGGATTAGCAATATTGCCGATCTTTCTGCTAAAACAGTATATGGAATAATAATACACTAGTAATGATGGTACAGATTGAGTATTCCCTGTCAGAAATGCTTAGGACCATGAGTGTTTCAGATTTCACATTTTTAAAAAAATTTTGGAATATTTACATTACACTTACCAGTTCAACATCCCTACTCCAAAAATCCAAAACCTGAAATGCTCCGATGAGGACTTCCTTTGAGCATCATGACCACACTCAAAAATTTTCAGATTTTGGAGTTTGGATTTTTGGATTTGGGATGCTTAATCTGGACCAGTATTACAGACACTACACTTCAATACGGCTGAATGGAATTGCTGTTTCCTGAGTCTTGATGACAGCATGTGGCATGAAAAGAAAGTGATGTGGAGAAAGTTGACAGGTGGCTAAGTGAATAGAACACATGCTCTGGGACCATTAGGCTGGCTTCAAATTCTGGCTTTGTCCATCACCGCCTCTGTGACTTGGTCAAGGAGTACAACCTCTCTGAACCTTAGGCCTATAATCTGCAACGCTTGTCTTCTCACGGCTTGAGCCAGCTTTGACTGTGAGGAATTATGTGACATAATGACTGTGAAGTGCTTTCCACAGTCAGCACTCAACAAATGTCCCCATCTCTGCCCCACAGTGATTGCTACAGCTTGAAGATTATGTGGTGGCATAACTAAATAGCATGTTCAAGGACAATATCGAATCGTTTATAAATATAACGACAATATGACTATAATTTAGGACTCTTCTTGATGCTCTGGCTAGTAGGGGCATATCACGCCATGGGTGACAGTATTTTATTTGAAAGATGCCACTCAAATATTTCTCTCTCTTTACTAATTTATTGCTAACCATTTGGAGCTAGGATAATTAAAATATGGGTTGTTTAGTATAGGATCTTGCGGTAGAATTTTTATTAACAAGATTTTGACAACCTAACATAGTCAGGATATAGCAGTAATAGTACGCACAATGCTACGGTTTAGGACCACATCTTACAGCATAGCCTAAAGAAAGTAACTGCTTTGAGGTGGCCAATGCTGGCAGAAACAATGTGATTTTATGCTTCACTTTATTATATATAATTGTGGGAACAGAAATAAGATATCGTACTGAACTGCATTATGTCAACCTATACTTTTTGCCCTACAATTCAAGTAGCAGTAACACTAGCACACTATGTGAATTATGCTGTTTATGTTAATAGTTATATGAATATGTCATTAGATTATACTAGGGTGCTTCCAGCGTTTGAAATAATGCTACTTTGTGTGATGTTAAAGTAAAAATTATAGTCACATTTGTAATATAGTATTTCCAATATCCATAGGACTGACATTATTCTAGTGTACACATCTGTAATGTTGCAAGGATGTTCCTAACTCATCATATTATGAGAGCTTCAAAAATTGGCAGCAGCGATATTCTAAATTAGGAGACTGACAGATTAGGCCTCACATATCAAATCTGTCCTGCTGCTTCTTTTGTATAGCTCACAGTATAACAGTGGTGTTTACATTTTTGAACGCTTGCAAAAAAAAAAAAAAAAAAAACCTCAAAGGAGTAATATTTTTGGCATATAAAATATATGAAATTTGAATTTCAGTGTCCTTAATGTCCTTAAATATAGTTTTATTAGAACATAGCTGCTTTGGAGCTGTAATGGCAGAGTTAAACAGCTGCATCAGAGACAATAAGGCCCACCAAGTCTAAGCCAATTACTCTGGCTCTTTAAGAAAAATGTTTGCTGATCCCTGGTTTAAACAACACTACATTGCCTGTAATGTGCATATGAGTGGAAAGTATTGTATTTTGAAAGCAGTAAAGATGAAGCCATCATGTCGTATTACCATATGCTGTTTCTAATCATAGGCAGCAGAAGTATCGCTATAATCTACTATTGTATGTTGCCTTTACAGTGTCCGAATGCTGCTGAATTATAATATCCTAAACTAGAAAGTATTGCTATCTTGACTTACTACCTAGAAGAGGGAACCGGTGTCTGATACAAGACAGGACTATGGTATCCAGCTGCATATTGTTACGGTTAAGGGTAAAAAGTGTGGAGTAAGGCCTTGTTTCTTACTGGCCCTAGTAACTCTGGGTAACTTGCTTGTTGAGACTTAGTGCATCATTTGGTGGTCCCAAGATTTACATGAAATGTTGTAAAGGGCTCTGTGTGGTACCTTGCAAACAGAAGGTTTTGATAAATAATATCATGTGGGTGGTTTATTCATTCAGCAAATGCTTTCTGGGTGTCACTGAAGTTGGGGAGTTACTCCAAGCATTGAGGATACAACAGTCAACACAGATGAGTCCCTGCCACATAGGATATGAAGAGGGGACTCTGGCAGTAAATGAGAAAATGACACATTCTAGTGAGTACCATGGTGTGAACGAAACAGTAGGTAGTGAGAGAGCATTCCTGGGTGTTCGGTGGAAAACTGCTGAGGCCTGGATGACAAGGAGGCCACCACCTGAATAGTTTAAGATACAATGTAGCTAGATTGCTATTTTATTGAATCTGTAGTTTACTCTCTTACACTATGGAAGAGATTCCCAGCATTGGTACAGTCAACCTCCATAATTTAGATGCCAATAGGGATACCGAAGGTTAATGGCATCATTAAATTGTAAAGACAAAATCCCTAATAATCCTTAAGGATTAGAATAGGGTTCCTCAACTTTGGCACTGTTGAAACATTTGGCCAAACAATTCTTTGTTGTCGGGGGCTGTCCTGGGCTTTGTAGGATGGTAGCAGCATCCCTGGTCTCTATCCACTAGATGCCAGTAGCACTGCCCCTTCCCCCACAGTGTATCTTCTGCCATTGCCAAATGACCCCTCTGGGGCAAAGTCGTCTCGGTCTGTAACCACTGGATTAAGGGAAACGATGCCTGCAAAGCCCCCAGTAGGAATTTTGGTCACTACCAGCGGCGTGTGTGTGACGAAGTCCTATTAGTAGAAATGCCCCCAGCTGACTCTCCAGCAAATATGTGCCAATTAGAGACATCTTTGCAAAGCTTCCAAATTGCAGACACTGCAAATGGCCCTCAGGGGTCTGTTAAATTATTATGACCTCTGATACTGATAGTAATAAAGCTGTGCTCTTTCTGCCTGTAATTTTAATATTTTACTAAACTACAGAGTCTCCTATAACAAGAGCTATATTATTATCCTCTACAGTGCTGTACTGTTCATAATTTAAATAATAATGTACATTTCCTCATCCTAAATTACTTCACACATTAAATAGTAGTTTTTACCGACACCATTACAATCCTATTTTAGTGTGCTACATTATTCTAATTCTGTGTTCCCTTCAATACTGCTCCTAAAAGGACGGCACATGGAGCCGGCCAGTCTTTAATTTTAGGACACATGGAGGTATCATTGCATTGTCTTGTCTATGCTGCATTTTAGTATTCTACCCTCAATAAATATTGCAATTGTTCTATTATAATTTTATGAATTTTACCTAGTATATACATACAATGAATTTTATAATTATACAAGTATATACATGCATATATGAAATAGTTCTATATTTTAGGAAGAACGTTGCTACACTATGATTAGCTATAGATACCTTCTGAATCTGTTACAAATTATATTGAATGTCACAGCCTATAACTTTAGTAACTAATTGTGCTATATAATGCTCTATTAAACTATATCACATTAATTAGTCATAAACTGTACATTTTAGTAAAATGTTCTCTGATAAGTTACCTTTGGATATGTTTGGTATCAATCATATTAATATTGCATACAGAAATCTCCTACTGCAAATTTTAGAAAGACAACATACTCTAGAATATCCTAAAGAGAGGGAAGAAACTATGAAATACTTGTTGGGGACAGTGGGATAGAAGTCGACTCAGGAAAGAATATGTCAGGCTGCTTACTGCTCTGCCCAGGTATGCTAGGCAGCCCAGATGTGCTCAGCAGCTCGGGTAGCCATAGAATGTTATGTGACTTGTGTATTCTAAGTGAGATACGGGGAGAAATGAAGACAGGGGAGGGCTGCTGGGCAGCAGACAGTGGCCTGGAAGTGGGAGGACAGGAATAGCAGCCGCACTCAGGGAGGTGAGTTGGCAGGCTGGTATTAGAGAGCAGGGAGTGGAGGCCAAGCAGTTTGGAGAGATGGCAATAAGATCAGTGGGTAGGAGACGCGGAGATGTTGTAGTACAAAGTTATTGGCAATTCATTCATCCATTCGAAGTACTTGATTGGCTGAGTGCCCTGACTCGGAAGCAAAATTGCCTGGCTTCTAATCCCAACTCTGCTCTTTTCCAACCATGTGACCTTTGGGAGCATGACTTTTCCCCTTGTGCCTCCATTTCTCCATGTGTATAATGATGATCAGAATCACACCTACTTCCTAGGTGTGCTGTGAAAATCCCACGAGTTAAACATGGAAGTCACTTCAAATAACACCAGGCAGAGAGAGTCAGATCACAGTAAACAGTAGGTGCTAGCTTTGTCACTGTTATTGGTGGTTTTAGTTGTATTATAGGCCAGGCACTGTTCTGGGAGCTGGAGATGAAGTCACGAACGATAGAGGAGTCCTTGACCTATGGAGCTGGAATACAGTAGGTGAAACTGAAAATAAAATGATTCCAGATACTGATGTAAAGGAAAAGTAAAACCAGAGGAGTGGGGCTAGGGGAGAAGAGCAGCTGTACCAGGGGTCTCTGAGGAAGGAATTTTTGAAGGGAGCGTGGATGTTGGGAAGGAGCAGCCACATGAAGACCAGGGTCCAGAGCCCTCCAGGCAGAAGGCACATGAAAAACAAAAGCCCTGAGTGGGCACCATGCCTGGCATTTTCAAAGGCTTGGAGGCAGAGCCATGGAGCACAGCGGGTCTGGGGCAGAGCAGCACAGGATGGTGTGGGAAAGGGAGGCAGAGTCTAGCCGAGTCCCTGTAGGTCCCACAGCTCAGCGGATGCCAACCTGGCTTCATATTAACATCACCTGGGGAGTTTTAACAAAAACTAAAATGCCTGGGTTCTGCCCCAGAGTTTTCGTTTGTTTGAGATGGAGTCTCGCTCTGTCGCCCAGGCTGGAGTGCAGTGGCGCGATCTTGGCTCACTGCAACCTCCTCCTCCCGGGTTCAAGCGATTCTCCTGCCTCAGCCTTCCGAGTAGCTGGGATTACAGGCACCTGCCACCATGCCCGGCTAATTTTTGTATTTTTAGTAGAGACAGGGTTTCATCACGTTGGCCAGGCTAGTCTCCAACTCCTGATCTCAGGTGATCCGCCCACCTTAGCCTCCCAAAGTGCTGGGATTACAGGCATAAGCCACCATGGCCGGCCTGCCCCAGAGATTTTTTGAAAGGTCCCTGAGTGATTCGAACACACAGAAGACTCAGAGAACCCCTGCTGTGGACTACAGTAAGGGATGTGTATGTTGTTTTAATTGTACTGGGCAAGGCTAGGATCAGATATTTGTTTCCGAAAAACTGCTCTGGTTGTTGTGTGGAGAACGGACTGTGGAGTGGGACTGGGTGGTCGCTGACAGTGGAAGAGAGGAGACTAATGAGGACATAGGTCTTCAGAGACCAGGGACGGGGGTGGTGACTGGGAAGAGGATGGCAGCAGTGAGGGGCTGGGAAAAGTGATGGTCAGGTTTGGTGTTTGAAGGGCACAGCTCGTGAGACTTGCTGCAAGGTGGGTTGCGGGGGAAAGAGCAAATTGGGTGGCCCCAAGGTTTGGGGTTGGAGTTGCGTCAGTGGGAAGAAAAAAGTTTAATGGAGGGGGATCGTGAGTTGTGCTTAGGACACATTAAGTTGGAGAAAATTATTCAATTTCAAAGTAGACAAACAAACAGGGTCCAGTTGCTTGAAGCTGTTGTGAGAACAGCGAATCAGAGGTGCCTGGTGGGTCAGTTACATGAATGTAATCGTGACAAGGGCATGAGGTGCAGTGTGACTCAAGGATGCTATATTTATGCCATAAACAGTTTAACAAAAATGACTCCATCGTTTAGAATGAGACTGGGAGTGGAATTATACGTAATTATATTACATGTATTTTGCATCATTTGCATTAAATTATGGGCATTATAACATAATATGCTTGACTTATTGTTGCCAGTTTTTAAGAACTGTAATGGAGAATCATAGGTTATGTGATGTTATTTTTGTTAAAAATTAATTAAAATATGATTTCTCTCTTATAAATCATCTAACTTGCTCTCTTTTAAAATCACCTAAATAATTTTCCTATAAATCACCTAGATCTGTGATAAATTCATCTCTCTCAGTATTAAGCTCAATTTTCCTCTGGTCATCACCTTAGGTATAAATAGAATGTCTTTATACTTGTAAATAGAATGTCTTTATACTTGTAACTTTATGGGTTTAGAGTCTTATCATCAATCATTCCAGCTTAATAAATTGTGGCTCCTTATCTGATATCAATGTGTCAGTGTAAATGTAATATATCTATCTTTATATTTGTATGAGCAACAAATGAATTTATTCATTTACCAAGTGCACAGAGTGAGTAACATCAATTGTCACAATTCTATAGCTCCATGGCTGTTGAAAGTTTGGCAAGTTTGCCTGTTACAGTATTGTGATGTTGAGAACAAACAAACAGCACTGGAGGCATAGTAATTTAATTTTAAAAGTTATAACAACAAACAACAAACAATGTAGTGGAATCATTTTAGTATAAAGCAGTACAGTGACATCAGTTTTTCTAAAATATCAAGAGGATAATGTGCCCCTTTTTAAAAGAGTTTAAGTAAGTAAGTAGGATTCTCTGGATAACTTTTAGATGTCGTCTGTCCTATAAAGTAAGGCATTCTCTACTCTGCCTAGGCATGGAAATTATTTCACTTTATTTAGTAACCATGATCCAGTGAAATCTGTTTTCTTTGGGTCAAGAGCCAGCGTTTAGAAATGCTTGCTTACATGTCTGGGTAGTTTCATCTCATCATACTTGAGATCTAATTTCATATCTTGTTTATGGGGAAAGCCAGAAGCCAAATTTGTAATCATTGTTCTTTTCCTCCTTCAAGTCTCCTCAGACCGAATTCCTAGGATTTATGACTTCTTTATTTCTATTCCCAAATAATTCACCACTTGAATATGATGAAAGCTTGTGTTTGCATCCAAATTATGATTTTCATTGAAGTTTAGTTCAACAAAATTCACGGTTCTATGTAATAAACTCTTCCCATGTAGATGATATTTTGATATACTTCTATAAATATTTTTATAACTGAGAGTGAGTGAAGCATCTAAAAACAGTTGTTAAATATGTGCCTAGAATCTGCTTTAGAACAAAGGCTCTGCCAACAGCCATCATTTCCTGGTTTCTGGAATGGGGACCTTTTCCCCCATGCATTGTTTTCAGTTGGTGTTCTTAGCAATAAAGTGATGATAAAATCCAAACACGGAGATTATGATTTTAATATACTTTATTTAAAAAGTACACAGTTTTAAATTGGTTTCAATAGGTTTCAAGCAGAAGGGACACTGCCTACCACTTGCGGTCCCATTTCTGATGAAGGGTGATTATCATGTGGCAAACTCACATTTGCATGACTGGCAAAGTAAAAAGATGATAGATAACTTTTTGTCAACATATCTTTAAGAGTTTATATCACGCACAGTTTAAAATCATGATGAGATGCTGATGGTTGGACTATATTCATGTCTCGTATGTTGCACCATATTTTGGTTCACAGTTTATCCATGATTTAGCATGCCAAGAGAACATCTCAGTCAGTAAGAGAACATCTCAGTCAGTGTCACCTTGAGAAGAGCATCAAAAGCAGAGGGAGCAGAAGGAGGACTGTCTGGGCTTGGAGACTCGGCGCACCCCCACACTCCCTTGCATTCTCCTATGGGGAAAGGCAGGGGTTGGTTAGACGGAAATAGACTCCAGGACACCTTCAACTTTCCCCAGACCTCTCTCCCCCTCTCTAACGTAAGAACGAAGTCTTCTGGGACCTAGATGATGGTGCAGATTCAGTTTACTGAATGAAAGGGATTATTTTCTCATGAGTGAACTTTTCAGCTGTAGTTCTTTGACCAGTGTGAGACTCTCGTGGTGATTCTGATGGGAAAAGGAAACAGGAACAGTTCTCAGACTTACCTCAGGATGGAAGCCATGACAAGATTCTGGGCGCCTTCTGATCTTCTGGGCCTTTAGACGTTCACACTTAAGGGATTCATTATGTTGACTGTAGTTAAGGCATGTTTCCAAGGATTGCTTTTTTCTACTCTGCATTTCAGAGGTCAAAATTTGGCAATGACAACTCTCTTAACTACTCTCTCTCTCCAACAGTGGAAAGGATGTAATTTTCCTTCTCTAATATTTCTCCCCCAGGTTTCCTTACCACTGATACCCCTTACTGGTTTCCGTGGTAGTGAGTGGACCTGCACACAAAAGGATATACCTGATTTCAATGGGTGCCATGGTGATGGGGGCCACAGATTCACAGAGGCAGCTGCTGTCCACCACCACCATGAACAGGTTGCTGCTTGGGATTTGCTGGATGACAAAGGACCTGTTGGAACAAGAGGTAGCGAGGCAGTCATTTACCATCCGTCAATTAAAGAGCCATGAGGAAGACTTCTCTCCTGGGTGGTAGCAACTACCATATTTTGTAAAGCAAATTTTGGAGACTATTTTACTACTAATGTTACCTTCTTTCTCCATGAGGCTCTTCACTTACAAATACCTAGCTTCACTAGGAAAACAACAATAGCTATGACGACATGCGGCTCATACAACTCACCTTGGAAAGACTGAAGTGCTGTATGTACAAAACACAAGAGTCAGAGTTGGCTGAATCACCTGTTCCCAAGGTTTAAGAGGTCAGACTTTCAAAGCCTAATTTCCTTCTCCCAGAGCCTAAACATTACCCCAAGTTACATTTGATGTTCCTCTAAGTGGCGTTTTCTCTCCTCCTTCCCTCAACGATAGACTGAAACTATGTCATACCAATGGCAAAAGAGATAGTGAACTTCTTAGAGCCTTCCTTATACTGCTTTGCACAACGTCTGCCCAGTATACAGGAACAGTGTTTTGAATGAGATTAATGCTAGTCATTTATGAGGTCCCACACTTCCCAGAGCCCAAGTTCTATAAGAAAGAGCCAAGGCTGTATATCTGCTCTGACCTTCTGATCCATCAGGATAGTTAGTCCAACTTAAACAAGCTTGGCAGTGCCTCCTTCTCACATTGCCCAACATGGTGAAGTGACAAAGAAAGACACTATAAAATAATCCTTTAACAAACACAAAACACTACTGACTCTTTCTTTGGAGGAACAAATGAGGGATCAAAATCTCATATTCTTCCAGAACCAGATTAGCTAAATATTTAACTCCAGGGTTAGAACCCCTATCGCATAATATTTCATTAAATTCAGTTTAATAGATTTTAACTTAACAAATGGAAATTAACAAAATTG
Organism: Homo sapiens; assembly: GCF_000001405.40. Classification (NCBI taxonomy): domain Eukaryota; kingdom Metazoa; phylum Chordata; class Mammalia; order Primates; family Hominidae; genus Homo; species Homo sapiens. The sequence goes on along the minus strand of NC_000003.12, from coordinate 55,072,535 downwards.
TCAGTTTCTCCAAAGTTTTATCTTCATTTGCCTTTCTCGCAATAAATTTGTTCCATTCTTTTGAGTATATCACCATGGTGAACTAAAATCATGCAATGAAGAAAAGTTCTTCTGCTTTATGGGACGTTATAAAGAAGGGAAAGGGACTCCCCCTTTTTTAACCTGTTGCCACCTCATATGTTGAATGATCCATGAGAATGATCCATGAATGCCTCTCAGAGAGACTGCAACACAATTGGTTTCTTTCTTTTCTATAAATGCCCAATGCCCATCTAATATTCCACAGTTATGTTCACAGGGCTTGCCACTGTGCAAAGATGTTTCCTCAATGCCTTAACCACTATCCACACTGGGACACCTACTCTCTGCTCTTCCTACTCTTGTCTAGAACTATATCTGGCCTCAGAAAAATATTCAGTCTTGCTGTTTTGCTAATTAATTTCATCTATATCTGTCTGTATCTTCTTTACCTTCCCTCTTTAACACTAGACTCTTTCTTGCCTATGCAAGAATGTTACTCCAGCAGTTGGCCTCTACTGAATGGATTTTGCCCATCAACATAAATATATTCTACCTGAGATAGCTAGCTCTCATCAGAGAACCAACAATTTCCACCTTTGAGGCGGCAGGTTAACAGAGTCTCAAAGACAAGTACAAAACCAAGATCACAAAACACTCTGAAGAACAAATGGCTGACTAGAAGATTAAGCCAAGTGTGTCTGCCAGATGAACAATAAAGGAGAAGAGATGAAAATATGACATAAAAGATCCAAAGGAGAAAATATTTCTTGCACTGAAAAAACAAATCCAATTCTTTTCAATGAGTGAGCCCACTGAAACATGAGTAAAAAACTTCCTATCATCAATCATCAAAGATACAGACCAATCCTAAAAGCTTCCCTAGAAACAAATTACTTAGAATGAGAATAAAACCAGTTGCTCAATGGGAGTACTGAAGATGAAGAAACAGAGTAAAATATTTAAAGAAGTTCTGAGGAAAAAAGAGAGTCAGTCAAAGGTATGCCAGTGTCTATATTCTAAATCTCTGTAGATATTTATAGAAAATTATATTTTCAAATTAGGAATAATCATTGAAAAATATTAAAAAGTATTTAAAACCTGATCAATATGGATAGCATGAGAAATTAAACACCCCCTACAGACACATGACTGCCAGTATAAGCCTAAAATTATTACCAATCACAATAACTGTGAGGTTGTTAGATTCACATATTAAAAGGGCAAAGACTCTTAAATTGGGTTTATAAACATTATGATGTTTGTTTGCCACAAACACTCCTAAAACAGAATGACACAGGAGAAGGGGAAAATATATCAAAAATATGCTAACAAAAAAAGAAACAGGTTCAGGTTTAGCAGTAATATACAGATATTCAGAGTAAAATAAATATCATTAAAATATAGTAAATAAGAGTTCATACCAAAAAGTATTATAATCCACTAACAAGATAAAATATGATTCTTTAGTCACATAATGATCACAGTATACTAACTGAAAGAAATAACAAAAGGGATTTCTGAAAGCATGATCTGTTAAAAATATGGACCCAAAACTCTTCAGATATAAACAGCACAGAATATAAATTATTTTCAAACACAGGGAACTGCAACACATTCCAAAGAACCTATAGTACTGATTACACATTCTTCTTTTATGGTAGAGTCCAATTAGAAATGAATACCAAAAAGATATAAACAGTGAAAATTAAAAGTTAAAAAACACCTTTCATCAATCCTTGAGATTTGATAATAGCCCAGATTCACATTTGTGCGGTAGAACCTTAGACATTTTCATCAGAAAAAATAAATAAAGGTCGCAAATATTTGACTCAGTTTTCAAATCAAGAAGCTGGAAAAATAAGAAGATAAACCTGCACCTGTGCCCTATACATTGTCTTCCCCCTTGTCCACTGGATTGAGTATTAATGTCCCTCTGCAAAGCCTATCTTTCAGGCTTCTTCAAGGATGTGACTGGTGGAAAAGAAGAGATAGGTGACCGCTGCACAAATGGTTCCCCTCATCTACTAGCCCTTCCTGGAGGTTGGCAAACATGCTGTCACATCTCCCAGCTCAGGAAAAACAAAACTGTCTCTTAACCCTCCCTCCTGCAACCACCCCATTTCTCTGTTTTTCCTTATAGCACAACTCCTAAAAATAATTATCTATAATCCTTCTCTCTCTCCCTCCAACTCTCTCTCTTCACACATCTCCCTCCTTCAGAAATTGTATTCCAACAAGGCTGTAGTCCTCATCACTCCAACTGAATCAGTTATTGCCAAGGACACCAATGACTTCACCACTTTCCTTCTGCCTCTTCTTCCTTGCTTGTTTACTGTCTGCCCCTCATAAAAGACTGTAGTTTCCAAGGCAACAGGGCTGCACCTGACTGCCTGAGGTTGTGAGTTATCTCTAGCACCTAGGGTTGTGCCTGGGATAGAGCAACTTCTCAGTAAGTATTTGTTGAGTCAGTGACAGAACTTGAAATGATAAAGGCAGAAGAATAAAAAATTAAACTGTGAAGATAACCAACAGAATCAAACTCTGGTTTAAAAGCTTACTGACATAAATTAACTTTGGCACTCATGATCAAGAAATTAAGTCACAAAGTATCATTATAACCTGTAAGATACGGGAGCATTTTCAACATTTTTTGGTGACCATTATGTATAGCATTGTAAACAATCTGAGAACTTAAGAGAAAACACGCCTTTGGGGATAAAGCATAAATTATCTACATTTGGCCAAGCTATAAAAATCATGAGCAGACCAATTGCCATGAACAAAACTGAAATGCTCATTGAGAATCTACCCCCAGGTGAATTCTACCCAATCAATCACCCAGAGAACAGATATTGCTGTGTTCATAGAAAACCCACATGAACCCACTGACCAACTACTAGAACTAATAAAAGAACTCAGCAAGCTGGCTAGTTACATAATCAGCATATAAAACCACAGCCTGACACTGGCAATAACCAACGAAAAATATTTGTGAAATAAAGAACCATTGATAGTATCAATAATCAGTATAAAAGGCCCAAGAATAAATCTAGTAAAACATATGCCTTAATGAAGAAAATGATGCAAATTTACTGAGGAACATAAAAATACTAGCTAAAAATTGGAGGGAAGTACAATGGTGGTGGAAAGGAACACTCATATTTTAAATATGTCATTTCTCTCTTAATTAACTTTTTAATTCAAAGCAATTTCAATAAAAATAGGATATTTTATGGAATTTGAGAACATGATTCTAGGATTCTTTCAGAAGAGTAAATATAGAGAATAGTCTGGACAATCATAAAAGATTGGGTTTTATAAAAAAGGGAAGGGCAGTTGCTTGCCATATCCAGCATCGAAACTCGTGAGACAATTCATAGAAGAGGAAACACAGATGAGTAACAAATAGGTAAAAGCGGGTTCAATCTCACTAAAAATTAGAGAAGTATAAGTGAAAATAATGATTTGACTAGGACATGGGTAAAAATTTAAGTCTATGATAATATCAAATAATGGAGAAAGTCTGAAGAAATGAATACTCTTCTATACCACAGGTGGGAAAGTGAAACTTATAGCTACTATGAGGACAATTTGTTATTATTATAGTGGAAATCTTTTACACCCTATTTCTCTGTAGTTTTACTTCTCAGTAAAGTAAACTCATGTTCAGAACCCAAGAAGTCATGTACAAAGATGCTCTTGGTAGCAACGTTCACTGTAAGAAAGAAAAAGCAAAAACCCCACCTAAATGTCCAACAATGGGGCAATGATTGAATAAGCAAGAATATGTCCACTCGGTGGTCTTCTTGGCACCAGGTGACAGGGTGAAGAGGATCTCTATTTACTGTCATGAAAGGAGACCCAAGACGTTGAGTGGGAAAATAATGTTGTAAAACTATACGTAAAGTACCAGTATTTAAGAATATTTAGGACTATTTAAGAATATTTAATTCTGCTACAGAGAAACAAGAAAAATAAATGAGATGGATAAAACTTATAAGATGTATTAGGTATAGATAGCACTTAAGTGACCCATGACTCATGTTAGACTAGAGTAAATGGACTCAATAAGTAGAGCGTATGCAAGTTGAACAGAAATAGTAAAGGAAGAACATATGAAGTGTCTTCCTATAGAGAAGAAGGAAGGGAAGGACCACGTAAAATTAAATGCGCTCAATTCTTAAGGCACAGACCTTGTTGTCTCTAGGTTGATGATAGCTCTCTCCTGGCTCATCCTTAAATTAACTCACTGGCAACATCCATTCTCTGCCTGAGACACACAGATAAATGTGTGGCTGCTCAGGAGGTTACAGGCAAGCTACACACTTGCCCTTGCACCTCTCCAATAAGGCAAGTGTGTGCTGGCTGCAGGCACCTTCTGCCTGCTTAGGCCCTGTTCCAGACTGAGGACCCTCAAGTGTGGTCCTCCTCGCTACACCATCAGTGGGAGACAGAGCAGGAGAGGGTGGAGACAAGGGAAGGGAAAGGAAGGGAAGATGGGAGAGAGAAGAGGAGAATAGAGGAACAGTGCATAACACAGGTTACAGGGAGGGAGATCCTCCGTCCTCTTTCCCCTTGCTTCTAGCCATATGCTTTAAATGAATTCAATCAGCCAAGTGATTTGAGCATCTTAATTTCTTGGTAAGGCTTTTTGTTTTGTAACCTCTAGGATTACTTGCCTGGTAAGTAGTTGGCATTTATACATAAAGTGAGTACAAAAAAAAGACACATTTCTATAAATTCTTTATATATCTATCGCTCTGTCTTTATGTATGTATGTATGTATGTATGTATGTATCTAATGCATGGATGTATAAATAAAGGTCAGGAAGGTTACACACCACACCAGCAACAGTGGTTACCTCTGAAGAAAGGACTGTGACAGGGAGTAACTGTCAAGGGACACTTGAACTCCATCTGTAACCCTGAAGTTCTCTACAAGGAGAATGTATTAATGTCTTCTTAAAACAAGTATAAAGTGAACTGTGAGGGTCAAGCCCATTTTACAAAAGAGAAAACTGAAACTCAACGAGGATAAGTAAACTCTTACCACAGCTATATGAATAAGATAAAATTATGCCCATTTTACAGATAGGGAAACAAAAAACTAAGTACCTAGAGTAACCGGGGCAGAGCAGAGGTTCAAACCCAAAGTTGCAGCCCTCCGGAGCCCAGGCTAGTGTGGTTCTTTTGCCACAGGCAGCAGACTGTCTGTCTCGTGCTGGAACGATTAGAGCTCAAACTCCTTGAGGACAGACCCAGAGTGATCACTCAGTGCAGATGCTTAATGACAGCAAATGCAAGATAGCATTGTTTTCAAAGTCCCACAGCCAACTTTCCTTCTTTCTTTCCCAAATCCTAGGAGTTGAAAAGCCCTGAAAGCAGCTACACTGAGAGGAGAAAAGCCCCCCCCGCTACAAAAGATTGCCAGCGGAAAGATTAACTACTTTTCCATATTTTAAAGACTTACTGTCTGCTTATTAACATGGTGCTTCGGAGGGGCCTGGGCAATGTTAGCTGTACATTTATGTGTACAATGTGTATTTATGGCCCAGGGTGCAGGGTTGAACTTCATAAAACACACCTCCATCCAGCTGGGCCCAGCAGCCAGGCTGACATCATAGTCAGAGGGGCTGTGGCCTGGTGGGTTTGCCTGGGGGCCAAAAAAGGCGAGGAGGGAAATGCCTCAGCAGAGAATCACAGCGGTTGTTTCTAAGCAGGGATAGGTCAAAATGCGTGAAATAAATTAGGTCCTCGAGGGAAAGGGAGTTGGGAGAGGGAAGCAATTTTGATGTGTCCATTGCCAGAACTGAAATAATCCAGTCCTCCCTTTCCCACTCACTACAGACAGAGGAAGAACTGGAGGGAAAAAGATGATGCGATTTCAAGACAGCCTCCCGTGACAAGACAGAGTATTTGCCGCACACTATCTTCCGAGAGGGGCTTTCCTGAGCAAATGATGAAAGCGATCACCATGCCTCCCTCATACTCCCTCCAAACAAGCACGCGGGATGGGGAGGAACGCAGGGATAAGATCCCCCGAGGACCACAGGATTGCACATGTGGAGAGCTTGTTTGGCTTGCCTTTCATTAAATGGGTACAAAACTGTAGCTTGAAAAATATTTGGTCAGGATAGAATCTTAAAACGTTTTGACCCTAGACTGAGGTATTTCACCCTTTATAGATTTTTACCCTTTATATAGATTCTCCAGATTTTATCCAAAGATAAAATGAAAGCCAATGAGTCGGTCCCAGGGAGCTACTGAATTTGGCACTGGCCCTGTTCACAGTGTCCTGTTCCCCGGCTGGATGGAGCACGTGACTGTGGCTCTCCACCAGGATCCTGTTCTCCTTGGAGGTGGAAAGTGGCCCTATCCCCCACCTGCCCTGCCCCAGCAAGCACCAGGTTTCCCTACATGGACCTGGGCCCATAAGTTGAGAGCAAACATTTGGTGACTGTTTAAATTAAAAGGAAAGCTTAATTATTTTGTATGTGTTCTAGCATAACTGGATAGCCATCTTATGAGACAGTAGGAGGGAGGTGGACAGGAAGAGAAATACACAAATATTTTCTCCTTATGATTATTGATGCAATGATCTCAAATGAAATGTAGTAACTAAACTTCAGCAGGACATTGAAAAAGCAACATAGCATGCCACAGTGAGGATTGGCCTAGAAATGCAAGTGAACAAGATTATTGAGTGGTCCCAGCTTAATGAAAATAGAAACATGAAACAATTTTTTTTTCTTTCGTTTCCTTCCTTTCCTTCCCTTTCCTTCCTTTCCTTCCCTTCCCCCCACCTCTCCTCTCCTCTCCTTCCCTCTCCCTCCTCTCTCTTCTTTCTTTCGACATGGTCTTGCTCTGTCGTCCAGGCTGGAGTGCAGTGGTGCAATCGTAGCTCACTGCAGCCTTGAATTCCTGGGCTCAAGCAATCCTTCCCACTCAGTCTCCCAAGGAGCTGGGACCACAGGAGCATGACCCATGCCTAAGGGTAAAAGTGTCTGTTGGAAGGAAATACCTCTTTGCATGAATACTGACATTCTTGTTGGGTAGGCCCTGACCAGTGTTCACATGGCAGACAAAAGGCAGGCCCGTTTTCTAAGCCAAATAAGCTTGGAGTGGGAGTAGGGGGTTGGGGTAGGATTTCCAACTTTAAATTAGTGCCAGCCAACTCTAGAACTTGTGGTGCATGGTGTCACTTTGTCCTCCCCTAAATCTGGGACTACAAAAAATCCCCACTTGACATCCAGTTCACATCCCAGAAAATCTGTTCATGTAAGACACCCTATACAGCATGGGAAAACAGTCAGTGCTGTGGGATCTGTTCAGTAGGTGCCTAAAAGACACTGGACAGAAATCCCATCCCTGAAAACAATCCTTAAAAGAACAGAAGTAGGCACCCCTTTGTGAATCAAATTTAGCATCATGCTTAGGATAAAACACTCAGAGCAGGCTAATTAGAGTCAGAAGAAGGCAAGGAGGCTCACTCTCCTCTGTTATTTAACCTTGTTCTAAAAGTACCAGCCTATGCAATTAAATCAGAGAAAAGACAGATGATTCTCTGTTGGAACGAAGGAAGTGTTCTCAGGTCCCTAAAGCTTGCCCCTGCCCCCATCCCCATAATAATTTCCTCCGTTTCCCTATATATCTTAATGGTGTTACCCTCTATGCAGTCACACAGCCAGAGATCTCCAATGAACTCTGAACATCTTCCTCCCTGAACATTGCCATGCTCTGGTTTGACTATGTCCTTAATGCCTCTCAAATCCATCCTCCCATCTCCATCCTGCAGGGCCAGCTTTATGGGTGTGACCAGTGTAGTTGCAGAGGGGCCTACTCTCAGAAGGGCTGGTCACTTGGAGTTCAGTGTTCTGCAGGCATGGCTGTCTTAAAATTCTTAACTGTGTCTTTGAATTTGTGTTTTATAAGTGAAGTCCAGAGGCCAATGGGGCATGCACAGGAGTGGAGAGAGGAGGGCTGTGAGGAGGGGGTGGTTGAGGCTTGCCTCATGTACAGTTGCACTCTCCTCCATCTCCCCAGGGTGTTCCCAGCTACCTATTCCCCTCCTGCACTCAGCCCAGCAACTAGAGCCCTGCCCCCCACCTCACCGGCACCTGGCTGGGCCTGGGCCAGGCAAGCAGAGGGTCAAGGCTTGGGAGTGACTGGCAGTGCCACAGCATGTTCAGTGGGTGACTTAGCAGGGGCAAACCTCCCGCCCACCCTGATCCAGGTACTAAGTATTTGGTATTTGATGCAAAGATTGAAATCCCTTGTAGACTGGCTGTGCCCCATGAGTAGGGACAGCAAGCCCCTGGCAAGGGGAGATTCAGTCCCCTCCTCCAGCCAGGACACAGCACCTCGGTCCTGTGGCTAGTGGGAGGGAGAAGCCCTGCGGCTGCTGAGCTGCGCACCCCACCAGGTAACTGGGCAGGGCTCCTTAAGCACTGGGCCAATGTGCAGCCCTGTGTCTGAAGGAGCACAATATTAAAATGGCAAATAAAAAAATCATGAACAGTCAAGAGAGACCACAGAAAGAAGGAAAAAGTTTTACCTTTTAGTACCTTTAAGAATACATTTTTCTTGCTTTTTAAACAAGCAGCCCACAATTTTATTTTGCACTGGGCCTGGCCAATTATGAAGCCAACCCTGCTAATCTGCAAAATGTTAGGCTTATCTTCCAACTGGTCTCCCTGCCACGGCCCATTCTTGAGGTGGTCCTTCCCAAGTGCAAGGCTGACACCCCATCCCTCTTTTTACACCTTTCCACAGCCCCTGTCATCTACCCGATGGTCTGCATTGAGTGAAGCAAACAGGGCCTTTATGTTCTACCTGGCTCTCTCTCCAGCCTGACGTGTTCAACCATCCCAGCCCCAAAGCCACCTTCCTGTCCAACATCCAGGCTGCTGACCTACCCACGAGCCCCTGAGTGCACCATGCTGCTTCTCTCATAGTGCTGAGACCCAGATGGAGCTCTAATTCTTACCTTGGTTGCTCACTGGAATCACCTGAAGAGCATTTTGTTTTGTTTCATTTTGCATTTTTTTTTCTACTGATGGCCATGCCTAACATAAATTATATTGGAATCCTTGCAAGAAGGACCAAGGCATCTTTTTTTTTTTTTCTTTTAAGCTTCTGGAGTGATTCCAACATCCTTCAAGGCTGAGACTGTCTGGTCTAGAATTGTGCTTCTTAAGCTGAGTATGCTTACGGATGACCTGAGGATCTTGCTGAAATGCCAGTTTCTGTTCAGTGGGTCTAGGGTAGGGCCTATGATTCTGCCTTTCTCACCTTCTACCAGGCAATACTGATGCTGCTGGTTCGGGGACCAGCAAGCCTCTGAGTGTTGAAGCCACCTCCTCCCATACCTTTGGAGAACCCCAATTCAGTTATAAAAGACTTATTAAATGTCACTTTCTCCATTAAGCCGTCCTTCTCAAAGGGAAGTATGTCTTCCTCCATTCTCCCATGACATGTTGTAGGTACCTGTATCACCCATATAAAATCCACAGCTTTCTATTTGTGTGTGGAATTAAATGCTCACAGCGACTTTGCCATCCTTGTACTGCTACACTGGAAATGACTAGGACAGACATCAGCACTCTAGGCTACACAAAGGATAGTCTGAAAACTGTAAGCTTTGGAGTGTGTAGAAAATTCTCTTTTTGTAACCCAGGAAAACAAATGGAAGAGTTACCTTCTAGGGCAGCTAAAAGTGAGATCCAATAAGAGACTTCCGTAAATGTCAGATGGGAGGCAGAGGTCAAACACATTAAGAAGCCATAAACAAAACAAATAAGAAAACAAATGGTTTCCCAGTAGGAGCTCAAATCAAAAGCCGTAAGGACAGACGCCTCCAATTCTACAGGTTGGTGGCAGTAGGAATTGATTTAATCATCAATACAGTATAGTGAGTAGGCCAGCTACTGTCTTCCTTTCCTCCATCTTTCTCTAGGTAACCAGGCAGACAGACAGCTATTAATATTTTGTTTTGTAATTTGGGTAATTTTGTTTCCTACTAGACTTCTGAGAGCAAGGCAGAGACCTCCTTTTTTTTGTTTTCTACACGTCATTGAATAACAATGGAAAATGAGAAGATACAGCCAGGTGTGGTGGCTCATGCCTGTTATCCCAGCACTTTGAGAGGCCAAGGAAGGAGGGTCGCTTAACCCCAGGAGTTTGAGACCAGCCTGGGAAACTTATAGTGAGGCTGTATGTCAAAAAAAAAAAAAAAGACAGATATGATGTGTGCCTGTAGTCCCAGCTACTCGGGAGGCTGAGGCAGGAGGATCACTTGAGCCCAGGACTTTGAGGCTGCAGTGAGCTATGATCATGCCACTGCACTCCAGCCTGGGCAACAGACCAAGACACTGTCTCAAAAAACAAACAAACAAAAAATGAAAGATAAAAATATAATTCAAAGTAGCACAAGCTCTTTGGCAAATGGGTTTCATAGAATATAGTACAAGGTTGAAGCAGCCCAGAATTTTTGTTTATTCTCACCATTCTTCAAGGTTCACAACCACTTTCAGAAAACAAAGAGCCCTGTCTGACCTTCTATAGAAGTTTCTCTTTGATATCCAATCTCCCTTCTTTTGGTACAAATATCTTCCTTCTGGGAAGGACTGCACCCTTCCCTCAGGCAGCCCAGGTGCTTCTGAGGAGCTAGTCCTGTCCAGGCATGCTGTCTAGACCTAAGCGGATTGGTACAATTCCTTCCCCTGGAGAAAGCAATGGGTTCAGAGATGGGTACTGAACCTAAGTTATTTCAATCAGTCTGAAACGCAGAATTCTTATCTCTACTCCAAACATATGAAAACAAACACATTTTCAGCCTCAGGAGCCACTGGCAGCTTTCCTGTGCTCATGAAAGGAAATGCCTGCTGGGAAATGCATAGAGAAAACCTGGATCTTGGTCTTAACCTTTGGGAAACTTGAGTAAGCCCTATCTGAAGCTTACATCTCAACTTTTCCCTGTATTGTTTAAGCTTGCTTGAGTTGAGCCTCTGTCATTTGTAAACAAAAGGATATCAAGTGATAAGCTCTTAAATTCCGTATCATCACCACTACATTGCCTGATCACCCTGCAGTTGGAAAATCTAGGCTTTAGGGAGCTGAGCCCTAGAAGCCATAAGCATGGCTCACACCCGGTTTACCCTGGATGGCCTGCCAAGAACCAAGCTGGTATAGGCCTCTTCTGCTCCGTTTCACCAGTGTGGGAAATGTGCTGTGTTTTCATAGTTAAGTGCTAAGATTAAATCGGACCAGCATATTCTCTTTGTTATACTTATTTATTCAAAAATGTATACAATAGACACATTAAGGCATTCCATTTGTGACTTGCTGATGGAGAAAGCACACAAAAAGCCAGAAGGATGCTTTGCCTGCAGGGCAGTGTCCCATGGTGGTATTTATTCTGTTGTAGACAGAATGCATCAGTAAGAGCCATGATAATGACTTCCACTCATCCTCAGCCCACAAGGATTTATTGAGATTTATGGTGCCGACCTACAGCTTGAAAACAACCTGGACAGGAGGTTCTTTGGCATTGTCAGCCCAAGGCAGATGGCAAGGAATGGTATTTTGTGTTTGAAATATGGGAGAGAAACCCCCATGGAATGAAAAGGAAGAGGGGCCCAGTTTTCTTTTCTTATCCCAGAGGAAGGGAATCTCAAAAGAGCTCACAACAAAGGATATTTTTAAAACTTGGCTATCATTTTAGTTTTTCAAAGTTTTTTTTTTCTTTGTACTAGGGTCTTCAGTAAATCTTCTTAATTATGACATGAACCATTTTTCTTCTAATCCCCTTAAGAAGAGTAAGGAGTTTGTTAACTATTTTCACTGAAACTATTAATGTCTTTTCTTATAAATAATGACAATAATAGCTAACATTTACGGAGTGTTTACTTAATGCCAAACCCTTTTCTAAGCAGTTCCCCTTTAATCTTCACACCAACTCAAAGAAATATCATTTTCTCCATTTTATGGATGAAGACACTCAAGCATTAAGTTAAACAACTTTCCCAAATCCTAAAAAGACATCAAATCTCAAAGTATCAAAACTCTACAGAGCTAGACCTGCTTGATGCTAACCTTTGTTTCATCCTTTACACTCTATATAACTAATCACCACCATCATCGTGACTATCATCACCATCACCATCACCACCAACATCGTCTACCACTTACTGAGCACTTACCCTATACAGGCATTGTATGATAGTCTTTACCTAAAATGGACTCATTTCCCAACTCTGTGAGGAACTTCAATAATTAGACCTGATTTTGCTTTAAGATAGCACAGGTTTAATAGGTATGATCTGGATTCCAGCTCTCAGGCAATAGAGCCTGCCATCTCACCCATCATACTGATATGGACAGGAGGCAAGTAAATACTGCGTAGGAGACAGCAGGTCCCTGACAAAGGCCCCACCTTCAAGCCTGGAAACTGGTGGCTCTAAATGGGAACAGTTATTCCTGTTTTTGCACCCAAATATTGCCTCTTGATCCACCATGCTCCCTATCCTGTACCCATATAAACCCCAAACCTCAGGCTCTACAAGCAGACGAGCAGATAAACAGAAGAGCAGCCTGGCAGAGGAGAGAAGAAAAGGAGCATCTGAATGTTGAAAGGAGTTTGGCTGGGGACGGTTGGAGAGGAGAACGGGTGTGGGATAGCTGAACTCCAGGGGAAGATCATCTTCCCATTCCATCCCTTTCCACCCCCCAATCCATCCCACTGAGTGCCACCTCTATCACCCAATAAAATCCCCGTATCCACCATCCTTCAAGTCCATATGTGACCTGATTCTTCTCGGATGCTGGACAAGAACCCGGGTACCAAGAGGGCACTAAGCTGGTTAATACTTAAGCTGTCTATGGACAGCAGAGCTAAAAGAGCACTGTAGCATGCCCACTGGGGCTTCCAGAGTTTCAGCCACACAACCTTAGTTGCCACCGTGGGGCTGGAGCCCAAAAGTGTCCACCCCGGCTCCTGCACCTGCCCGTCTGCATGTTCCCCATCCCATAAGGGGTTTGAGCAGCAGCCACAGCCAGAACAGACAAGCCACACCCCTGTTGCACTTCCTGCGAGGGGGGTCAGATAACTCTCCTGTTTCAATACAACAACATCTCATGTGGAAATGTGTTTGGGCAATAGTAATGTAATGATTCTCTGGTAAACAGAGAAAAGAGAATCTGTCCCTACATCGAAGGGAGAATTTAACATTACCTAGAACTCACAGTTCTAATCTTCTATTTTCTATCATCTTTTATACTGTCTTTCACAATTTCCATGTGAATTGTTGGGTTCATTTAGCAAAATAGAATAGCCTCAGAATGAATCATCAGGAAGCCTGAATAAAAGTGTACACTTTAAAAGTATAAAGAATTCACTGGGAAGTTAAACATCTCCCTTTATGTGATCTGGCAAAGTCAAAGTGTGATCATTGAGAAGTACTTTATAAAAGGTTGGACATCTTGCATTACATGAACAAAATATTTTTGTTAAGTGTACCATGTTAATGGTAAGAAAACAATTGAGCTAAATATGAAGCCAGTTTTGCATAGAAAAAAAGAGCGGCGGCGGGGAGGGGAAGTATCACACCGTTTAAATCCTTCTACTTATCCTGATTTTACAGATGAGGCAATGGCTCAAAGTCACAGAGCTAATAAGATGTGAACCTGGGATTCAAACCCAGGCCATTTGGCCTCAGAGCCTGAGCATGTAACGTTTCTGCCTCTTAGTTCTGAGTAATGAGCTGGCATGTGATTTTTGTTTTATTTTTTACACAATTCTCTATTTTTCAATTTTCTGCAATGAATAGGAATCACATTTTAATAAGCACCAAGAACCATGGAATAATAACTTTCTATTTAAAAAAAACATATATATATATGTATTTTTAAAACTAAATCTCAGTGATCAGTATTTTACTCTATAGTCTCAGTTGCTGACCACCAGAGAAACTAAAACCGGAGTGAAACTTTTCCAGGATCATTAATTGAAAGAACAATGAAATCCCTCCTTAGTGGCCTTGCTGTCCTCTTCTATGTACTCATTTTTACCGTATATCCTTGGGGTGGGTTCTCCCCAGAAGGAATCCTCTCTGAATCTCTCTATAACATCAGCTGTATCACTGCCTGATCTACAATTGGAGCTTGATACATTTTTGCTGACTGAAATAAAAGCTGAATTCATGCCTTCCTACTTTGACTCTATCTAAGCTTTCTGAATAATATATCTTGTAGCTTTGAATTAATATACCAGGGAAATAATTAAACAAATCATGTAGTCTGCTATACTTTGGGTTCTGACTTCTGAAATCAATGCTCCAAATAATTCCCACCCCTATTCAACTGTCCCTTATCACAACATAGCATGATTATTCACTCTGAATAGTGTGAGTACCGTGGTAGAGACCTATAGCCAGGAAGACGTTTGAAGAGAGACAGATGTATTCCAGAAACACTGGATGAAAGGCAATGTTTTAGACTTTTAAATTACTGTTCCTATGGATTTTTTTTTGGTGATTTGTCAAAATTTTGATCATTGAGAATTACTTTATAAAAGGTTGGACATCTTGCATTACATGAACAAAGGATTTTGTTCATTTTGCATGACATGAACAAAGCATTTTGTATTCTAAATAGGAAAAAAATCTCTCACAAGAAAAATCAGAACTATTCTCCCATTCAGTGTATACTTGATCCACACAAAGAATATCAATATGCAATAAAGGGGAAGAAAAAAATGGAGGTGGGAGATAACAGGGTATGCCAGAAAGCCAACTGGTTCAGAAGTTAATGGACTTGAATTGAACTCCCATTGTGAAATTAAATTAATGGGCAAATCACCATGAGAAGTGTTTTGTTCCTTCCCTCTTCTTAGTTTTCCTACCTCATAAGTGATTTCTAAGATCCCTTCCCAATATAATACTAAAATATTTGGCTTTCACATCACTGCTTCCTCCTTAACAAAAAAAATCTCACATTTCTCCAGGCTGTTAACAGACTTCAGTTAGCTATTGCCATTATCTTCTTCCATGAGCTCTCTCCATTGCTAACCCTCTTTTTTGGTGGGATGGGGGGAATCTTGACCTTATAATTTAAAAAATTATTTTGTTGTAAACTGACAATTTATACTGGTATATATTCATGGGGCATGAAGTGATGTTATAATTTATGAATAAAATGTGGAATGATTAAGATTGTTTACATATCTGTATTATTCTCATGCTGCTAATAAAGACATACCTGAGACTGGATAATTTATAAAGGAAAAAGGTTTAATTGACTCACGGTTCCACGTGGCTGGGGAGGCCTCACAATCATGGCAGAAGACGAAGGAAGAGCAAAGGGACGTCTTACATAGTGGCTATTCACTATCACGAGAGCGGCACAGGAAAGACCTACCCCCATGATTCAATTACCTCCCACCGGGTCCCTCCCATGACACATGGAAATTATGGGAGCTACAATTCAAGATGAGATTTGGGCAGGGACACAGCCAAATCATATCAGAATCCATCACCTCAAATACCATGTTTCATGGTGAGAGCATTTGAGATTTATTCTTGTAGCAGTTTTGAAATGTACAATACACTATTATTAACTATATTCACCATGATGTGCAACAGAACTCCAGAAACAGTCCTTATTCTTCCTGTGTGAGATTTTTTACCCTTCAAACATCATTTCCCCATTCCTCCCTCTACCTCAGCCTCTGTTACCACCATGCTACTCTGTTTCTATGAGTTCAGTTGTTTCAGATTCCACATATAAGTGAGAACATGCAGTATTTGTCTTTCTGTGTCTGGCTTATTTCATATAGAATAATGATCTCCAATTCCATCCATGATGTTGCAAATGACAGAATTTCCTTCTTTTTAATGCCAAATAGTATTCCATTGTGCGCTTATACTGCATTTTCCTTATCCATTCATCTATTGATGAACACTTAGGTTGATTCCATAACTTAGCTATTATGAAAAGTGCTGCAGTAAAGATGGGAGTGCAGATATCTCTTTAAAAAATTGATTTCAAATCTTTTGGGTAAATACCCGGAAGTAGGATGGCTACAACTTACGGTAATTCTATTTTTAGTTTTTAAGGAAACTCCATACAGTTTTCTATAATGGCTGTACTAATTTACATTCCCACCAAAAGTGTACAAAGTTTCGCTTTTCTCCACATCCTTCTCAACACTTGTTATCTTTCATCCTTTTAATAAGAGCTAGTCTGGCAGGTGTGAAATGATATCTCATTGTCATTTTAATTTGTATAACCCTGATGATTACTAATATTGAACATGTTTTTCATAGATCTATTGGCCATTTCTATGTCTTCATTTGAAAAGTGTTGATTCAGGTCCCTTGTCCACTTTTTAACTGGGGTTTTTGTTTTGTTTTCTTGCTGTTGAGTTGTTTGAATTCCTTATAATATTTTGGATACTGACCCTTTTTCTGGTATATGGCTTACAAACATTTTCTCTCAATCTGTAGATTGTCTATTCACACTGTTAATTGTTTCCTTTGCTGTTAAGAAGCTTTTTAGTTTGACACAATCTCATCTGTCTATTTTTGCTTTTGTTGCCTATGCTTTTGGGGTCAAACCTAAAAAAACATTGCCCAGACCAATGTGTAGTTTTTAGCATTTCTGTACACTAACACTGAACTATTCAAAAAAGAAATGAGGAGGACAATCCCATTTATAATAGCCACAAAAAAAGCTTAGGAGTAAATTTAACCAAGGAGGTCAAAGACCTGTACACTTAAAACTATTAAACATTGATGAAAGAAACTAAAGAAGCCACCAAAAATGGAAAATATCCTGTTTTTGTAGATTGGAAAAATCAATATTGCTAAGATGTCCATCCAACCCAAACTGATCCACAGATTAAATGCAATCTCTATCAAAATTCCAATTTCATTTTCCGTAGAAATAGAAAAAAAATTCCAAAATTCATGAGAAATCACCACAAGTCCCTAACAGCCAAGGCCATCATAAGTAAAAATCAGTGAAGCTGGAGACACCATACTACATAATTTCAAACTATACAACAAAGCTATAGTAATTAAAACAGCATGATTCTGGCAAAGAAATAAACACATCTATTAATGGAACAGAATAAAGAGCCCAGAAATGAACCTGTACAAATATGGTCAACTGATTTTTACTGGAATACACACTGAGAAAAGGACAGTCTCTTCAACACATGGTGTGGGACAACTGGATATCCACTTGCAAAAGAATGAAACTGGACCTTATCGCACATTATGTACAAAAATCAACTCAAAATAGATTAAAGACTTACATGTAACACCAGATACTATAAAACTACTAGCAGAAAACACAGGGGAAAAATTATGCAGCAGTAGTCTGAGCAATGATTCTTTGGATTTGACACCAACTCTCTTTAATCAGCATGTTTCTTATATAAAAAAGACTTGTTTAAACTCTAAAAGTTAAAATTCAAAAATCCAGAAATGTAACACCTGTGTATCAGTTCTAACTAGTACAGATAAATTCTGTACATGATAAAGGAGAAAAGTTTTAAGAACTAAATATCATATTCCAGGGCTAGAGGCAAAAACGAAACAAAATCACCTTCTGAAGCCTAAAACCAGGCCACCAAAAGCACAAGAAGATCCACTGGTAATTTAAACACATGCTACAATAAAACTCAACATTCTCTAGAAGAATATAACAGAATCCAGGACATCTACAATGTACCATCCACAATATCCAAAGTACAAAACTGACTATGCATGTGAAGAAACTTGTACAGTAATTGTGTCACATAGTAAAATGTGACAAAATAGTCAACAGAAGAATCAATCTAAAGATAGACCAACATCTGGCCCAGGTATTAGAGTTAGTAGATAATGGTAATATATTATACTTTATAATATAGTATATTAAATAATATATTTATATATTAATTAAACTTTAGAAAGTGGCTATACTGAGGTATGAAACGGGGAATTCCAGCAGAAATATGTAAACTATATAAATGAACCAAATGCAAATCTTAAAACAGAAAGAATAAAATATTTTAAATCCAAAATTCACTGAGTGTTATATATTCAAGGCAGACTGAATGCAACAGAAGATAGGATCAGTATACCTGAAGTCAGGTCAATAGAAATTATTCAAATTAGAGAACAAAGAGAAAAACAAGGTTAAAACACAAATGAACAGAAGCTCAGTAAGCAGTAAAATAGTACCAAGTAGTCTAACAAACAAGTATTTAGAATCCCAGAGTTGAGTAAAGAGAAAATGAGTCAAAAAATACACTGAAGAAATACTGACTGGGCTAAAACAAGAGACAGGAATTGGGATTATATTATCCTAAGGTAAGTACACTACACCTGAAGCAATTTAATATTATTTGAAGATAGAACATGAGCAATTAAAGATGTATACTGTAAACCTTAGTGCAACCAATACAAAAAAAAGCTTAAAAGTATATAAACAATAAGCCAATAGCAGGAAAAAAATGGAATCATAAAATAGTCAATATAAAAGACAGAAAAAAAAGAGGATGAACAAGCAGAAATCAACTAGAAAAGTGCTAGATTTCAAGCCAATAATATCAGTAACTTCATTAAAAATAAATGGTCTATATGAATGACCAAATGCTTTTACCTTAAGGTCAGAAACAGAAAAGCATGTCTGATTTTACCATTTCTCCTTTACATTGTACTTGAAGTTACAGCCTGTGCAGTAAGGCAAGAAAGGACATAAAATTCATCCAGATTTTAAAGAAAGGAAGAAATTATCTTTATTTGATGACCGTATGTCCATATTTGTAGGAAATGTAATCAAACCTACCAAAAACTACTAGAAATGATAAGGAAGCTTAGAAAGGATGCAGGATATAAAATTCAATATAGCTAAGCAACTTGGATTTTTTGGTAGCAAAAAGCAGTTGGAAAATGAAGTAATACTACTTAAACAGCATAAAAATATTCAGATTTAGAGAGAAATCTGACAACAGATGTGCAGGAACTATATACTACTGAAAATCATGAATCATTGCTGTTAGAATTTAAAGGAAGCTTGAGTATGAGCATTGGTTAGAAGTCCCAGTGTTGTTAAGATGTCAGTTCTATCTATACTGATTTCCTTATTTTATAAATAAAAGGCAAATCAATCAAAATCCTATCAGAGTAAGGAATAAACTATTAACTACACAACATGGTGAATCTCAAAATAATTAAATGGTATGTAAGGAGCTGGACCAACAAAGAATACATACTGTATGATTCCATTTACATAAAATTCTAGAAAATACAAGCTCATCGATAGTGACAAAAAGAAAATCAGTAGTAACTTGGGGATAGAATTAGGTGGAGAGAAACCAGTGGGAGGGATTACAAAGAGGAAGAAACAAATTTTTAGAGGTAATGGATATACTCATACTTGTTTGTGGTGATAGTTTCATGGATATAGACATTTGTCAAAAATTTTCTAAATGTGCATTTTAAATATGGTCAGTATATTCTACATTAAATATGTGGCAAGTTGTTTAAAAAAAATAAATGGCCCAAATGTACCAATTAAAAGGTAGATTGATATACTGGATTAAAAGGTGAAACCCAATTACGTCCTATCTATAAGAACACACATTAATTGTAAGCATACTGAAAAGATTAAAGCTAAAAGATGGGGAAAGATTCCACGAAAATGTTAGTCACAATGAACCTGCAGTAGCTATATTAATATTAGACAAAGCGTACTTCAGAACAAGGAATACTACAAGTGTAAAAAGGGACATCACAAAATGACAGAGGAGCCAATTCACTAAAAAGGCATAACAATCCTAAATATGCATGTATCTAATGACCAAACCTCAAATAAATGAGACCAAAAATGAATACACATTGAAAGAGAAATAAACAAATCTACAATTACAGTTGGAGACTGCAACACTCCTCTCTTGGTAATGAACAGAAAAAGTAGAATACATAGAAAATCTGTAAGAATATAGAAACCAACTTTACCTAAGTAACATTTATAGAAAACTTTAACAACAACACTATATATATATATATACACACACAGGTATATACATATATATGTGTATATATACACACAAACATATATATAGAATATATGTATATATATGTTCATATGGAATATTCACAAAGTTAGATCATGTTTTGGATCACAAAGCAAATCTTTACAATTTTAAAAGAATTAAAATTATACAAAGAATGCTCCCAAACCATAATAAAATAGAACTCCAAATCAGTAACAGAAAAGTTTCCGGAAAACCCTCAAATATTTTCAAATGAACGATACAGCTTTAAATAACCTCAAGGTCAAAGAGGAAGCCATAAGGAAAATGAGAAAATATTTTGAATTTAATGAAAAGTGTGAGGGGAGGAGCCAAGATGGCCGAATAGGAACAGCTCCAGTCTACAGCTCCCAGAGTGAGCAACGCAGAAGACAGTCATTTCGGCATTTCCATCTGAGGTACCGGGTTCATCTCACTAGGGAGTGCCAGACAGTGGGCGCAGGTCATGGGTGTGTGCACCGTGCACGAGGCGAAGCAGGGCGAGGCATTGCCTCACTTGGGAAGCGCAAGGGGTCAGGGAGTTCCCTTTCTGACTCAAAGAAAGGGGTGACAGACGGCACCTGGAAAATCGGGTCACTCCCACCCGAATACTGCGCTTTTCCGACGGGCTTAAAAAACGGCGCACCACGAGATTATATCCCACACCTGGCTCGGAGGGTCCTACGCCCACGGAGTCTCGCTAATTGCTAGCACAGCAGTCTGAGATCAAACTGCAAGGCGGCAGCGAGGCTGGGGGAGGGGCGCCCGCCATTGCCCAGGCTTGCTTAGGTAAACAAAGCAGCCCGGAAGCTCGAACTGGGTGGAGCCCACCACAGCTCAAGGAGGCCTGCCTGCCTCTGTAGCCTCCACCTCTGGAGGGAGGGCACAGACAAACAAAAAGACAGCAGTAACCTCTGCAGACTTAAATGTCCCTGTCTGACAGCTTTGAAGAGAGCAGTGGTTCTCCCAGCATGCAGCTGGAGATCTGAGAAAGGGCAGACTGCCTCCTCAAGTGGGTCCCTGACCCCTGACGCCCGGGCAGCCTAACTGGGAGGCACCCCCCCAGCAGGGGCACACTGACACCTCACACGGTAGGGTATTCCAACAGACCTGCAGCTGAGGGTCCCCTCTGTTAGAAGGAAAACTAACAAACAGAAAGGACATCCACACCAAAAACC
Source organism: Homo sapiens (assembly GCF_000001405.40). Classification (NCBI taxonomy): domain Eukaryota; kingdom Metazoa; phylum Chordata; class Mammalia; order Primates; family Hominidae; genus Homo; species Homo sapiens. Next base: position 55,051,274 of record NC_000003.12, on the reverse strand, counting down.
CATCTGTACATCACCATCATCAAAGACCAAAAGTAGATAAAACCACAAAGATGGGGAAAAAACAGAGCAGAAAAACTGGAAATTCTAAAAAGCAGAGCACCTCTCCTCCTCCAAAGGAACACAGTTCCTCACCAGCAATGGAACAAAGCTGGATGGAGAATGACTTTGACGAGCTGAGAGAAGAAGGCTTCAGACAATCAAATTACTCTGAGCTACGGGAGGACATTCAAACCAAAGGCAAAGAAGTTGAAAACTTTGAAAAAAATTTAGAAGAATGTATAACTAGAATAACCAATACAGAGAAGTGCTTAAAGGAGCTGATGGAGCTGAAAACCAAGGCTCGAGAACTACGTGAAGAATGCAGAAGCCTCAGGAGCCAATGCGATCAACTGGAAGAAAGGGTATCAGCAATGGAAGATGAAATGAATGAAATGAAGCGAGAAGGGAAGTTTAGAGAAAAGAGAATAAAAAGAAATGAGCAAAGCCTCCAAGAAATATGGGACTATGTGAAAAGACCAAATCTACGTCTGATTGGTGTACCTGAAAGTGATGGGGAGAATGGAACCAAGATGGAAAACACTCTGCAGGATATTATCCAGGAGAACTTCCCCAATCTAGCAAGGCAGGCCAACGTTCAGATTCAGGAAATACAGAGAACGCCACAAAGATACTCCTCGAGAAGAGCAACTCCAAGACACATAATTGTCAGATTCACCAAAGTTGAAATGAAGGAAAAAATGTTAAGGGCAGCCAGAGAGAAAGGTCGAGTTACCCTCAAAGGGAAGCCCATCAGACTAACAGCGGATCTCTCGGCAGAAACTCTACAAGCCAGAAGAGAGTGGGGGCCAATATTCAACATTCTTAAAGAAAAGAATTTTCAACCCAGAATTTCATATCCAGCCAAACTAAGCTTCAGAAGTGAAGGAGAAATAAAATACTTTACAGACAAGCAAATGCTGAGAGATTCTGTCACCACCAGGCCTGCCTTACAAGAGCTCCTGAAGGAAGCGCTAAACATGGAAAGGAACAACCGGTACCAGCCGCTGCAAAATCATGCCAAAATGTAAAGACCATCGAGACTAGGAAGAAACTGCATCAACTAATGAGCAAAATAACCAGCTAACATCAAAATGACAGGATCAAATTCATACATAACAATATTAACTTTAAATGTAAATGGACTAAATGCTCCAATTAAAAGACACAGACTGGCAAATTGGATAAAGAGTCAAGACCCATCAGTGTGCTGTATTCAGGAAACCCATCTCACGTGCAGAGACACACATAGGCTCAAAATAAAAGGATGGACGAAGATCTAACAAGCCAATGGAAAACAAAAAAAGGCAGGGGTTGCAATCCTAGTCTCTGATAAAACAGACTTTAAACCAACAAAGATCAAAAGAGACAAAGAAGGCTATTACATAATGGTAAAGGGATCAATTCAACAAGAAGAGCTAACTATCCTAAATATATATGCACCCAATACAGGAGCACCCAGATTCATAAAGCAAGTCCTCAGTGACCTACAAAGAGACTTAGACTCCCACACATTAATAATGGGAGACTTTAACACCCCACTGTCAATATCAGACAGATCAACGAGACAGAAAGTCAACAAGGATACCCAGGAATTGAACTCAGCTCTGCACCAAGCGGACCTAGTAGACATCTACAGAACTCTCCACCCCAAATCAACAGAATATACATTTTTTTCAGCACCACACCACACCTATTCCAAAATTGACCACATACTGGGAAGTAAAGCTCTCCTCAGCAAATGTAAAAGAACAGAAATTATAACAAACTATCTCTCAGACCACAGTGCAATCAAACTAGAACTCAGGATTAAGAATCTCACTCAAAACCGCTCAACTACATGGAAACTGAACAACCTGCTCCTGAATGACTACTGGGTACATAACGAAATGAAGGCAGAAATAAAGATGTTCTTTGAAACCAACGAGAACAAAGACACGACATACCAGAATCTCTGGGACGCATTCAAAGCAGTGTGTAGAGGGAAATTTATAGCACTAAATGCCCACAAGAGAAAGCAGGAAAGATCCAAAATTGACACCCTAACATCACAATTAGAAGAACTAGACAAGCAAGAGCAAACACATTCAAAAGCTAGCAGAAGGGAAGAAATAACTAAAATCAGAGCAGAACGGAAGGAAACAGGGACACAAAAAACCCTTCAAAAAATTAATGAATCCAGGAGCTGGTTTTTTGAAAGGATCAACAAAATTGATAGACCGCTAGCAAGACTAATAAAGAAAAAAAGAGAGAAGAATCAAATAGATGCAATAAAAAATGATAAAGGGGATATCACCAGCAATCCCACAGAAATACAAACTACCATCAGAGAATACTACAAACACCTCTACGCAAATAAACTAGAAAATCCAGAAGAAATGGATAAATTCCTCGACACATACACTCTCTCAAGACTAAACCAGGAAGAAGTTGAATCTCTGAATAGACCAATAACAGGAGCTGAAATTGTGGCAATAATCAATAGTTTACCAACCAAAAAGAGTCCAGGACCAGATGGATTCACAGCCGAATTCTATCAGAGGTGCAAGGAGGAACTGGTACCATTCCTTCTGAAACTATTCCAATCAATAGAAAAAGAGGGAGTCCTCCCTAGCTCATTTTATGAGGCCAGCATTATTCTGACACCAAAGCCTGGCAGAGACACAACCAAAAAAGAGAATTTTAGACCAATATCCTTGATGAACATTGATGCAAAAATCCTCAATCAAATACTGGCAAAACGAATCCAGCAGCACATCCAAAAGCTTATCCACCATGATCAAGTGGGCTTCATCCCTGGGATGCAAGGCTGGTTCAATATACGCAAATCAATAAATGTAATCCAGCATATAAACAGAGCCAAAGACAAAAACCACATGATTATCTCAATAGATGCAGAAAAAGCCTTTGACAAAAATTCAACAACCCTTCATGCTAAAAACTCTCAAGAAATTAGGTACTGATGGGACGTATTTCAAAATAATAAGAGCTATCTATGACAAACCCACAGCCAATATCATACTGAATGGGCAAAAACTGGAAGCATTCCCTTTGAAAACTGGCACAAGACAGGGATGCCCTCTCTCACCACTCCTATTCAACATAGTGTTGGAAGTTCTGGCCAGGGCAATTAGGCAGGAGAAGGAAATAAAGGGTATTCAATTAGGAAAAGAGGAAGTCAAATTGTCCCTGTTAGCAGATGACATGATTGTATATATAGAAAACCCCATTGTCTCAGCCCAAAATCTCCTTAAGCTGATAAGCAACTTCAGCAAAGTCTCAGGATACAAAATCAATGTACAAAAATCACAAGGATTCTTATACACCAATAACAGACAAACAGAGAGCCAAATCATGAGTGAACTCCCATTCACAATTGCTTCAAAGAGAAGAAAATACCTAGGAATCCAACTTACAAGGGATGTGAAGGACCTCTTCAAGGAGAACTACAAACCACTGCTCAAGGAAATAAAAGAGGATACAAACAAACAGAAGAACATTCCATGCTCATGGGTAGGAAGAATCAATATCGTGAAAATGGCCATACTGCCCAAGGTAATTTACAGATTCAATGCCATCCCCATAAAGCTACCAATGACTTTCTTCAGAGAAGTGGAAAAAACTACTTTAAAGTTCGTATGGAACCAAAAAAGAGCCCACGTCACCAAGGCAATCCTAAGCCAAAAGAACAAAGCTGGAGGCATAACGCTACCTGACTTCAAACTATACTACAAGGCTACAGTAACCAAAACAGCATGGTACTGATACCAAAACAGAGATATAGATCAATGGAACAGAACAGAGCCCTCAGAAATAACGCCGCATATCTACAACTATCTGATCTTTGACAAACCTGAGAAAAACAAGCAATGGGGAAAGGATTCCCTATTTCATAAATGGTGCTGGGAAAACTGGCTAGCCATATGTAGAAAGCTGAAACTGGATCCCTTCCTTACACCTTATACAAAAATCAATTCAAGATGGATTAAAGACTTAAATGTTAGACCTAAAACCATAAAAACCCTAGAAGAAAACCTAGGCATTACCATTCAGGACATAGGCATGGGCAAGGACTTCATGTCCAAAACACCAAAAGCAATGGCAACAAAAGACAAAATTGACAAATGGGATCTAATTAAACTAAAGAGCTTCTGCACAGCAAAAGAAACTACCATCAGAGTGAACAGGCAACCTACAAAATGGGAGAAAATTTTTGCAACCTACTCATCTGACAAAGGGCTAATATCCAGAATCTACAATGAACTCAAACACATTTACAAGAAAAAAACAAACAACCCCATCAAACAGTGGGCAAAGGACATGAACAGACACTTCTCAAAAGAAGACATTTATGCAGCCAAAAAACACATGAAAAAATGCTCATCATCACTGGCCATCAGAGAAATGCAAATCAAAACCACAGTGAGATAGCATCTCACACCAGTTAGAATGGCAATCATTAAAAAGTCAGGATACAACAGGTGCTGGAGAGGATGTGGAGAAATAGGAACACTTTTACACTGTTGGTGGGACTGTAAACTAGTTCAACCATTGTGGAAGTCAGTGTGGTGATTCCTCAGGGATCTAGAACTAGAAATACTATTTGACCCAGCCATCCCATTACTGGGTATATACCCAAAGGACTATAAATCATGCTGCTATAAAGACACATGCACACGTATGTTTATTGCGGCATTATTCACAATAGCAAAGACTTGGAACCAACCCAAATGTCCAACGATAGACTGGATTAAGAAAATGTGGCACATATACACCATGGAATACTATGCAGCCATAAAAAATGATGAGTTCATGTCCTTTGTAGGGACATGGATGAAATTGGAAATCATCATTCTCAGTAAACTATCGCAAGAACAAAAAACCAAACACTGCATATTCTCACTCATAGGTGGGAATTGAACAATGAGGTCACATGGACACAGGAAGGGGAATATCACACTCTGGGGACTGTGGTGGGGTGGGGGACGGGGGGAGGGATAGCATCGGGAGATATACCTAATGCTAGATGACGAGTTAGTGGGTGCAGCGCACCAGCATGGCACATGTATACATATGTAACTAACCTGCACAATGTGCACATGTGCCCTAAAACTTAAAGTATAATAAAAAAAAAGACGTTAAAAAAAAAAGTGTAACATAAAACCTATCAAAATTTTTAGGATATAGTTAAAGAAGTACTTCAGAGAAAATTTCTAATATTAAATGTTTATATTAGAAAGAAGAAAGTCCTCAAATCAATAATCTGAGTTTCTACTATAAGAAACTAGAAAAAGAAGAGTAAAATTCAAAGCAAGGAGGACAAAGAAAACAATGAAGAAGAGAATATTAGAATTGAGAATAGAAAACAATAGAGAAATCAAACTAACAGCTGGTTCTTTTAAATGATCAATAAAACTAATAAACTTTTAGACTGTTTTATCTATTACAAAGTAAAAAGAGAAAAGACATAAACTAAAACTATTAGTAAGAAAGAAACGACATTACTACAGATTCTACAGACACTAAAAGAGCAATAAGGAAATACAAAACAATCAAAACAATGCTCATAAATTCAATAACTTAGATGAACTAAAGAAATTCCTTGAAAGACACAAACTACCAAAGCTCACTCAAGAAATAATAGCTAACTTCAATGATCTTAAATAAAGATATTGAATTCATAGCTACAACTTTTTCTACAACGAAATCTCTAAGCCCAGATGTCTTCACTGGGGAATTCTACTAAACATTTAAGGGAGAAGTAGTACAGATTTGACACAAAATCTTCTAGAATATAAAAGAGGAGAGAACACTTCACAAGTGTTTTTATAAGGCTAGCATCATCCTGATATCAAAACCAGATGACAGCATTATAAAAAGACCACTATAGGCTTGACGCGGTGGCTCACGCCTGTAATCCCAGCACTTTGGGAGGCCGAGGTGGGTGGATCACCTGAGGTCAGGAGTTCAAGACCAGCCTAGCCAGCATGGTGAAACCCCATCTCTACTAAAAATACAAAAAATTAGCCAGTCATGGTGGCAGGCACCTGTCATCACAGCTACTTGGGAGGCTGAAGCAGGAGAATCACTTGAACCTGAGAGGCGGAGGTTGCAGTGAGCCAAGATCATACCACTGCATGCCAGCCTGGGCAACAAGAATGAAACTCTGTCTCAAAAACAAAAACCACTATATATCAACAGACCTTATTAACATAGAGTAAAAAAGCCACAACATAATATTAGCAATTTGAATACAGTAATATAAAATAGAACAATATATCATGACCAAGTATGGTTTACCCCAAGAATCCAAGACCAGTTCAAGATTCAAAAATTATCTAAAGACTAAAGAAGTCCATATGATTATCTCAAATGATGAGAAAAAATATTTGACAAACTTTAGCAACCTTTTTTGATAAAAGAGAAATAAATCTCAAGAAATTAGGAACAGAAGGAACTCCCTTAACTTGATAAAGGATGTTGAAATAAACAAACAGTAAACATTAGACTTAATGATAAAATTCTAACAGCTTTCCCCCCTAAAACTGGGAACATGGCCAGGGTGTCTGCTGGCACTCTCCTATTCACCATCACTCTGGAGGTTCCAGTCAGTGCAATAAGAGAGAGAGAAAAAAAAAGAAGAAATAAAAGAAACAAAAGGCATACAGATTGGAAAGGAAGAAATATAACCATCTTAATGCACATACGATATAATCTGTCTACATAGAATAGTCTAAGATGCTATAAAAAAGCAAGTGTTGACTAATAAGTTAGTTTAGAAAAGTTCAGAAACGAGATAAATATAGAAAAATCAATCATGTTTCTAAATCCTAGCAATGAACAGTTCGTAATTGAAATGAAAAAGTATAATTTATAATAGCACTAAAGGTACAAGAAATAGGTATAACGTTTTAAAAACTGGAAAAATCATTATATTGAAAACTATAGAATACTGATGAAAAAACAAAGACAACTGAAATAAATAGATGGTTACACCATGCTTATGGACTGGAAGACTTGGTTGTGTTAAGATGTCAGGGCTCCCCAGCTGAGCTATATAATCAACCCAGTTTCAAACAAAATCCCAGCAGACTTTTCAAAATATTTCTAGACAAGCGTATTTTAAAATTTACATGGAAAGGCAAATGTACTAGAATAGCCAAAGGCATTTTGAAAAAGAATAAAGTAAAGGATTCTTCTTGCTTGATTTCAAGACTTAATATAATGCTATAATAATCAAGACGGTTTTATATTAGAGAAAAGACAGACACATAGATAAATTAAAATGTGTTCAATCAGATGTATACATATATAGTCACTGGAATTTCAACAAAGGTTCAAAGGCAAGTCAGTGGAGAAATGACAGTCTTTTCAACAAATGATAATGGAATAATTGGATATCCATAATGCTAAATCACACCATGTATAAAAATTAATTCCAAATGAATCACAGACCTAAATGTAAAGCTGACGAGTATAAAATTTATAGAAGAAAGCATAGAAGAAAAACTTTTGTGACCTTGGGTTAGGCAAAGATTTCTTAGATATGAAACAAAAGTACAATCCATTAAAAAGTCAATCAATGGGATTTCAATGAAATAAAATACTTTCTGCTCTGTGCAAGATACTATTAAGACAATGAAAAGACAAGCTGCAGGCCATGTTTTTACAAAGGATTTGTATCTAGAATATACAAAAAATTTGCAACAGTAAAAAACTCAATAAAAAGAAAACAAAGTACCTTTTTTTTTAAAATGAGCAAAACATTTGAACAGATATTGAATAAGATGTAGATCACAAGGAATTACATGAAAAGAATCTTAAAATCATTATTCGTCATGGAAGTGCAAAACCACAATGAGATGCCACTATGGTACCCTTAAAAATGGCAAGAAAGAAAGAAAGAAAGAAAGAGAGGGAGGGAGGGAGGGAGCAAGGAAGGAAGGAAGGAAGGAATGAATAATACCAAGAGCTGGCAAGGATAAGGAACACCTGGAACTCCCCTACAGTGCTGACAAGAAGGCAAAATGGTACAGATACTATGTAAAACAGTTTGGAGGTTACTTTCTTCTACAATTAAACACACATTTCCCACACAATCCAGCAACCCCACTCCCAGGTTCATTCAGGTGAAATGACAACCTTATGTTCATACAAACACCTACATGTGAATGTTTATGGTGGTTTTATTCATAATCACCAAAAACTCCAAAGTGTCCAAATGTCCTTCTACTGGATAATGGATAAACAAAATATGATACATTTATACAGTGAATACCAGCAGTAATATGAATAAATCTCAAATGCATTATGCTGATATAAGAAGTCAGATTTTAAAGGCTATATTCTGTATGATTCTACTTATATGACATTCAGGAAAAGGCCAAATTGTAGGGTCACAAAAATATCATGGTTTCCGATGAGCTGTGGTTGGGGGAATGGATTGACTGGGAATAGACTGACCTCCAGTGCACCTAAGGAGAATTTTCTCAGATGATAGAATTGCTATATCTTGATTATAGTAGTAAATACACAACTGTAAATATTTCTCAAAACTCATAGAAGTCTATGGCAAAAGGAGCCAATTTTATCACGAGTAAATTGAAAATGTAAATAAAAATACAGTAAAATATACCATAAGCAATAACAGCTAAAAAGAAAGACCAAAACATATGCTGTTTCAAAGAGGAGAACTTAAATACAAAGACACAGATAAGTGGAAGGTAAAAAGATGGTAAAAGATGTAACATGCTAATTCTAAGTGGAAGAAAGCTGGTTTGGCTAAATTAAGATCAGACAAAGACAAAGGATGTCACCAGAGATAAAGACGGCCATATTCTAAGAGTGAAAATAAGACAGAAAATAAGATAACCAAGAAGACATAAAAATTCCAGATGTGTAAGCACATAATAACAGGATTTCAAAATAATGAAACAAAAATTTACAGACTAAAGGGAGAGAGACGTAGATCCACAATTGTAGTTGGAGATTTTAACAAATCTCTCTTGGGATTTTATCAAACATTTCAGCCATAAATAAATTAGAATACAGAAGATTTCAACAACACAATGTCTTGACCTAATTCACATTTATAGAATATTTCAACTAACAACTACCAAATATACATTCTTTTAAAATGCACATGGAATATTCACCAAAATAGCAATATTCTGGACCATAAAATTAATCTGAAAAACATTAAAATACTGACATCATGCAGAATATGATTTCCAACCACAACAGAGTTGAAGTAGGAATAAAACATATTAAGGTATCTAGAAATTCTTTAAAAATAATTAGAAAATTAAGCGGCACACTTCTAAATAACACATGCCAAAAGAAATCACAATGCAGATTAGAAAATATTTAAACTACAAGACAGTAAAAGGCATCATATCAAAACCTGTGGAATATCACCACTCCTAGAGGGAAATGTATAGATTTAAATGTTTATTAGAGAATAAAAATGATCTAAAAATAATGATCTAAGCTTTCACCTTAAGAAACTAGAAAAAAAGCAAATAAACCCAAAGAAAATAGAAGAAATCATAAAGATCAAAAAAATAGGCAATGAAATAGAAAGTGAACAATATGGACATATTTTTTAAACACCAAAGAATGATTTTTTGAAAAAAGCAAATAAAAGCTTTAGAAAATCATTTGCAACACATTTCATTATAAAGAATTATTTCTAACACATGTAAAAACAACTGCACTCTCACTTCTAATAAGTTAAATGAAAATTGGAACTACAATAAGTTAGCATTTTTTAAATCTACTGTAGATTGGAAAAAAATCCAAGGGTTTGATAATGCCCCCACTGGCAAGTCTAAAGAGTAACAGGTACTTGCATACATTACTAGAAGAAATGCAAAATGATACAACTTCCATGGAGGAGTTTGGTAATATCCAGAAAAATTATATATGTGTTTACCCTTTCACCCAGCAATCCCAAGTCTATGAATCGATCCCAAAATGTTAAATTATACATGCATTAAGCTGTTCATTGTAAGATCATGTGTAATAAGACAAGGCTCGAAGTAACCTGAATGTCAATGAGTAGGAGACTGAGCAAGCAATTGTATCTCTATACAATGGAGTACCATGCAGCTTTGAAACAGAATGAGGGAAATCTCATTTCCAAAACCTATGAGGAAAGATCAGTGGCATATAATATAATATGAAGAAAGGCATGGTGCTGAAGAGTGTGTATGATATGCTTCATTTTGTAAAAGAAATGAAAAAAATGAATACATTTCAATTTTTCTTATATTTTAACAACAGCTAAATAAAAAGCTAAACCAACTACCAAAAATGATTACCTATTAGGAGAGAGAGAAAATAGGATGAAGGATTGGGAAATGGAAGCGATGCTGCTCTAAATTACCTCATTTTGTGGTTGTGGCATTGACACCATGTGCATGCACATTTTGTATAACTGAAAAAAGCACTCCTCAAATCAAAAATAACAATAACGAAAAACCCTCCTGTATAAGAAATTGTTGGAGTAACCCCACAAAGCAAAAAGTATTTCAAATGGCTTTTTTATTATTAGAGATGAGGTCTCACTATGTTGCCCAGGTTGGAGCACAGTGGCATGATCATAGATCATTGCAGCCTCAGACTCCTGGGCTCAAGTGATCCTCCCGCTTTAGCCTCCTGAGTAGCTGGGACTACAGGTGTGTGCCATTGTACTCCGCTTTAAATGACTTTAAAACACAGTTTTTTTCAAACTATTTCCATCTTGTGATTTAGCCTAAAAATAAAAAAACTACAAAGAATTCTTAAACAATACTGAGTCATTCTACTTTTAGCAACAATATTGATATGGATATTTGAATATTATTTTTGTATGTTGTAGCTTAAATAATTATTATGCTGATATGGTTAGGAAGTGAGATTTTTAGTGTAAGAGAAAAGAGATACACTATGGGTTGAACTGTATCCCACCCAGAGTCATATGTTGAAACTCTTACCTGCAATGTGATGGTCTTTAGAGACAGGGCCTTTGGGAGGTAATTAGCTTTAGATGAGGTCATAAGGGTAGAGCCCTCATGGTGGAATACATGCTCTCCTAAGAAGAAACCAGAGACGAACCTGCTCCATCTATCACGTGAGGATACAGCAAGAAGGCCATTCACTAACTAAAGAAGAGAGCCGTTACCAGAACCTGACCATGCTGGCACCCTCATCTAGGACCTCCCAGCCTCCAAAAATGTGGGAAATAAATGTCTACTATTTAATCCATCCAGCCTACGGTATTTTTTTTTTAAACAGCAGCCAGAGTAGACTTAAACAAGGTACAAGTATGAATCCAAGAAGTTAATTAAAAATCACGCAATTTTGATTTGGAAGTAGAACTATTAGCATGAGCACTTGATTTATTGTCTCTTTCTAAACAAAAATATATTTCCTAGGTTTGACTCCTAAAAAGACTTAAAAGATTTTGGCAAAGCCATTAGCAATGAATACTTAGGCCCAGATTGTGGTCTCTAAATAACATTTCCCAATAAACAAAACCAAGGCTCCCTTGAAAATGGCTGATTCCAGATTTGAGGCAGAAAATGTACAAAATAAGCCTGTAATATCTTGTTATGCAGAACCCAAGGAAATTATCAAAGACTAATGAGGTACTGTCAAAAGGTCACAAGGACCAAGTTGAAGTGGCTTCCACAGGCCAAAGACGAGAAAGTTGTTATCAAATAAATTATATCTTCAAGACAAAACACTAACAATTGTTGAAGCTGCATATGGGTACACAGGGTTCATTCCACTATTCTTCCTAATTTTGTATGTCTGTCACACTACCACAGAAAACATTTCACAATTCATCTTTTCCAACGACCATTAAAAGGTCAAAAAGAGATTTGTGCATCAAATCAGAATTTTTCTGATTTCTCACTCTTCTGCGTCTTTTCCCCGTAGTCAATCTCTGAATTATCGTTTTGGGGGATAAGAGAATAGCATAGTGCTGCAGGCTGGGGCATTTTCTGAAGATGAACATCATAAAGTCCTGGCATGGGACTCACTGTTCTTTGGTTTCTACAGGTGAAGAAATGAGTGCTTCTGCCTCTTTTAGGTTTTTCTATGGCTCTATTTCAAGAAATGTATTTTGCGAAGATGCTAGAATGATCTTTCAGGGTAGCCAACATGTGCTTCCTTTCTGGTTCTTGTAACTAAAGTTGCAGGGCAGCATCTCTGCTTCACAATCCCGGTTCCATGGCTGATGACTCCCTTCTTTTTGGCACACAGCTCTAGTCTAGTCCATCCCCCCAACCTCCCAGCTTAATAATCACACCAATAGGTTAATATTTATATATTCAGTGTGTGTATATATATATATATATATATATATATATATATATATATATATAGCATCCTGGCTACTTCACTTATCTTAGCATTATTTCCAAGGCATTTACTATCTTATAACTATCTCAAGAACCACGACTGACTTTTATCCCATCCATTCTATATGGAAATTATTAGCCTGAGTGCCTCTCAAGGTGGGTTTTATGGAACTGTTCTACCTGTTTTGTTGATAAGTGTTTGGTGAATTCCTGGTTAAAAAGAGTTCAACAGGTTTCTTCGCTGCAGGACTTCTCAGGGTCTTTAACAGGCTAACATGAATTCTAACTTTCTAAGAGGAACAAGGAATAACAGTGTTATATACCTGTGAGTGCATATTAATATGTGCGTATACCACATTTCACGTTTTTATATGTATATATAGCACTTATGTTCACACCTGTAGATGCAAATTTGTATGTGCATCTATAGCATTTGATGTCACGCCTGTGAATGCATGTTCATATATTGATATGCAACACATCTCATATGTGTTTGGCTCCATGGCCCTAACTGCTTTAGGCATTTGGTGATGCTATTATTCCATAGAAAACCCATTGGAAAAATGCGTCTCCTGCGTGAAAATTGTAGGATGAAATATGCTAACTGCTATGTTCACCTTAATAATCTAAGGAGGAGAAAATAAAAGGTTTAAATGAAAATAAACACATGCATGGGTCTTAGCATGGATTTCAATCTGCTTGTTCTAGGTACCACAACCAAATTTTCCGACTATTACAGACTTTGGTTGCTTGAGGATTTCATGTCTATTTGGATAAAACAGCACAACTTTTAGAAGCAATTGCTTTATCATGGATGTTAGTGAAAGAGAGAGAGAGTCCTAAATTTAAGGCAAAATAAGTTGTTAGGAAAATACAGTGACTTCTCAGGAAGGTTATACAACTACATCTCAGACTCAAGGACAAGACCCCAGTTTATCCGATTTTTAATCGCTGGTGCTCACTGCAGTATCTGTCTTCACATGTGTTCACAGGGAGCAGAAACCTGCATAAATGAATACATTTAATAAAATATATTTACTTTCATCTAAAAACGGCAGGGTTGTACCTTACAGTTTTTGCTTTTAAAAATATGGTTAACGCCAGGGAAAGCAAACAAACTTATTGCTTCAGAGGGGAGAAGTGACATCACAGACGACAATTTATAAAAAGAAATAAAACATACACTAAAATGAGATGGAAGATGTATGTCATGATACCCTAAACCATTAATTTGTCCCATTCTTTAAAAATCACAGAGTTGGTGATCTGGAGAAATCCATCGCTGTTTACTCTCTACCCTCTCTAAATTGATGGCGATGGCAGACTTCTGCATCCTGGCTTTGGTTTATCTTCGGCCCGCCCTCTTGCAGGGAGGTATTATCTGCTTTCTCCAAGACCCTAGGACACAAGTTCTGAAATTCCTCCTCTCAAAAGTGCCACTGATGTCTGAGGGAGTTGGTTGAGGTTTTCCTGAAGCCCTGATTCCAAGCTCAAGTATGATTACTCATCCCATTTTAACTGCCACTCATTTTCCATAAGTTCAACTTTAAGCTGTAGGTTCACCATCTTTCTCTGAGCCAGTTGTGTTTTAACCACATCTCCTAATCGTGGCCCAGAACACACAATGGTGGTGCATCACTTCAGACAACTTCTAGATCTCTGGAGAGGGAGGAGTGCAAATGAAACTTTTGGTATAACTTTACCCTTGGTTTCTTCTTCTTTTGTCTTATTTGTTCACTTTTTCCTAGTTTATGCAAAAGAGAAAGAGTCTAGCTTTGGGTAATGAAATCCAGGAAATTACTGTCATGTCCTATTGTGTTATACACGAGGAGATCCTGCAGAGGTTTTCCCAGCCTGGCCATGCATCAGAATCACCTGGGAAACCTGGCCAAAGTGCAGATTCCCAGACTCACCTCCTGGCCACTGGGAATCAGGTGGTCTGGGCTGAGACCCAGAATCATACACTTCTATAGGCACCCCAGATGATTCTGGGGAGGCTAGTCATGTGTTTAGGAACTACTGCTAAATATTCTGAAAGAAAAAGAATTTAAAAAATGGTATCATTTTTTAAAGTGAAAAGTCAAATTCCTTTGCTCATAGTGACTGTCTTAAAAATAAAACACGGCCGAGCGCAGTGGCTCACGCCTGTAATCCCAGCACTTTGGGAAGCCGAGGTGGGTGGATCACAAAGTCAGGAGTTCGAGACCAGCCTGGCCAATATGGTGAAACCCTGTCTCTACTAAAAGTACAACAACTAGTTGGGCGTGGTGGCACACGCCTGTAATCCCAGTTACTTGGGAGGCTGAAGCAGGAGAATCGCTTGAACCCAGGAGGTGGAGGTTGCAGTGAGCCAAGATCGCGCCACTGGACTCCAGCCTGGGCAACAGAGTGAGACTCCGTCTCAAAAAAATAAAAAATAAAAAATAAAAAATAAAATAAATAAAAATAAAAATAAAACACAAGGGTTTTGTGTGTATGGCTTGGTGCAATCTCAACTCACTGCAACCTCCGTCTCCCAGGTTCAAGTGATTCTCCTGCCTCAGCCTCCCGAGTAGCTGGGATTACAGGTGCGTACCATCATGCCCGGCTAATTCTGGTATTTTTAATAGAGACAGAGTTTCACCATGTTGGCCAGGCTGGTCTCGAACTCCTCACCTCAAGTGATCTACCCACCCTGGCCTCCCAAAGTGCTGGGATTACAGGTGGGAGCCACTGCACCTGGTCAAGGGTGTTTTCATTTTATGGTTAATAGACTATGCCAAGTGGTTTAATGTAATCACCCACAGGTACAGGTGCCCTTGGCACAGTCACTACCTTTACCCTGTCAAACTTTACTTGTTAACACCACATCAGACTTCAGGCAACACCTGGTGGAACTGATGTTGTATCTACACAGCAAAGGGGCATGGAGAATTCAAGTTAACGTGTATTCAAGACCTTTCTCTTGAATTATCTACATCACTGGGGCTACCAAATTTTAATATCCATCCTCACTCATCAGTTACTGGACAGTCTGTCTGAATTCACCACTTCACATAACATATAGAACCATAGCCGGAAAGCATTTTTAGAATTATCCTAAATACCCTGACCATTCAAGGGTATATATTTTCTACCCTGCTCAGTTTCCAAACACGGCAAACAAGATTGTCTATTATTTGTTTTGCCTCCTTTCTTCAACACCAATTCAATTTTCGGAGCTTGATAAGCATGCATTTGAAGCCCATGTCCTTTATAACGGAGAAATGACATAAAAATAGATAAACAGGCCAGTGAGGAAATGGTTAGAATCAATAGTATTAGCATAATTCATTTGAGAGATTTACTGTGAACTGAAATACGCATTCTGGAACACATGGGCCTGCTCAGAGAACTGTGTGACTTTATACATCCTGAGCACTTTATCCTGTTTTAATCAGGGTCCATTAATCTCAACAATTTTTCATGTTGCTTTAATTTTCCTGATTAGTTGTACTTATAGCCATGCTCACACATTCACAAAGTATTTCTGAAGCTCGTTTTTCTGCAACTCCCTCAACAGGCCTGTGTAATGTCATTTCAATGTTGCTCATTATTAAGTTGAAATAATTAACTCGGCACCCTGCTAGAAAAGTCAATACCGTTTCTTTTGTAGTATCAGAAGGTTTGTAAATAATTACTAACAAAAGCATTAAATGTATAAACATGTCTATCACTACTGTATTTTCTGTTTTTCTTACAATTTAAATTACAAACAGGCTTCTCCTAGCACCTTAATATGAGAAATAAAAGCGGAGGCCTCTTAGGCTCCATTCTCAGTTGGCACTATATCTTCCTGGAGAAGGGTTCTGGAAAATAATTTCCACCTAATACCTGTTCTTTATAAAAGTTATATCTTATGTCCCAAAATAGGCAACAGAGAAAGAAATAAAAAAAAATGGCATTTATGTCTGTACTTTGTAACTCTTACTGAGATTTATCTTAATAAAGAATGGTTCCAAACTATTTTACTTCTAGGAATTGATACTTGAAAGAGTCACTACATAAATACACAGAGTTTTCAGAGTAAAGACATTCATCTATAGCCAAATATTAAGAGCCTAAGTGGTGTTGGTTAAAGAAACTAGTAAATCCACATACTGTGTGGTTAGTTTTTTAAGAAATTATGTTGCAGAAATATTTAGAGGCAATGAAATATGCTTATGACATTTCAAGTTTAAAAAGGCATGTTATAAAATAGTATTTATAATATTGTTCTATTTTTGAAAAAAAACCAGAAAGCATGAATGGAAGCAAGTACACCAAAATTTTATCAGTAGTTATACTGCTGAATGATGAGACTACAGATAATTCTCTAACACTACCATAAGCCAGTACTACTTTTGTATTGAGAAAATAATTATGATGAGCTATGCTTTTAATGCAATATATAGGAAAAATGGTTAATTTTCTTACTATATAAACTCAATAGAAATGTCTAGCACCTTAAAAGAAAAGACTAACAATATAAGACTTAACAACTTAAGAGACAAAGAGAAGTAAGGACATAATTAGACGGCACACAGAGATGGAAATATAAATAACCTTAAAACATATGACAGATGTTCAAATTTGATCATAAAAAGAAAAGTTAAGACAACAATGATATTCCATCTTTCATCTATCAGACTGAAAAAGAGCAGAACATTTCATAACACACCGTGTTGGTATGAATATAACTAACATTCTCATAAATTGGTAGAAGAAGAGTTTGGTTTCACATCTCCAGAGTGCATTTTTTTTCCCCAAGGATCTATCAAAATTATAAACATGTATACCCTTTGACTCATCAATTCTTCTAGTAATTTAATGTATAGATAAATTGCATCTTATACAAAGATATTCCTTTCTGCTTTGAGTTAAGTAGCCAATGTTTTGGAACAACAGAAAGTCCAATCTGGATTAAATGAAAACATTCCCCAAAATGGAATCTCATACAACCTTAAATATATATGTATTTTTATATTATATATTAAATATACTTAATATGTAATATATATTATATATTAAATATATTTAATATGTAATATATATTATATATTAAATATATTTAATATATAATACATATTATATAAAATATATTTAATATATAATACATATTATATAATATATATTTAATATAATATATATTATATAAAATATATTTAATATATAATATATATTATATATATTTTTTAAGGGTATATATACACATTTATATTTTATATATCTATTTTATATATATTTTAAGGGTATATATACACATTTCAGATACTTCAAGGAGATATATATATATATATATATATACACACACACATAAATGACACGATAGTTTCAGACATATCGGGTGAAATAAAAGGTAAAGTACAATATATACACTGTGTTATCATTGTATAAAAAAATGAGTTGCAAAACATTTAATATACCTAAGCGCCTGTATGTGCATAAGCCATCTATGCAAGGAGAGGGACACACCAGGGCTTGGAAACAATGGTTGCTCCTCTAGAGGAGAGAACTCAGGGGATTATGGGTGGCAGAGACTTAATTCTTATTGCATATCCTATGTACCACACTAGTTACTTACCATGTTTATGCTACTTCATACAAATATTTATTTATGTATTTTGTTAGTTAATAGTTGTTTTTAAATTATCAGCTATGGAGAAGCAATGATGTGAAGAAAGATTCGTAAGCATCAGGACTAACTACTGGGCTTTGAGTCTGGTATCCTAAGGGGCTTCCTCCCTGTAGGACCTCAGGCAAGCCCCCTCCCTTCTCTGGACCACCTTCTCTTTTCCTAAGGAAAATCACAAAGTTGCCTTTCAGCTCTTGGGAATCTGAGCTTCTAGTTGTTTTCAAAACAGATACTTGTTTTTAAATATCACACAAAATAACAGGTGTCTCAGCTACTAGAATTACACACAACCCCCGCCCTACCTCCCCCGCCCACCCCCCATCACACTTTACAAAGTTATTCTCTTGGGAAACCTCGTCTCAATCAACAGCTTTCTGAGCACTACTTTATACACAAGGTCCTATGTTAAGTGCTAGGAACACAGGAATTAACATGACATGTTCCTGTCTACAATGAATTAAATATAAGACCTCCCAGCTATTGAGCACCAACTAAATGCCAGGCACCGGTTTTTCTATAATACCTTGTAATATTCACATCAAGCCAATCCCCTGTAGGTGCTATTAGCATCTTCATTTTACAGAGGCACAGACGGCAACTAAGAGGGGAAGTGACTTGCTGACAAAGGTTGCCCAATTAGGAACTGATGGCATTGAGATCTCAAACCCAGGTCTTCATGACGCCAAAGCCAGTATTTTTTGCTACTATTTCAACCTACCTGATTTGGTTTAATGGGGGAGGAAGACTAAGAAAGAGATGATTAAACAGTAATGTGGTAAGTGTTGTGAGAGAACCCCTGGGTACACCTAATGGAGATTTGCATGAAACTGGCATTGAGAAGTGTATGGCTCCTGTCAAACTGGATGCTTGTAGATTTCTTCCCTTAGATCAAGTGGATCAGAGAATTTTCAGTTTCCAAAGCAAACCCTGATTTTGAGATGAACTCAATCTGAGATGTGGCTACACAGATGACTAGTATCATGACAGAGAGGCATCCACATGGATGCCAACAGGAATTCTCTGTCAGCTTTCAGAGTCGGGCAGATCTGGACTTAATTCAACTCCAGCACATAGTGGCTCTGTTAGATTGGTCAGGAGAGTTTACTCCTCTGAGCCTCAAGTTCCCCTTGGTGAAAGGCAGATGAAGTGGAAAAAATGGAAAAAACAATAAATGTGGAAATGAACACAAAACTCTTTTTGAAAAGTAGGCATTCGATAAACAGTAATCATATATGAATTCTCATATAGGCTTAGATCTACTGAAATAATCCAAGATTGCAGGGGCAACCTACTTCAATAGAAATGGAATCACTCGTGAAATATATAATTTGTTTTCTAAAAGTCAGTACAGCAATGTTTTCAGATGCATCTGATACAATGATTTTATCCTGATAATTTCTCCCACATCCTCCTGACTTTGATCATCTACACCTCTAATTATTCTGGATCATAGGTGATTCTGATCCTCATCTTGTACCCTCTCCACCCATTTTCTTTCAGATGCACTAAGAACCTTTGTCATTAGCCGGTTAAGCTTCTTGGGCTATATCTTCCAAGGCACGAACAACATACGGAAATTAATGACTGTCTCTACCCTGGGGTGCCAAGTGGTCTTCTTGTCAAAATCATGAGAGATGCTCCAAAAGGTGGGCGGTTACTAAAGAGAAAGAAAAAATTCAAGTCCCAAAGAAAAGCTGATCATTAAAAAACGAATTTTCTTTTTGAGTATACGGGATGTCCTTTGAAAAAGTGGTTTGGGTCTAGAAACTTTGTATCTATATTCAACATGCTGCATTTCAGGCAGCATTTCTGCTTTGATCCTTTGAGCTCCTTTAATACATCAGATGGGTTTTTAATACCCATAGGAATATATAAACTCTTTCCAAGCTGAACAAATGGAGGGCAAGCTGGAGAGTTAATAAACACACATCTATAGGGTTTTGGCAACTTCTAAGCCACTTCAGGTGCAGTATTGGGCACAGCAAGGGGGGAACACAGACTGCTCTTTGAGGTAGGGATAGAGGGAGTCACAGCACAAACAACCACCAGGATGGAGACAATGCACCGCAGAAATGCAACTTGCAGACGTCAATAGTGTGGACACAGCTCTGCACGCCTCCATTCCACATGCAAATAAACATTCTAAAAATATTCCTTGGCTCTGCTGGTCTCCTACCCTCCGGCATGGAAGAGGAAAGCCTCACTGTGTTGTGAGCCCAGACAAACTTCCATGTGCTCCCACCCCTCTTCCCCACACATTAAGAAATGTACAAATGGGAAATTGTGAGACTAATTCATGTCAGGTAGAAACCTGCCTAGTCATTATAGACATGCGCCCCTCTCATTTTATATCATGGACTCAGGAGGGAAAACAGTAATTTATAACATTTCCTGTACTAAAACCCTCCAAACACTGCTTATCAAAGAGCAAGTAAAGATAGCAACACCTACACAACAACATCCATTCTATCTGGATCCTCAAAGTTGTAATCATCCTTGAGTCTGGAAATAGGGTACTTTTTCCTCTGAGCATCTGAGGAAAAGAATCAGGGAAACCCTGTCCCCAGTAAAATGCTTCATTGAACTGAGATTCAGAGGGATTGGTAGAAAAATTGACCAGAGGTTTTAATCCCAATTATTATAGTATCTTTGGACCCCACTTTCATCTTATGGCACTATTTCAACAATGCAAAATAAAGTGCCCAGGATAAGCATTTACCTCTTCCTCCCCTTTTTAAAATTTAAAGCCAAGATGATTTTAGCAACCATAAACATATAGCACTAATTAGGATATTCATTGTAAGAGCTAGCATTGAATTATTCAAACCTGGCCCCATACCCATAATACAAAAAGAAGGCAGACTTGTATTAAAGACTGATTAGCACAGCCTCAACATTATATGACATATCATTGAAAATCTTTTCAATGTGATAGTCATGTTTTAAACCTTTAATGCTGGAAAGAAATTGGTTTTTATGATGCAGAAGTTACTTCTACCATGTTTCTGAGATGCAGAAGAGGAGGCAATACAGGGAGGATGTGGCTGGTTTTCCTCTACTGCTGCTTGGGTATGACTGTGTAGAATTGAGACAGGAACTATTTTGACTTGGGTAATCCACAGTTTTGTGCATTACCACCCAACATGGCAAGATATAAGGAAGTAAAGACAACAAGGGAAAACTTGGGGAAAAATAAGATGAAGAGCCTTCAATCTCCAAAGGGAAGAATATGACCACTGGTGCTACTCTCACTGTAGAGTGGAAAGCTGACTCGTTTAGAAATTAAACAAAGCCCATTTGAAAAGATTGCTGATTATTTCATGGGAAAATGAATCCTATTGATTTACATGTTTTAAACAAGATTGAGTATGGTAGTTTGGCAAGAATCTGTAGAGCAGGAGATACAAAAATATTTCAACAAATTAGCATATGCTTGCAAGTTAAGTGGTTAAAAAACTTACATTTTAACACCTACAAATTATATTATTCATGACACTAATGTACTCCCACTGACAAAGTCTGTATCTAATTTGTGTAATGAAGGATCTGGTCACTGTTGAGTATGTGTATTCCCAGATCCAGAATTCCAAATTTCTTGTCAACCAAGAGCTCAAGTAGACCCAGGAAGTGGCAAAAATCCAAGAGCTATTTTATCGAGGACAGTCTCATCAGAGCAAAAAAAACCTCACCATCTACTTTTCCTGACTGAAACTATTAGTTTTACCTTCAAGGCTGAGAAATCTCGAGTAAGGAGTCCTGTGGTTTTCCTGCATCCCTGTCAACACAGATGGGTTTGTGGACTGTGCTCCATAAAAATGTCTTCCATTTATGAAGCATTTATTCTGCACTATGCACTGTGCTAAGTATGAAAGTAATACATCTTTTTTTAAACCCACACATAGATCCTAAGAGGCATGGACTATGCTTATAGCCCTCTTGGAGATGAGCAAAGTGAGGGTTAGGGCATTTAAATAATGTGTTAAGATCTTTGCACTAGTAAGTGTGGTAGCCCAGACCATAGTTCAGTCCCAGAGGCCACCTTCTTAGCCTTTACTCAAGGAAAATGCTGTGTCCCTATTGTGCAATGGATCCATTATACAGGTCATTTCCAGAAGCCTCACTTGGTAGAAACACCTGCAGGGCACTCACTGAGAACAGTCTAAAGACTTGTGGTAAATTGCCCACCCAGCTTGAGACCTCAACAGGAAATTGGAGTTGTTCGTTGGAAAATGGAATCCCTGAACTATGGTTTTCTGAACTGTAGCCCACGAAACATGTCAACACAGCTTCGAGACCAATTACTTTCTTTCAGCTTAGCAGATAAATGAAAGGTGCGTGGGGAGAAGCGATGAGAGAAGAAAACTGTAGCCACAGCTTTTGGGGCTTCCAGGAAGATGAGCAAAGCTTGTGTACAGATCTCAAAGTGAAACCGACGGCAATATAATTTTTATGAGAAGTGATGAGTGATACTAACTAAAAAAGCACACACTAAAAAACAAAAACAAAAACCTAATTTACCTTAGAAATTAATATTTTGCCAACACTGAAATGTTGAAATGAAAATGTTACATGTGTTTAAAGTTTTATTTTTGATTAATTATTTTTCTTAACTGGTTCTAACTATTTATTTTGCAATTGATTCTAAGCAAGTCTTTGTGAATCTCTTTCTTGGCAAAGGGGGCTGGGTAATCAAGAAGGAAAGAAACATACTGGAAAATAGTAAAACATTACATCCTTTTTAGATTCCAATTTTGTCCAACTTGTTGACAGTCACAAATGCCCAGAAAATATGGGCTGAGTTGTTTTCGATTGCTGTTTGAATAACAGATTAATTTAATAATCAGTGGGGTATTGGATGACAAAAATTATTGGTTAGAGCAGCCAAACCACCAACCCTAATGACATTCTTATGTAAATTCTTATTTTCTTTTAGGCTCCTGCATTCTTAATAAACCCTATATTTTTGAAAATCCCTTTAAAAACACTACATACTGTCCCTGTATGTTATAACAGATCTGTCTATGCTATAGACATACAAATGTCCACTTTTGGAGTTGCCAATTTGAAGGTTTCTATTTAGAGCAACTGAGTCACCTCTTGATGTATTTTCCATACGAAACCATCTAATGATTCTGGAAACAGGACACAGAAATGGAGTAGGACGCAGCTCAACTTTGTTCTTCAAAGACTTCTGAAGACTGAAAAGACTTCTGCTATATGGGTAGAACCACCTGACATGATTTACTTAGTTCTAGCAAAATGTTTAGACACCAGGGTCAGCGGATCTCTTCTAAGAGATGGGCAGATTGTTAATGACAGTCCAAAAGCAAACTGCAGCTGAAGCCTGTTCCCGTGGGAAGTGCTCAGTTCTTTGGGATTGTTGCTCTATGGTTTGCCATTGCTTGTGGAGGAAAGTAATCGCTGCCTTGAGACTAGTTTGTAATGGACACGGTTCTGTATGTTCCATTGCGGAAGGCGAGATGTTTTCCTATGAAAAAGATCTTACTGCGTAATTTCTGAAATACTATAATTTTCACCAAACTCAATTTCCAGCGCACTCCTGGCCAAACGCTGCAGAATTGTGTTATTTTTGAATGTCATTGCCCCTGACCTGAAGTTACCTACAAAGTTGGTCAAAAATTAGTAATTGTCTTAGAGAACTAGACCTGAAAAATCTCATTCCTTCCAGGGAAGGGCTGATAAATTTGTATGCGAATTAGATGTAAAGCAGAGGTACAGATTCAGCTTTCTGGATGCCACCAATCATGCTGGCCATTGTACATCTATGGGTCATCAAGAAGAGTAAGACAACAAAAATCAAATAACATTATTTTCCTCCTTAATATACTGCATTCTGAGAATACAAAGCTCACAGAAAATGCCAAACAACAGCTTCATAAATACTTTGATAAATACTCAAATATATCTTCTAATAAACTGTATTTCATAAAATGGAGCAAGGAGGGATAAAGAGAAAAGAATATGCAAAAGACAAGAATAAAAGGGTTCCACTCTTCAAAAGCACTCAACGAAACTGTTTATGGGTCCTTTTTTATATTGTATAAACATTAAATCGTAATTCTATAACAAAGCTTCACAAAGATTTTTGGATTAGGAATAAAAGTAGTCTTAAATTGATTTCTCATCCAACTAGCTACCCCAGTGATCTGTCAATTTCTAATCTCTAAAAAGAAGAGGAGGAGGAAGAGAACAAGTGAGTTGTTTGCTCTGTTAGGACCAGCGTGTGTGCGTGTGTGTGTGTGTGCGTGCATGCGCGCTTAGCGGTGAGAGAGAAGGAAGGGACAAAGGGGTAGCAAATGGCTGTCTGAATGAGGAGTTTCTGTTTCAAGAGGCCACCATGTCATTTTTCCCATCATCTAGAATCTGATCATTTTTACTCTTTTCCTTAAAACCTTTCAGTGGTTCCATACCGGTGTCAGGGTAGTTAGCATTTGAAGTCCTTCAAAGGACTAGTTCTCTTTGACAGGATCAAAAGGGCAACAAGCCCTAGGCCTTGATCAGCCCTTGTCCCCTCTGTCATCTCTCCTCACCCACAACTCTCTATTCAGCTTCCTGGAACTTCTAACAATGTGTTGACCAAACCACAATTTCTCTCATCTCCACAATGCTCTTCTCTCTGCCCGGGTGTGCATACCCAACTTCTCACCCTGGTGATATTGTGTTAGGTGCTATTTCTTCCAGGAAGCTTTTTTTGACCACCTAAGCCTTCCTTCTGCGACCCCCGTGTAACATTTACTCTCTAATCATGGCACTAACCATGGAGTATTGGCATTGCCTGGTTACTCATCTGCAAACTCCATGAAGGCAAGAATTTTGTGTGTCTCATTCACCACTGTCTCCTCAAAGTGCAGCCCAGTGTCTGGGATGCAAGCAGATGATCAAGAAATGTTTACTCAAGTCCTGAGCTATCTTCACATTTTCTTCCTATGACCCTAATTTGTTTTCTGAGTGAATTCCTTAGAGACCTCCTTCAACATCATTAATAAATCAGCCCTCATATCTTACCTGCCAAATTGCCATCTCACAAGTTAGCAATAAGAAACAGGCAAAACCATTCCATGATGTTAGAAATCAAGAGAGTGGTTATCCTGTGGTCAGTGAGGTTACACTTAGAGGAGGGCAGGTGTGGGGGTCGGTGCTTCTGAGGAGCCTGTAATGTTATTTCACTTCCTAACCAGGGTGCTGGTTATGCAGGAATATTCACTTTGTGCAAATTAATCAAGCTGCAAACTTACAGTTTGGACACTTTTCTGTAGGTGTGATGCTTCAATCAAATGTTTACTAAAAAAAAAAAGAAAAAACCCAAGTCCCCATTTCTGTCCCCACCCAGACTCCCGGGGCTTTATTGTTCTGCTTCTGCAGTGTATGACTGACCTGCCAGGTGGTGGTCTTGAAATAAAGCTTGGAAAGGAAAATCCTCCAATGCCTACAGTGTCTTTTCACTGCTGCTAGCACACTGTGCAAAGCTTTACTCCACTTACTACCCAATCTCCTGTGAGTCTTCAACCCAACGTGGTATTAGAGAGCTAAAACAGACTAGCCATGACTGATATAAATCTCTTCAGCATCAACTATGCTTTTTTTTTTTTTTTTTTTTTTTTGGAGATAGAGTCTCATTCTGTCACCCAGGCTGGAGTGCAGTGGCGCAATCTTGGCTCACTGCAACCTCCGCCTCCTGGGTTCAAGCAATTCTTGTGCCTCAGCTCCCGAGTAGCAGCTGGGATCACAGGCGCATACCACCCTGCCTGGCCAATTTTTGTGTTTTTAGTAGAGACGGAGTTTCACCATATTGGCCAGGCTGGGCTCGAACTCCTGACCTCAAGTGATACGCCTGCCTCAGCCTCCCAAAGTGCTGGGATTACAGATGTGAGCCACCGCGCCCAGCCTTCACCTTTGTATCTTATCCATCTTGGCATTCCCCAAAGCACCAGCACAGTTTCTAGACCACAGCAGGAATGCAATGACCTCCTATTCCTACTGAATGAAAGGTAGTTATTTCTTTAGTTTGAAATCTTTAGGTCACTTTCTTTAATCCAACTGCATTTCTTTCTTTATTTTCTAATTACGATTTCTAATAAGGAAAAATACTGCTTGCTCTAGCAATGTCCTATCTTAGTTCTATTGGTTTTCTCACTTAGAATAGAAATAAGAACCCTAACTCGCTCTACTAAATATGATTGTGCCTATCTTCACTAAGAGATACTGGCCGCCTCATAGAGTTTGTAGTTATGATGACTGAGGGTATAGTATGCATTTGGTCAAAAAGGATCTCAATCATTATAAAACCAGTGGCATTTACCTCACAAAACCATAGAGTCATGAATTGTCAACAACCCTTCCATCACACACGGCCTGTGATCATATCTGAGACATATATGCTATAGCTTTTTATACAGGGAATTCTACAGTAGTGAAATAACATTAGACTGTGGAAAGAAATATTCACATTTCAGCAGAATGGTTTACAGGTGTTAAAAACTTTTTATATATTTGGTGTTATGTGTTTCCATCTATTCAGGCTGCTATAACAAAATATCTCAGAGTGGGTAATTTATAAACAACGGAAATTTATTGCTCACAGTTTTGGAGGCTGGGAATCCCAAGATCAAGACACCAGCAGACTTAGTGTTTAGTCAGGGCTTGTTTTCTGCCTCAATGATAACACCTTTTAGCTGTGTCTTTACATGATGGAAGGTCAAACAGATTCCCTCAAACTTATTTTATAAGGGCACTAATACCTTTCATAAGGGCAGAGACCTCATGATCTAATCATCTCCTAAAGGCCTCTCTTCTTAATACTATCACATTGGGGATTAGGTTCCAACAAGTAGATTTTGGGGGGACACCAACATTCAGACCATAGCCTTATGCACATGTTACATGTGACTGTTTACTGAGTACTTAATCTGATTCAGGCATTACGCTAAATTCACAACACACATTTTCTCACTTTAACTCCTATAACAAGCCATGATATGCTTACTATTATAATCCCCCAAATCACCCAGGAATAAGCAGAACTTCATGGAGTTAAGGTTTTTGTCCAAGGTCAAAGAGTGAATAATTAGTGAAGTCAGAACTCACATTCTGAACCCATTGCTTCCAAGGCTCCTGCATGAACCGTACACTTCAGTACTTTCTTGTGGTGGATCTAGAATGCCCCCAAGTCAGAAAAACAAACTATAACATGGTAGACTGGGCAAATGTGGAAGCCATCCTGCTCTAAATACTCAGACACACTAGATGAAATAGTAAAACAAAACAAACATGTTTAAATACAAAAGATCTTACAAGAGAAGACACTTAAAGCTAACTTGTAAATTTACTGCTAAGTGTAAAAAATGGATAATCTGGCACTCTCTGAGGCTCTGAATAGGAAAACCAATATTGCCCATGAGAAATCAAACTTCAAGCCTAAACTACATGCTGCTTAGGAAAAATATGTATTCTAATTATATGGTACAGAAATTCCTAAATACAAAAAACTTACATAACAATTATTCCCAGGCAGTCGTTACTAATAGGATACATGATAGAAGCCAAAATGCAAATATATTGTGAAGAGAAACTCAAATTCTATTCTGTTCCCAGAGAAATAATATTTAATAGTAGAGATCAATTCACAGTTAAAAATGACAAAATACATGAGCCAATAATCTAACATGGAAAAACACAGATAGAAGAAAAAAGAGGATTGATACTCCTAAAATTTAAACTATTAGAACAATCTTAAAAGGTTTTTATAATTTGGTACAGAGAACCGAAGAATAAGACTGTATAAAAGAAAACATATATTTTTAAGAGAAGCAAATGAAATGTCTAGAAATGAAAAGCTCAATAGATTGTTTAAGCAGCAGACCAGACAGGATCAAAAGGAAATTAGTGAACTGGAATATGAGTTTAAAGAAATTATCCAGAATAAAGCACATAAAAATAGAAATGAATTTATATCTGGAATCACTTCAGTGAAACCTCAGAACATTCGAGAGAGACTGAACACTGTAAAAGCCATCCGAAACGGGGGAGAGGTCAGACTACCTACAAAGGTACAAGGCTAAAAGTGAGAAGACAATGGAATATCTTCAAAATATTTTAATTTTGAGGTTATGGAGATAAACCATCACTGTTGAGTACATACTAAATTTGGGATTTTAGACAAAGAATGAGAATTTATCACTCTCAGATCATTCTTGGAAAAACTTCTGAAGTACTGTAAAACAAAAAGCAATGCTTTTTTTAAATTAAAGAGTAACTATAAACATATAAAAAATGCAGGTAAACATGTTATTTACTATAGGCAGCAGCAATAGTAATAGTTATTTCATGGGTTAAAAACACAGTAGAACTAGAAGGTTAGAAAATATTATATGAAAGAGATGTGAGGTAATCCAACTTAACAAAATGTAAGTTTTTGTTTGTTCTGGAGGAGAGAGGAGATCCTCACCAATTGAAACATCGTAAAAAGGCAAAGGGCAACTACTAAAGGAATAGTGTGTACTTTACATAGAGTATGGAAAAAAAAAAAGGAATAGAAAAACCCAATCAATCCAATGGAAGGGAAAGAAACGAAGAAAAGGAGAGAGAGGAAGGAAGGAGGGAAGGAAGGAGGAAGGGAGGGAGGGAGGGAAGGAAAGAAAGAAGGAAAAAAGGAAGGAAGGAAGGAAGGAAAGAAAGAAAGAAGGAAGGAAAGAAAGAAAGAAGGAAGGAAGAAAGGAACAAAGAAAAAACATGAGGAATAAGAGCATATAAAATGATGGTAGAAATACTCCAAACTTGTTGGTAAGCACCATAAATTTTAAAAGATTAAACTATCAGATAACAGAAATAATAAAAACTTCAAATCCAGCTATATTCTGTTTATAAAACAAAATCCTAGTGCAAAATGACGAAAAAGGGTTGAAAATGGAGGGAAAGGGGAAAATATGGCTAGCAAGTATTACCAAAATAGAGCTAGTGTACCTCTGCTATTAGCAAACCAAATAGACATTAGGGCATAAAGCACTTTCATGTATAAAGAGGGTTATTACATAGTGATAACAGGAATGATTTCTTAGGCAGCTATAATAATCATGAACAGGGATGTCCATGGTAAGTAACATAACTTCAAAATACAGAAAGCAAAATGAATTGAATGGCACAAAAACGTCCATAAGCCTGGTGAGAGATTAACTGACATCTAAAATAGACTGAAAATAAAGGTAGGTTTGAAACATAATTTGTATACTTTGTCCAAAGGACGCACATTGATCCCTGTACCCAGCTATTAGAGAATGTAACTTGCTTTCAAAAACATGTGGACAAGGACTGGAAATACAAAGCAAGTTTCCACAGATACTAAAATAGATGTGTTATACAGACCACAAGGCCATTTAATTAGGCTTCAGTAATAAAAAGGATGGCCTCAACTCCCATATATTTGGACATTTTAAAACACGATTTAAGCATTTACAGATCAAAAAATGGTAAAAATGAGAAACTTGTTAGAGATGAATAAGAATGAAGGCTATATATATATATATACACACACATATATATATACACACATATATATATATACACATATATATATACACACACATATATATATACACATATATATATATATATATACACACACACATATATATATATATATAATTTAGAGATGCACTGGAATGCAGAGAGAAATGTATACCTAGACATATATATGCTTATATCTATATACATATAAAATGAACCTGAAAAGCTAAGCATCAAAGACAAAATGTTAGAAAATAAAAAAACAATGTAAACTCAAGAATCATAGAAGAAAGATAAAACACATCTCTGGCAGTATGGAAAGGGAGAGAGAGGGAAGGAGGCAAGAGGAAAGGGAGCAAGAGGGAGGATCAATTAAAAACTTTAAAAGGGGGCAAAATCACAAATACAGTAACATTTTTAATCAAAAGAAAACACTATCAACAATGCCTGCAATAACCTCGAAAAATGAGATGAAACAGGCAGTTTTCTAAGAAATATAATCACCAAAACCATTTCAAAAGGAAAAAGAAAATCCAGAAATATCTAACCACAAAAGAAACTAATTTCATAGTTGTAAATGTATACACACATGAAAAAACACACACATACAAATCCCACCAGTCACTAATAGTTTTATAAGTTTTACAAAGCCTTCAAGAAACAGATACTGGATTCCATCTTATATTAAATGCTACAGATATTACAGAAAGAGGGAAAATGTAAGTAATTTTGTGGCAATAAAATGACCTTAATAGGAAAGCCAAATGACAGTGCAAGGAAGAAAAAGTATCGCCACTCTCCTTTTTGAGCATAAAAACAAAAAGTTCATGGTGTAAGTAAATTGAATCCAGCAATATGTGTGATATATTATTACTTTTTTTTTTTTTGAGACGGAATCTAGCTCTGTTGCCGGGCTGGAGTGCAGTGCTGAGATATTGGCTCACTGCAACCTCCACCTCCTGAGTTCAAGCAATTCTCTTGTCTCAATCTCCCGAGTAGTTGGGATTACAGGTGCCCGCCACCATGCCTGGCTAATTTTTGTATTTTTTAGTAGAGGCAGGGTTTCACCATGTTGGCCAGGCTGGTCTCAAACTCCTGACCTCAGGTGATACACCCGCCTTGGCCTCCCAAAGTGTTGAGATTACAGGCGTGAGCCACCGCGCCTGGCCTGTTTATGACAATGAAGGTCCATCCTGAAAAAGCAAGTATATTTTCACATTAGACATTCTACATACTATTAATATATAATATATACTACATATAAAGTATGTAATACATACATACTATACATATGTAATATATACTAGATTATGTATAATACATATACATATGTATTATATATTTATTTTATGAAAATAGAATCACAAAATATACATTATAGATATCATGAAATAATACATACATACGATATGTACATATAATACATATATTATACATATAAAAACCCTATCAGAATTCATGGAAATTAATAAGCTAATTCCAAAATTAGTATGCAAGAGTAGAGTCAAGAATAACCAAGAAAATTTAGAAGTATTTTATATGTATATATATATTTCATGATTTAAAATTTTAGAAATATTAATGTAACATGTTAACAAACTAAGGAAAATTTTTTTGTAATGGATGTTGAATTTTCTTATAAAATTCAATATCAATTTAGATTTCAACAATAACAATGGCAACAAAAATTCTTACAAGTTTTCTTCAGCCTCATAAATCGTTACTACCAAAAATCTACAGCAATTATGGAATTAATAGTGATGGTTGCACAACACTGTGAATGTACTGAATGCTCCTGAATTATACACTTTAAAATGGTTAAATGGTAAATTTTATATTCTTTATATTTTATGACAATAAAAAAGTCCTTTAGCAAACATACTTAACATGTAATTATTGGAGGCACTTCCTTTAAATCAGGAATGAGACATGGTTGCCTAATCTCATCGCTTTTATTTAACGATGTGTCAGAAGTATAGTGCAACAAAACAGAAAATAATAATTAAGTACGGAGACTAGAAAGAAAATGTTTCACAAATGATATTACTGTCCATGCAAAAAGTCCAAGAGCATCCATACACAAACAAGTCGATCTCAAAGAGCATTTAGCAGTGTGTTGGATACAATATTCAATCTACAGAAATCAGTGATATGTTCATATACTAGTTATTTCAAATTAGAAAAGTAGTTTTAAGTATATACTATTTATGATAGAAGAAAAACTATGGGGTGTGTAGGTATAAATATATAAAGTTATAAAATTGTATTAAAAGGCATAGAAAAGGCATATAACTAAAGACATATACTTAGTTTATTATAAAAAATAGTAATTATCTTTAAATTGATCTATCACTTACAGAAATTTTAATGAAAACCCTATCAGAATTCATGGAAATTAACAAGCTAGTTCCAAAATTAGTATGCAAGAGTAAAGAGCCAAGAATAAATAAGAAAACTTAGAAGAAGAATAAGGAAAGGAGCTTGTTCTCTTAAATACCAAGTCATATTATAAAGCTATAATAATTAAAGAGATACGGTATTGATATATAGGTATTAAGAAACCATAAGATCTGGAAACAGATCTGCATATAGATGGGAACTCAGCCCATGACTAGACTTATTAAAAAAAGAAAGAAAGAAAGAAAGAAAGAAAGAAAATTTCTATGCATTGTGTGCCTGTAGTCCCAGCTACTTGGGAGGCTGAGACAGGAGGACTGCTTGAGCCCAGGAGTTTGAGACCAGCCCAGGCAACACAGTAAGACCCCATCTCTTAAAAAAAAAAAAAAAAAAGGCATCTGTAAAGAGTCAAACCATACAATAGGAAGACCCACATACAATGCATACGATTGTAAAGAAATAGTATCCGAAAGAGAAAGAACACCCAAATCAGTAAGAGTAGATCCAATCACCCAGACGGGAACTGTCCAATTGAAATAAAGAGGTCAGAAACCCCAAATAACCAATAAAGCCATTAAAAGAGGCTCAACCTCATTAGCAGTCAGGGAAATGCATACTCAACCACCAAGAAACATTTCCAATTTATCAGGTTTGGGTAAATCCTGAAGGCTTGTGCCTTCAGTAAAGATACGTAAGGACATTCTTGAACACACAGTTCAAATTGCCAACCGTCAATTAAGAAAGCACCAATTAAGACTTTCTCAAAACATGAACAAACTGACCTACAAATCTCCTATACTGCAGGATGTCTTTTCATGCATTCTGAATGCTTCCCAGTGTCTAGAATATCTTATAAAGCCAAGTGGTGTTTCTTCCAAGCTGATAGAAATACTTCCTTACGCAAGAGGGCAGCCATGTTTTCTATTGGTGTAACTGTGCCTGCAAGTCACACAGACCCATCTGGGAAAGTTCTGTGCTGAGCAGAAAGGTGTAGGGGGTTAGAGGGTGGGGGGATGGCTTACTTGGAGCAGTCTTCACAAGCAATATTCCCTGTAGTCTCCTTGATGGTGCGCTCAGAGACGAATGCTGGATATTCAGTATCACAAGGCTCCAGGGTCTGTTTCAATTTCTGGGCTGTAGGGATAGTGGGAAAAAAAAAGGTAAAGAATGCAAGGCACAGGCTCAAAATTGTGACTGGCAGCCCACAGCAACCCAGAACACAGTTCCGCTTCTGCTGCTCTGTGATTTTTCTAGCACAGCATAATGCATTATTTTCTAATTAGTCAAGTGATTTCATCTGCCAAGCAACTCTATAAGCTATAATTCCTCCAACAGTTGTGTTGGCTGGATCAGCTATCATTTATGCATCACAAGAATTCTACTTTCTGGGACAACATCAGTCACTGGGTCTCTGACTTCAGACTTACTCAAACTTAGCAACAACACATATGTGTATCTGAATAAATGTATAAAATATAAGTTATACCATATTATTTAGGGTGAGACAAAGGTCATGATACAATTGCATGGTTTTATTATAGAAAGAAAATTGAAATATGAAATAGTAAAATACGTAATGTCTTTGAAGCACAGCCATGAACCAAATCCTACTATTATGAAGCTCTCTGTCCAATAATACAACATGTCAATTTTAAAGCACTAAATAACCCTGGTATGTGGATGAGCACATAGTAGGCACTCGGTAGAGGCTTGGCAGTTGATTGTCCAGTGGGCAAGATCCAAAACCTCACTAGGTCTCAATTTTCTTATTTGTAAACTGAGGATAATAAAGTTCTATCAGAGGTTGATGTGAGAAGTAAATAAAACAATGTATATTGAGTACTTAGTACAGTAACTGGAACATAATGAGTGTTAAGTAAATGTCAAATAATGATAATAATAATAGCAACAACAACAAAGATAACGGTAGCATTCTAATGAAGCCATTTTGACATTATAATGATGACAATAATGATAGACACTATAGTATAGTGGTTAAGGGTGAAGGCTCTGAAGTAAGAGAAGTTTGGAGTACCAATCCCTGCTTTGCTACTTCTAGCGAATCCTCACTGTTCTCACCTGTAAAATGGGGATGCTAGTAGCATAGGTACTCTTCACAGGAGGTCTACTGGTTAACATTTCCCCAAGAGAATGTTTGTAGATTTCCAATACCAAAGTTTGTACAAAGCCTTCAGCTATTGTTTTTGTAGGAAAAAAAAATCTTATTTACATTTCAATTCCAAAATTCAATGGGATTTTAACAAAACTATGTGTGAACAAACTCTCATGTTACATTCCAAATATAACTGGTTGGTGGGCAGAACTACGGGGAGATATTTTGTCCACTGTCCATGTGGGATGTTGCTGTCACTAAGCAAGCCATCAGTGCTACTGCACACAAAACAACTGCTGAGTAACAACCAAACACTTGTGGGGTGATCAGGAAACGATTCTAAGCATTTGTAGTATCCTAGCATGACGGTTTCTTATATGTAGGCTTTTCATTGAGGTTTAATTATTTTGAGGAAATTGGTTGGGGGTTTGGGGTTGGAGCACAATGCATTGTAATCTTTGTTATTTAAAACAAAAGGAAGTAGACTCGTCATCAGCTCTTTTAGTCAGAATATAGAATTTTCAGTAACTGGTCACTGACATTAAGGGGAAATGTCTATAGTAACCTCACAGGATCGTTCTGAGGAATAAATGAACAAAAGCATGCACAGCTCTTAGCAGAGTGAAGCCTGCACGCACTTTTGCCCACCTACATGCATGCACACAGCCTTCATGAAATGCTAGTCATTAGCAAATGTTACCATCCACAGGCCAGGGGCTGGCTAGCTATGTAGTAGCTAAAAGCACCAATTCCAGGCAGTGAATCCTGCCACTGCTGTGTGACAGCAGGTAAGCTTTTAACCATTTTACATCTTAGTGTCCTCGTCTGCTAAATGGGAATAGCAGTACCAAGCTTGTGTGGTTGTTTGAGAATCAAATGAATTACATGGACAGTAGCTGGCACGCTGTGAGTGCTGCTTAAGTGTATGTTTTTACTACCACCATGACTCCTGCTGCACTCGTGCTATTTCATGGAGTCGGGCTTTTTGAACCATCACTTTTTGGTAGAAAAGGCAAGCAAATGGCTGCCTCTCTGACTCCTGACTACACTGATTGTACAGTGCTGGTAGTCATTCTCCAGAAAGGCCAGGTTTCAGACACTATCCCTCTGTCCCCAAGATGCTAGCTCATTGGAGGGAACATTAAATGCCTGCTGAATACAAGAATGACTCTCTTGAGTAGTGTTTTCAAACAAATAAAATAGAATAAAATGGACCAAAAAATGTGAGAACCTCTGTCCCTTACGACACATTTGTTTCTTGCCTTTCAGATGGAGGGTAAGGTGAATTTTAGGTGCTCCAGGCCCAACAGTAACAACACAGAAGAGGCACGTGGTGGGAACATCATTCTCTTCCCAAATCTTTTTCAGTGCGTCTGTTTTGTAAGAAGGACATCTTTGTTTGATAGCAGGGAGTTTCTAACACCTTTCTATCTTTTTCACTTCTTTCTCTCATTTGCTCTCCTCTCCTTTTAAGCTGAAGAGGCCAGACACAAAGCTCATAGGATCTGGCTACAATTTGGCAACACTTTTTATTTTCATGGTTCTGATTTTTACAACAGATTTCTCTGTATGGCAAGTCATTCTGGTTTTCAGTTTATAAAACTTTCTTTTCATATTTAAATTATTTGAATTTCAAAAAGTGAGTCCCTTGACATGAAATAAAGATTTAAGTATACAATAGCTTAGGTTATAAGTGGATGCGGCACAAGCATGCAGATGGAATATAAAAAACTAATGATGGCATAACAGCTACATTTATGAAGAAATTGCTGCGTTCCAGATGCTGTCCTGCTTAATATGAATTAATTAATTTAATAGTAAAACATGACAAAATTAAAAAATAAACTATGAGGTATGAACAGTTGTTATCTGTTTTGCAGATGGTGAATGGAGGAAAAAGAATGAGGGTAAATTGCCCAAATTCATCCACTGAGTATGTGGCAGAACCAAAATTTGACCTTGGGCTGTCTGGCTCCAGCATGTATATGTTTAACTGCTCTGTGAAGTTCAGCCAATGAAAAAAAATAAGAAAGGTCTTTGGGTCAGGCTGAGATAGGCAGCACACGTGATTTGAATAAGCCTGATAATTGCACCATCTCTAATTCTAATTGTCTGGGCCCAGTTACAATGGAATGAGTCCAATACTCTCAATGGTGAGACTCATTTGGCTCTGATCCTTTCTGGAGATGAAATTCTTTTTCCTTTGACAATTGTAGGGCACTCCATGCTGATATAGTGATAAACCGTTGGGTCTATTTGCAGCACGACTATTGGCTGGAAATTGCTTGATGTGCTTTTGGGAAACGTGAATTATCGTGTAAAGCCATGGCCACATTTAATTTAAATAACATGGCTAGAACTTACTTTGTCTAGAGTGCTATGGAAAACACCACATATATGTGCAGTTGCTACTATTTATCTATGGAATTTCAAACCAATAACTGAGGCTGCTTGCAATCTACCGGATACTGTTTTTGTTGTTGTTGTTGCTGTTGGAGACAGAGTCTCACTCTGTCACCCAGTCTGGAGTACAGTGCTGTGATCTCGGCTCACTGCAACCTCCGCCTCCTGGGTTCAAACGATTCTCCTACCTTAGCCTCCCAAGTAGCTGGGATTACAGGCACGCGCCATCATGCTTGGCTAGTTTTTTTGTATTTTTAGTAGAGATGGGGGTTGCACCATGTTGGCCAGGCTAGTCTCGAACTCCTGGCCTCAGTGATCCGCCCACCTTGGCTTCCCAAAGTGCTGGGATTACAGGCGTGAGCCACTGTGCCTAGCCATACTGGATACTGTTTTAACTCTTAGGCATTCAGAACTCACATCTTACAAAGCTGTAGGTATTCAAGGATCACTGAGCTCAGTTTGGCTGATTCCTTCTTTTACAAGAAGTGAAAAATGAGGTTCCAGAAGCAGACACTGCCTGCCGTGGGTCCCACAGAGAGTGACTCATCACAATCATCATTAACTCACACAGTAAACCACCACCACCTTCACCATCAATCTTCACTATGCACTTACTACATGCCAAACCCTGTGCCAGGCCCTTAGCATGGGCAGAATCTTCATCACCATAGAATAAACAAGCCCTTGCTACTGTCCCATTTTGCAGATGAAGAAACTAAAGCTCAGAAACGAAGACACGTGCCCAAGGTCACACTGCAGTGAGTGATGGGGTCCAGATGCGAGCCTGGCCCTCACATCCTGGAGCCCACACTGCTGTGCCTCCTATCCCAGTTACACCGATGTCACCATGACCTATCACCCACTCACAATGAAGCACCCAAGGGAGCGTCCGCACAACTGAATTTCTTTAATTTTCCCTTAGCAACAAATGTCCCTGATGAGAAAAACTGACTTGGGTTCACAGTAATTATGTGCAGACAATTGGGATTGAATAGATTTGCCATTTGAAAAGCCTTCCTCTTCTTTTGTTTCTGTGAATGCACCCCTGTTCACAACCGGGTGCCAGCAAGCTCTGTTCTCTTTGTGTAACTTCACCAAAATGATACCTTTGTGATAATCAAGCAGAAATGGGCTTCCACAGTCCCCTTCATTAAGGAAATGGAGCAGATAAACAGTGTAATTATGGATTCCATTTTTAGCTAAAACAAAGATGTATGTCTCAGCTCAGGGTCTTTATCTTTTGAGGGAATGGTAAATTTAGAATGAAGAAACCTTGCAAGCCAATAGCATATGGTGCCTGGAACATTTCCCTCCTTACGCTGGGTCTGGGATTTATATTTACATTTAATAAGATATCCCAATGACAGCAACCCTGTAGATGGACGAATTCACCTTTGCTTGTTTTCTTTTCTTCATCCATAAAATGGAAAAAGTCATATTGATGCCCAGCAGAGGGCTGTCAGCTGGAATGAGACAATTCCAGTGCAGTAGCTGCAGCTCTCGCTGTCGTCATTAGCTGAGGGAGGTCTTGGCTTAGGTCTGAGTCCACTGCCTCTTAGCTGTCTGACTTAGGTGCTTCAGAGAGGCTTGGTGGCAAATTCTAGCAGTCCCCACCCCTCAGGTATGTTGAACAGATCTGAAGATAATCTATGTGCCAGCTCTCTGGAAATGGCAAAGCACTTATGTATCAGCACACCATGCATCAATGATGCAATTATGTGACAAGGTCTCTCTGTAGTCTGTGGAAAGGAGGTCTCACAGTCTGGCAGTGGGAGTCAGAGGACATGCTGAAATGATCTATTTGGGGTCCTTTCTACAAAGCTCCTTAAGACAGAAAATAGAGAACTGAAGCACCATATTATTCCTTTCAGCTAAAAATTGGACCACTTTTGGTCCAGCTGGGGTGGGGGTGGTGAAATTGCAGAATGGGAGCCTTCACAAGTATCTCTCAACGTCATGGGTGCACAGACCATACCTGGCTCCCTTAGTCACTGTCCCCTACTCTGCACCCCTTGGTCTAGGCCACGGTTTCTCAACAGTGGCATTATCGATACTTTGAGTGGGATATTTCTTTGTTATGGGGGCTGTCTTGTGTTTTGCAGGATATTTAGCTGCATCCCTGGCCTCTACGCACCAGATTCTAATAAGAACCCTCCTCCCCCATGCTATGACAGCAAAAATGTCTCCAGCCATTCCCCTGGGAGGCAAAACTGCCCCCATTTGAAAACCACTGTTCTAGGCAAAGATCATAGTGAATGGCATTCAGTAAAAACTCTAGAATCCATAGGACCAAAATAACAGTATGACTAGATGTCTGTGGTGGCAGGTCACAAAGAAGGGAAACAGGTCAAGGCCAGGATGAGGGAAGTGGGAGTGAAAGCAGACATGAAGAGAAGGGAGCGTCTTCACTAGGTATGAAGAAGAATGCCAAAAAGAAAACCACTGAAAACAACAAGCCTGCTGCCTTCAGCCCTGTGCAAACTCCTAAGAAATAACCAGACATTTCGGTTAAAAAAAAAACCACCACCACCCAAAGCATGAGCGCCCACCCACCATGCATGGAGTACTTGCACAAGGGCTTGGCACGCATTGCTTAATTCACCTCTCACAACCATATTATGTCTATTGTTTCCTCTGTTGACAAATGGAACCAAAGTCCAGAGAGACCAAGTGACTTGCCCAGAACCTCACAGCAGGCAAGAAGCAGAGAAAGGCTACCCAGGGTGCCTAACCACTAGGTTCCAAAGCCGCTCCGGCCTCTCAGAGCTCACAGTCTGATTCAGAGGGAGAGGGGATTTGTCCCCAGGTCACTGGTGCCGCAGAGACAGCAGCCATTTAACCAACTTGCAACTCATTTTCCTGGGCTCTATTGATTTTATTTTTTTTAAATCTCATTTTTTTTCACTCCTATTAGTAAAATTGTGGAAAAGTGAGTCAAATAAGAAAAGCGAATGGTAAAAGATAACCAAGTGCGCATTTAGTAGGTTCTTCCTCATCTTTCTTTTTTCAAATCATGTGCAATTTTAACAAAAGCAAGTTGACACTACAGGTAAGATTTCCTTTCGGGGACATGATAGTCTTCTTTTCCTAACTCATATGTTGGTGTTTGTTTATTGACTCCCTATTTCCCATACCAACTACTGACCCTAATTAGCTCCATATCTCCTTCCTCCCACCATTTTATGTGTTTTTGTGTATATACGGTTTTGTTTCCTGGGTTTTGTCTTGTTTTGTTATAATTTCATGAGCATTTTTTTAATTTCATCAAAAAGTTTTCAGAAACAGAATCATTTTTCTTTCTGTGGATGGGTTGTAATTTATTGTAAAATGGTCTTTAGTGTTAGACATTTAAAGAGTTACCAGTATTTGCGATTATAAATTCCCTGGTGATGATCATCCTATCATAGAAACCTTTGTTCCCATCCAGGTTTATGTCCTCAGGCTGAATTTCTATAAGTGGGATTTGGGGCACTCACTGTCACTCAGAACTCAACCCAGCAGGGAGGAGCAAAATTGGGTCCCAGTCCTGGGGGTCACCAGACCAATGTGCATGTGTGTGGATGAAAGCAGCACACAGGGGCCCTGCTCCACTGGGCTGTCAGCCTCCCAGGGCAGAGCCAAGCCTGGACAGGCATGGATTAGGCTCCCAGTTATCAGAGAGCAAACTATGCGGGCATCAGCAGGGGCAGAACTCAGCAGATTCTGCTCCATCTCATGTTCTAAGCAGAAATCAGAGAGTTCCTGGATTCCGGCAAAACGAGCCTATGTGTAAGTTACAAAGCCATGACTATAGTGACCCTAATGGTCATGCCTAGCACCAGAAAGATTTGTTAGGATATTGAATCAGCAAAGATAAAGCACCTACTGTGTGCTCAGCACCAGTTAGGTGTTAAGAGAGAACAATGTTTAAGACACAGCTCCTACCATCAAGAAATTCTAGGTTAGTGTAAAACACAAACAGTGAGGCAATAATGGTAAAGAAGAGATAGGATAACGCATGAGCTGACTGGGGCAGGAGCAAGAAGAAAATGTTCATTCTGCCTGAGGGAGTTGAGGGAATCCTCACAGACTGGGATCTTAAGGGAAAGGAAAGGGAATGTTAGATTAAAATAGATCCAGCACCTGGGGCAATGCTGATATGTGACTAATCAATCTCTTTTTTAAAAGACAGACAGTTAGAAATAATAAGAATGGTAATAGCCTACTAGTCCCTGGCCTCCCAAGTAGGAAAATGAACATGAATGAAGGAAAGAAAGAACAGAGTGTATCTGAGAAATAGCACATGAGTGGGCAGGCCTGGGGCAGACTGCTGGAGCCAGCGTTCATTAAGGATCACTGGATTTGGAGGCGATCATCATCATTGTCATGGTCACAGTGTCACCACCATTATAATTACGGATACTCTTTCTTTTATTTATTTATTTTCCTTCCAACTTTTATTTTAGGTGTGGAGGGTACATGCAGGTTTTTTATACGGGTCAACTGCATGTCTCGAGGGTTTGGTGTACAGATTATTTCATCATCCTGGTAGTGAACGTAGTACCCGATAGGTAGTTTTTTCATCCTCACCCTCCTCCCACCCTCCACCTCAAGTAGGCCCCAGTGTCTGCTGTTCCCTTCTTTGTGTCCATGTGTACTCAGTGTTTACCTTACTTATACATGAGAACATGCAGTATTGCTACTATTTTTTGAGGACTTATGTTCCAGTCACTGTGGTCAGCACGTAATATGATTTCTCACAGCATTAAACATACATGCACACACACACATTCACTTGCTAAGATAAATATTATTTTTCCCCATTGTGCTTAGCATAGGGAAACTGAGCCTTGGAGACAGATCAGCTGATATGCCCAAGGCCAACCTCTAAGCTGGGACTGAAACCTATTCTAACTCCACAACCCATGCCTCCAAGAGTCTCTACTAATTACACCCTCCTCAAATCATCAAAGGTATTTGAGAAGGGATAGTAATGTGGTCAGATTTATGTTCTATGAGGGTAACTGTGAAAACAGAAATAGAATGGCTAATCATTCATTTAGCCTGAGACACAGGCAGTGTGTCTGTCTCCCTTCTATTTCAGCATTGCCCATGAGCTTTCTGAAGAATTTACCTGTGCAATGTATGACCTCAAAGCCTTAGTTAAGGAAACAGGTCAAGATGTACATTCAACGTGGGCTGAATGAAGCCTGTGGAATTCTGTGTCAGACTAGATAGCACAGCACTTAGCACAAAGGCTGGCTTTTTGCTGACAGAGCTGAAAAATCATCACTTTGTCCTGGGGAATTTTCTGTGAGCCAGCACATCCCTGATGAAAAGTAGCCAGTGAACCCAGCGCTTATCCCTCCAAGCTGGGAAACAGAAACCAGTTGCTGCTCACCTTTAGCTGTCATATCGGAGTGCCACCAACTGCAGAGGTTAAATTCCACCAGGAACCTAAACAGATCGTGGAAAAGCCCAATGTTACTTCGTCATCCATGCCCATATCACAGAACAGTGACTTTCTGTATTCTTTGGCATCGCTTACCTCATTTGAGAACATCACAATTTGGAGATATCAACACAGTTGGCTGAGTTACTACTAAATTTTCACAGGGGTTTATCTTTCTTGTGAAAGGCTATTTTATCCCTAAAGCCAGGTTCACCTAGACTCAAAGATTCCTAGATGAGGAATAACCTGCTGTATAGGCTGAAATACTTTTCTCGTTGTTGTTCACCAGTTGTTCAATCTTAATATCATCTAGTTTGATTCCACAGTAAAAAGCCAATTTCTAATAAGCTTCTCTTCCCTTAGTTCAGAAATACAAATAGAATATTCTCCTCTACCAAGACTATGAACTGTAGTAATAAAACATGCTTTCAAAATGAATACTGCGACTTGAACTTGTTTAAGCCCCCTGTGTGTGTGTGTGTGTGTGTGTGTGTGTGTGTGTGTATAGAGGGAGGTGGAACAGACTTCTCTCTATGAAATTATGTCACAATGGAACTTCATAAAAATCAACATTTCTCAATGGCTGGTAAAGACTACAAAAATAATATAAATTATCCTCCAGTGGATGAAGAGAGATCAAAATTTGGTCATTTGTTTTTCAGGCTTATGGCTACTATTCCTAGCAGCTCTCTCTCAATCAAAATCCCACTATTATCTGTTAATGTTCTTTCTCTGCCTCATGTGTATATGGAGAATTTACTTCCCATTTGAATTCACAAACTTTATTAAATTAATATAGGTTACATTAAGTTAAGAGGACAGTGACTATCCATCAAATGGCATGAAATTTGCCTCAAACCCACAGAACTGGAGTCTGTAGGAAATAAGCAGGGGAAATAAGAATGAGAGAGTTTGGTACAACTTAAACAATCTTGTTTACATGTTCATCTATGTAATT
Organism: Homo sapiens; assembly: GCF_000001405.40. Taxonomy (NCBI): domain Eukaryota; kingdom Metazoa; phylum Chordata; class Mammalia; order Primates; family Hominidae; genus Homo; species Homo sapiens. The sequence goes on along the minus strand of NC_000003.12, from coordinate 55,008,434 downwards.
CTTCCCTTTTGTGTGACACGGTGTTTCTGTAATGTGTCTAATATCTAGTCTGAAAGTCAAGACTTTCATCTTTGTGCCATTTCAAGTGTTATCTAAGTCATAGATGCAACCAGCACCTCCAAACAAGACCATAGTTTGACAGAATAAACAATGAAATCATACCTGAGAAAGCCCCCAGCCCTAGCTGACAATCTCACAGGCACCCATTCCTGCACAGGCCAAGACAGCCAAAGTGGCATGGTGGACAGTCACAGCAGTGTGCTCTTCTGACCACAGCCCACCCAGGCTGCAGTAAAATCAGCCAGACATCCATGTGAAATTGAGCAGTAACCACAATAAGTAAATTTGTTGTGTATTGCAAATGATCTGCTAAACGATGACCTAATAGCATAAGGAGTGATCAACAGTCACTTAATAGAAGATCATTTTTTGGTCTCTGTGTTCAATATTTTGAGATGTTCAATGAAGTTATCTCAGAGTACTAGGAATCTAATGGTTATTGAAGGCATGACTCACAATCTCTTAGATCACTTTATGATACAAAAAGGAAAATATTAATACTTTTCAAAAAAATGCAGCAGATTTTACTTACAAGACAAGTTCTGTCATGATCCATTTTACTGCAGAGAGGAAGGCATTATAAGGCTGAAGAGAAGAATTCAGTTCATTAAAAACAATGTAGTGCACACAAAATTTGTAGCTTAATTTAGGGCTTTACATAAGGACAATGTTATTCTTCTAGAGAGATTGATATCATGTTAAAAAACAGTGGCGTTCTAGCTAAGTGAAGAAAATTGTTGGATACTGTATCCTAAAACAAACATTTTAAAACTTTGAACTCCACTCTAGTGAGATGTGATTTACAAGTAAAATAAACCTGATCTAATACAAGGGTTATCAGTGGGAGGAAAAAGGAAGTTCAGCACCCGATGCTTAAACCTTTACCCTCTAGGGGCTAATATTTTGAAGCTTAATGCTGAGGGGGCTGGAATCATATAACTAATTTCAAATGGTAATTTACAGGGCAGCCTCTTGGAAAGGTGATTCCCTGTTCTCCATCACTGTATGTCATTCACTAAAATAAGCAAAAATTGCATACACCTGATTTTAATGCCGTCCACGAATTATGTAGGATTTAAGCTGTCTTTTCTCACACTTACATATTTGGACTTGAAGAAAATGATAACCATATAAACATGTGATTTTATCCTTGCTGAAAATCTCCTTCACTCTATAAAAGAAGGCATTGAAAGCCTAATCTTTATTTCAGAATATTTTAATTAAAAAAAGCAGTTGGATTGTTTACTCTGTGATATTTCCTATGTGGATAATTCAATTTCCTGAATTCTGGAAAATACCAAGTCTCCCCCTCAGTTGGTTCTTTGTACCTAGCTATGCCAGTTATGTGAGTGGTGGGTGAACTTGAGAGACAGACAATGACGCTGGCAAATCCCGGGCTCTGGGCTCCAGATGTCAGGTCCAGAAGAATCTCAGAACCTTTTGTGGTTGCCTTTAGATATCGGAGAATTGAAATGCATGCCAAATCCTTGCTTCTGCAGCTAGAGCTGCTTAATCCCACCTTCTGAGCATTTTAATTATAAGAACTAGAACTGAGAATGGAGGAATTATCCAGTTTTAAATGAAACAAGAACAAATTTACATGCCCCCAATCATTCTCAAAACTTTCCCAGTCCGGCCAGAAAGTAAATGAGCAGAACAACAACAACAACAACAACAATGCTGAGGCTCTTCCCAGCCCACCCAGATTTCAGACTTGGTGTATCTCTTGCTCTGGTTCAACCGAGTGCTTCCACATCATTCCTTGAATCACAGTGTTCTGGGCCGCCAGGATTAGGGTCAGATAAGGATGTGAACTTTTAACAGTTTCCTGAAACCACACTTTGCAGTCCTGCGGTTTTGCCATTACATTTTACGGCTTGAAAAATAATCATCTTGCTTTCAAAAAGACCGGGCTGGTCAGACTATGGGACGATGTTGTGTCTTTGTATCTGCTGGGTGGGTAATGTGGGTCAGGGGAAGGAGAGAGTGAATAAAAGGATTAAGGAAGCTTTGGAGGTTGCGGGGGAAAGAGGGCCAGAAGCAGGGGCAGCTCGCTCTGAGGCCAGGGGAAGGCACTCAGGCATTCCATGCCAGGCATTGGCTCAATATATGAGTAAACAAAGGGATTATGCAAATACAGGATTAAAAAAATTTAAATGCACATTATCATCTAAAAGCGTAAAGCCACTGAGCTTTTAAATCTAATGGTGAAAATATATCTTGGGAACCTTTAATGTCTGGAAATATTCATGCTAAGGTTAGGGGAGTTGGGTTAGAAAGACATAGTGAGTCTCACTAAAAAGCTGTATTTTTCAAAATATTCATTTTAGTTGCCTCTTACAAATTTGCCAGCTCTGAATCATTTCTTGCTCCCTCAGTGTAGGAGAACCGTGTTAATTATCTGTTTTTTAAATAATCCCCTTGTAACATCTTACATCTGCAAATTAGAAAGTATGCACATTTTAAAGCCAAAATGGCTTTTAAGTGTTGTGTTTCAAACAAAATTTTAGGTTAATTTTTGGTATTTACAAAATAATAACATTGTAAGGGTTATATTTAAACACATGTGACAGACTATCCAGAGGTACACTATGTCTGGTTTTTTTTCTGTGTTTTTAGGTATTGCTGGCCAAATTTACATTGTCTACGCATTGTAAATTATATTTTTAATTTGGGAGTAAGTGGTAACAGTTAATTTCTGGCCATCTGAAAGCCAGTTTCTAATGGTACAATAGCTATGCTGATTGATCCTCGTCTGTGACATCACCAAGGAATCAGCTCCAGGGAAAACGATGCTGAAACCCAGTGGCATGATTAGGGGAGAGGGAATACCTGTGATCAAAATGGGAATTAGGGCAAAAGCTCACAACTCTGTTACAAACTAAAAGGAAAAGTTCTGTTGAACAAAACCAAGTTCTTTTATATACAAATGAGAGAATTAACAAAACTTCTCCCTTTTTCCATCTGTCACAAGGGGCTGCTGCATTAATCCATCAAAGACTTTAGATCCATTTCTCATTCATATAATTACTGGATTTCAGTTGATATAGCAGTGGCTTTTTTTAATTTTAATTTAATTTAATTTAATTTAATTTTTTTGAGAGGCAGGCTCGCTCTGTTGCCCAGGCTGGAGTGCAGTGGCATGATCTTGGCTCACTGCAACCTCCTCCTCCAAGGTTCAAGCGGTTCTCCCGCCTCAGCCTCCCGAGTAGCTGGGATTATAGGCACACGCCACCACGCCTGGCTAATTTTTGTATTTTTAGTAGAGACAGGGTTTCACCATGTTGGCCAGGCTGGTCTCAAACTCCTGACCCCAAGTGATCCAGCCACCTCGGCCTCCCAAAGTGCTGGGATTACGGGCATGAGCTGCCGCGCCCGGCCTGAAGTGTTTTTTTTTTTTTTTAAGTGAGTAAAGTCAAAATGTTCATGATTTTGCAAAAAGATAAACTTGATTACTCCAAAGAGGAAGATAACACTCAGACAGGGAGAAAGACAGAAATGTGTGGCTGTTTTCTGAGTGACAGCATAGTACTTACATCCAGGAGGCCATGGGCGCCATCGCTGCTTTCCTTGTTGGCTCTACACATGGCTTGGTAGTCATAAAGGGTAATTCTACAGGAAAGAAATGGAAGGGAGCTTCACTAAATGAGAAAACACGGGAACCAATTGATGCTATGTACTACAAGGTGAGCAGTCACTATCATCAAGTGCAACGGTGACAAACACCATGCAGCCCTAACATGGATGATGAACAAGGAGCCTGGCAAAGGCCAGTGCTGGAGGCACAGTCATGTTACCACTTGGAATTTGAAGGACAAAGGGAACGAAGGTATTGGAAAGGGTAGAGGGGGATGAGGACCCATCTAACTTGACGAAACAGTCATTTGGTCTGAACAAGGATGGTCTGCATTGAGCAAGATATTCCAAAGGGAATGTGCTGTTCTGAACTGGATTCTAAGACCCGGATGGAATTTACTTGGGCCATGTCTCCAAGGGACAGGAGAACTAAGAAGAACCACTTTGGGATAAAGCATGGCAGGATTCTGTGTTTCTTAAGCACCAGGAAACAGGTTTGGACCAGGATAAGCCCTGTACATTGACAAAGTGTAGGAAACCAGCTGGCTTACTAATTGTAATCCCTACTCCTTATTGTCATCACCATAAGAGTGAATGTACCTTATTTTGAAAACAGCATAGCTTATGAAACAAAAACAAGGTGGACATTTTTTTCCTACACTGGCGATAAAAGTATGGCTTTCATCCCAATTATGACCTTTACTCTGTTGCAAAAATGTTTTACTTTAACATTATTCAATGTATTTTAATTCCCCCATCAACAAAGGAAAGGTGAATGGCAATTTCTGGTAGCATGTGTTCGGACTCAGAAACCATTACGCCAAAATATGGTGCTTTGACTTGAAGCAGTCTCAAAGTTTCTCCGACCTTGCTCCCTGTCTCCCTTACCACACAGTCCCAAACCACAGGATGCAGTTGTTTTCTGAAGTTCCCTTATCTATCTAAAAGCCAGATCTGCCAAAGAGGAATACAATTGCCTTTCCTGACATTTCATTCACCAGAGAAGAGAAGATTACAATTCATATTACAGAGGAAGAGATTGAAAATTAAACACCACACCTAGAGCCCAGGCCAACTTCTTCCCAAATCATTGTCAGCTCTCCATCCCATTCAATTTCCATTGAAATTATTTACTAACCATTTAGGCCCACTCGTTTCCCCCTCAAAATCATTTATTATCCCTCAAGTAGCCATATTTCCCCCTTTTCCCTCCCCTACGAAGACGGGCATTTAAGCATCTGTACCCCATTGGGTTACTGGGTAACCATTCTACTATGATTCCCCTGTGTTGTCCATATTAAAATAAATTTTGTGTGCCTTTTTTTCCTATTCACCTGCCCTTTGTCAGTTCATTTTCAGCAAACCTTCAGGGGATGATGGGGCAAGCTCTCCCTCTTTGCCCCTACACATGTTCCAGTATTTAGATGGTATGAACATCTTATCCCATGCTTGAAAGGTATAGCCAAAGGAGTCTGGCATTCCCACCCTTCCCTTCGGCATCCCCTCCTGCCATGAGTAGCAGCCCAAAGGAGAGACATGTAAAGTCGAGCCTGAGTTACATAACAACTGCCAGATGAGATTTTAAACACTTTAATACATGTGCTTCTACATGACTGGATGAAATTCTCTCCACAGGAATTCCTTTCTAGAATACTACAATGGTTAATGTTGAGTGCACTTACTGCTGTGCTCGGAAAGACCTGTAGATGTAAAAGCTTCATGCAGCAGGACTGGTGTTGGCTCTGTTTCACACCGACCTCTAGCACCTAGTACAGCACCCAGCATACAGAAGGCATTCAGTTTTAAAAGGGTGAATGCATAAATGATTGCCTGATTGCACAAATGTTACACAGATGATGAGAACAAAGTGGTCAACTGCAAAATGTGATGTGGAGGCTCCTTATCTGGACAGTAACTTACGGACATTACCGATAAATGGATTAAACACAGTCGTCTGTGGGTACCAAGCAGAAAACCAGCCACATTTGACCAAATGGAAGATCAAAGCCAGCTCCTAACCAGCAGCATCACACAGCACTCCTTGGGCAGCAAAGCCCAAGGGGATACCAGTGGTCACGTAGCCAGTCCTCAAGGTCTTTTCTTCATCAGAATATTTCTTCACTGTCCTCTGGCTTTTTTCCTTACACAGATGCAGGCAAGAAGCTTTGAAGCTTTGTTTACACAAACAGAAACGAAGACCATAAATCAGCCAAGCATTAGGCTTGGGGATGTCCCCGCACAAACTTCTCACAGAAACGCTCTCACCATTGACACAGCCCTAGCACTAACCCAGACACCGGGATATGTCACAGAATCAACTGCAGACCACAATGGACAACTCTAATTGGTCCCTGACTGGCCCGCCAGGCCACCATCTCCATCCTCACTCAGGAGATTTCTACAGGTACCCCTGCAAGGGCTTTCTAGCATTTGGCAAGAATTGGTATTGACTTATCCTTTTCCCACTGCCCAATGCTGTCTCTACACCTAAAACATGTGCCAGAGCCAGGTGAGAGGCAGCATGGGGTTGAGAGGAATGTGCATGTGCTTGGAGTCTCATAGCCATGGATGCAGGATGGCCATGGTTTCAAAAGTTGGTCCTGTCGTATATACAGGGTACATTCTTTTTTTTTTTTTTTTTGATATGGAGTCTCACTCTCTGTCACCCAAGCTGGAGTGCAATGGCATGGTCTTGGCTCACTGCAACCTCTGCCTCCCAGGTTCAAGCGATTCTCCCACTTCAGCCTCCCGAGTAGTTGGGACTACAGGCACATGCCACTACACCCAACTAATTTTGTATTTTTAGTAGAGATGGGGTTTCACTATGTTGGCCAGGCTGGTCTCGAACTCCTGACCTTGTGATCCACCTGCCTCAGCCTCCCAAAATGCTGGGATTATGGGCGTGAGCCACCGCGCTCGGCCTCCAGGGTGCATTCTTGAGCAGCTTGCTGGTACTCTTCAAAGGCTTCGTTTCCTGACTTATTAAACAATTACAGAGATGTTCTGAGATCTAAATAACCAGCTGTGTAGAAGTACACTGAAATATGCTCTAAGTGTGCCAACGTTGTTAAGATCCTTACAACAGAAGACTGATTTTATTCTTTGTTAGAGTTCGGGCTCTTAAAGCTGCACTGTTCCCAAAGGCTCAAGAGAAGGCAATGTGACATAGTGAAAATGCCATCTTTGAAGTCAGTAATACCTGAGCTCAAATCCTAACTCATCCACTTACAACAATGTCTTTTTAACCCTCTTGGTGCCTCAGTTTCCTATCTGTGAAATGGTGAGAATAATGACTACCTTATAGGGTGGTCATAGGGTTAAAGAAGGTTATCTATGTGTTGCATTCAGCACAGTGCCTGCTAGAGAGGAAGTATTCCAACAGGAGGCAGAGCTATAGCTGCTGTTATAAGTATTGGTATCTTTTCATTGCCACTACCAATTAATGGGCTGGTGTTTAAAGGAATGGGAATTGACACAGGCATTACCCAGCTGGCTGAAAGATGAACAAGGCTCCCGGTTTTCTTAGCTCATTGGCATAGACAATGCAGAGGAAAATCCATGCTTGCTACTGCAATACAAGGACACCATCAGAAGCTGTGCTGGTGTTACCAAGCGATGATGCAGGAACTTCTGTCCATGGGCTTCTTAGCGGAAGGCAATGATAACAACAGCTGATGTGTACTGAACTCTGTTTAGCAACCATAAGCGAGGTACTCCTCTAAACACATCCCTATAAGATAGATTATAATCATCTCCATTTTACAGAGGGGAAAACCAAGTCTTAGCCAGCCTAAATAAATATGCCCAAGTTCACATAGATCATTGGTGATAGAGCCAGATTTAGTAGGGGGCCAAGCTGAATCCACCACCTTTTGCTCTCTGCTCAGAAGCAGGCTCTGACAGATTCTAAGAAATGCTTAGGCTTCAGACCTGTTCCCCAGCCCAGGGTCTTATTGGAATGTCACAAAAAATGCTGCCCAAGATAACCAATGTCCAGAATCAACTTTCAACCCAAGCTGAAGGGCTGATGAGTCACCAGGCCAGACTGGAACAGCTGGCTGCACTTGTGAATACTTCTTACCATGGTAACCACTCTGACAGATGGCAGGAAACTCAGGATTCTCCTTGGATCATTTTCAAAGGCTCTAGTTTACATGTTGGGGCTAAACTAAATTGCTCTGGGGCAGCCCCCAGGCCAAGGTTCCTTTTATTTATTTATTTATTTTTAAATATTACTTTAAGTTATAGTATACATGCGCAGAACAAGCAGGTTTGTTCCATAGGAATACATGTGCCATGGTGGTTTCCTGTACCTATCAACCCATCATCTAGGTTTTAAGCCCCATGTGAATTAGATATTTGTCCTAACACTCTCCCTCCCCTTGTTCCCCACTCCTCTATTTCAAAAGGAGGCTTTCCTGATACTATTGCCATTGACGAGGTTACAAAATAAGCCTTCCCTGTCTTCTCCACACTTGGACAGCTTTAACTAGATATTGCAGCAGGAGACTTCCAGATTATTACCCTTTTTGAAGTGACTTTGTTACTGTTTTAAATAACTCCATTTTGCGGCTACCTGTATCCTGTTCGGCTGATTACAGTTAAAGAACATGATAATTGCCTGCTTTCATTTGACTCTAAAATCAGCTCTGAGAATCATGCCCAGCCCAAGACTGGTGCTGTGTGCAGCTGCACTCAGCAGTGGGGGTGTATTCTTATTACAGATAACATGCCTTAATCCCCATGACATCACCACCAGGCTACTCCAACCAACCTTATCATTAGCATCGCTGTGTGCCCACATGGATGGTGGAACTTTGAAACTTTAAACTTTGACAGAAGGCAGATACGGCCTCTGAAGAAACAACTCAAAGCAATACAAACAAAGCCTGGTAGCCCTGCACCCATGCTGGGTAGAGCCTTGGATGACAAACTCATGACATTAAGACATGTTTAAAGCCATTTTGCTGATACTGTTCTTTCTTTTCCAACTAGACAAAAATCCTGACCAAGAAAAATATTTGCTCTAAGAATTAGCAGGCTGCATTTTAACAGCATAAGCTCAGCTAATTTAGGCTGGCTAATTTAGGGGTGGTTAGCAACTGTGGGGCTCAACATTTATTAAACACCTACTATGTACCGTGAGGCCAGGTAATTTTCCTGTAATGATTCATCAAATTAGCTCACTTTGGCTAAACAACTGGCCTAAAAACAATCTTGAAACAGCTTAATGTCTGCAAATACAGCCCTAAAAACAGGACAAGGGAGGCATTAGACATAGAGACCTATCATGGGACATAATTAAGCAATTCCGAATTGAAAAGTCTGAGAAGCAAAATGACTCACTAAGGTAGCATGTAAAAATATGTCTTCTTTGTTGCGCTATAAAATGTGTCCTCTGGGGGCAGCTTTCAACTTGCAATTGAAAAGGCATGGGGGAGGAACATAGGAAATTCTTAACAAAGAGACCGTCGCCATGGGAAGCCCTTACTCATTCTTACATCTCAGAAAGCCAGGAAAGTAGAAGGCTCAACCTGTTGATAGGAGTGCTAATAGAAGATTCAAAATGTGCTCTCCCTTCTCTCCTGCTCGTATCAGTCATCATCTCATCCCACAGCAACTTCTTGCAGAGATGGCACTGTTCTTTAAGATTGGTGCAGTGTCTCTAACACAGCAGAGGCAGTGAATTTACAAAACCCTGGTCCTACTGCCTTTGAGCCCTCCAACTGGAAATTAGTTAAACAACTTTAGCTGGCCGGGCGCGGTGGCTCACGCCTGTAATCCCAGCACTTTGGGAGGCCAAGGCGGGCGGATCATGAGGTCAGGAGATCGAGACCATCCTGGCTAAAATAGTGAAACCCCGTCTCTACTAAAAATATAAAAAATTAGCCGGGCATGGTAGCAGGTGCCTGTAGTCCCAGCTACTCGGGAGGCTTAGGCAGGAGAATGGCGTGAACCCTGGAGACGGAGCTTTCAGTGAGCTGAGACCACGCCACTGCACTCCAGCCTGGGCGACAGAGCAAGACTCCATCTCAAAAAACAAAACAAAACAAAACAAAACAAAACAAAACAAAACAAAACAAAAACCAACTTTAGCTAATGAGCACCCATCATTAGCCAAGAATAAACCACACAGGCTATCAGGACCTCCCAGGGTTCACTGCTGAACACTGAATGGGGAGCAACAAGAAAGCGTCACTCATTTGGTGGATTAAGCAGAGGGTCTGTTGGCACCAAATCAACACCTTTCATCAACAGGTGCTGATAATATAAAGAGAAACAAAATTGTAGATACTGAGATATTAATCCCATCAGCATCTTACCCAGGTAAGAAGAACAGTAACCATAAGAATTAATTGATTAAAGGCCAGGTGTGGTGGCTCACGCCTGTAATCCCACAACTTTGAGAAGCCAAGGTGGGCCGATCACTTGAGGTCAGGAGTTCAAGACTAGCCTGGCCAACATGGCAAAACCCCATCTCTATTAAAAATACAAATTAGCCTGGCGTGGTGGCACGCACCTGTAGTCCCAGCTACTCGGCAGGCTAAGACATGAGAATTGCTTGAACCCAGGAGGCGGAGGTGGCAGTGAACTGAGATTTGTGCCACCGCACTCCAGCCTGGGCATGGGCAATAGAGCAAGACTCCATCTCAAAAAAAAAAAAAAAAAAAGAATTAATTGATTACTTTCTGTCAGCAGTGTTGACATTATCTCTGATGGTCATATTTTATATAAGGGGAAACTAAGTCTCAGACAGATGAAGTCACAGGTCCAAGATTATCAGCACGCTAGTAATCAAAGGGGCTGGATTATTAGTCCAGGTCTCATAGTTTAAAGCTGCACACTTAAACTGCTTCCCAAACATGAATTCCCAAGGGATATCTTGCTCCTTAGGGATCTCATGGGCCTCTGATGAGGCCTCATCGAAGAATCTGGAAAATTGGATGTAAACTCACTCTCAATTCCTAAGGCATACACATTGGCATTTGTTTAAAACAGTGATTCTCAACGTTGGCTGCCCTTTGGAATCACCTGGGGAACTTCAAATAAATTTTCTTTCCTTTTCTTTTCTCTTTTGAGATGGGGTATTGTTCTGTCACCCAGGCTTCAGTGCAGTGGCACATAGCTCACTGTAGCCTTCAACTCCTCAGTTCAAGCGATCCTCCTGCCTCAGCCTCCTGGATAGCTAGGACTACAGGTGCATGTCACCATATCTAGTTAATTTTTTTCTTTTTTTTTGGGTGGGGGTGGGTAGAGATGAGGTTTCACGTGCTGGATGTGGTTGCCCAAGCTGGTCTCGAACTCCTGAGCTCAAGCACTTCCCCCACCTAGGCCTCCCAAAGTGCTGGGATTACAGGCATCAGTCACTGAGCCGGGCCAAAGTAATTTTATATACATGATGATACCTAGCATCTCACCTCCTATCTGCAATATTTCATTAGTCTGGGGTGGGGCTATTTTTTAAGCTCCCTAAGGAATTCTAATGTGCAAACAGGTTTGACAGCCATGAATTTTAGAATGTGATATACCTCACTTGCATTTTCTTGTGTTGTTTCTTCCCCTCTCACCTTAACTGTAAGTAGCTTGCAGGCAGGAACTGGACTTTATTTATTTTATTTTTTGTTTTGTTATACTTTAAGTTCTGGGATACATGTGCAGAATGTGCAGGTTTGTTACCTAGGTATACATGTGCCATGGTGGTTTGCTACACCCATCAACCCATCATCTACATTAGGTATTTCTCCTAATGCTATCCCTCCCCTAGTCCTCCACCCCCTGACAGGCCCCGGTGTGTGATGTTCCCCTCCCTGTGTCCATGTGTTCTCATTGTTCAACTCCCAATTATGAGTGAGAACACGTGGTGTTTGGTTTTCTGTTCTTGTGTTAGTTTGCTGAGAATGATGGTTTCCAGCTTCATCCATGTCCCTGCAAAGGACACGAACTGATCCTTTTATATGGCTGCATAGTATTCCATGGTGTATATGTGCCACATTTTCTTTATCTAGTCTATCATTGATGGGCATTTGGGTTGGTTCCACTTTAAAACCCAGACGCATCCTCCCAGGGCTTAGTACCAGTCTGGACACATTCAGGGGTACTTCCTTGACTCACCAAATAGGAGGTGCCACCTGCAAACCTCAAGGATAAACAGTTTCCCATTGTCCTGGAGAGCAGCACTGATTTGATAAACAAGTGTGAGTGCCCCAGAGCCAAGAAGAGAGGGTCCTCTGAAAGAAGGTGGCCCTGGGGAGACCAACAAACTTCAAGCATCAAGACAGTCCCTGTCCCCACTCAGAGCGGATGTTGCTCTACCAACCGCATTTGCTTTGCTCCTGGGGCAAGTGATCAAATTCATGGGTGCCCAGTAAATGCACCTAGCTGCCAGCTGGTTTGCCCATTCACGCAGCCCCTCCCATGGAAATTAGCTTCACTTATGAAACTGAAGGGGAAAATGGAATCACAATTAATTCAATATAGAAAATATTAAATTTCTTTTGTCTCCTTAGAAGGAAAAAGCTGAATTCTGCTTTGGGAATGAGTTAATGCAAAACCCATTTGAAGCAGGAGAGCTGATTCTGGGGAAGCGTCCTTGGGCTCTGCCACATTCGTGAAGCCAGGTCCATATTTCATAGCAACTGCACCACAATGATGCCTGTACTGCACTTGGCAGTGTGGGGCATGTCATTGAGGCTTAATAAATGTTAGTACCTCTGAGTGTTGGTATTGCTGCTGTTATGATTATTATTCATAAAACCCAACAGGTGTTATTGAATGTTCCTACTTCCATTGTCTGGGGTCAGGCAGGCACACGGACAGGTGGTTAGAAGGTGGCTATGACAATCTGTGTTCAGGACCGCATTGGGCATGCTGTGGGGAGGGAAGACTAGGAGAAGAGTTATGAATACAGCCCCATCACTCAAGGAGTTCCAAAGGGGTTATCAGAGGAAGCCAGAGGACTCATATAGTTTGAAGCAAACTGGGGCATGCTGGATGTGGTAGAAACTATCAGTAGTTTCACAATAACTATTCTCCTCTTCTGGTGAGCAGAACTCTGACTTTTTAATATGCACATTTCCCAGGTTCCTTTGTAGTGAGGTAAGGCCAAGTGATTAAGCACAAGTATTGTATGGGAGGCTGCTTAATACATTAAAAATCTTATTTAAAGCATTTATTAAAAAGTAATTTGAAACTTGGCCTTTTGGAGCTTTTGGAACTCCCTGAACTCTTCTTTTGCAAGCCTGAATTGCAGATATGATGGCTGGGGCTCAGCAGCTACATTGAATCATGAGGTAACCTTGAACTTAAAAGCCATCTTGGAGAAAGGTAGAAGAAAAAGTTGTGGTCCTGGGTCTGTAACGTGAGGGTCCCAAATTAGTATTTTTAGACTTCCTTACCATAAGAGATGAAAAAAGACCTCTTATGTTCTTTAAGTCGTCCCTGTTAATTTGGATTTTCCTGTTATTTGTGGCTGGACCAATTCTAACTAATACATTGGACTCTAAGTTTGATTAAAAAACTTTCTTTGGCCAGGTGCAGTGGCTCACACCTGTAATCCCAGCACTTTGGGAGGCTGAGGCAGTTGGATCACCTGAGGTCAGGAGTTCAAGACCAGCCTGACCAACATGGCGAAACCCTGTCTCTACTAAAAATACAGAAATTAACTGGGCATGGTGGCGGGCGCCTGTAATCCCAGCTACTCAGGAGGTAGAGGCAGGAAAATCGCTTGAATCCGGGAGGCAGAGGTTGCAGTAAGCCAAGATTGCACCATTGCACTCCAGCCTGGGTGACAAGAGCGAAACTCCATCTCAAGAAAAAATAAATAAATAAATAAAAAGAAAGACTTTCTTTCTCTATCTCTTAAGGCAGAGCAAATATGAATGTAAAAAGAAAAACTCTGCAGAAGATATGCTAGTCTGCTCCAACTATGGAGAAGACATGAATGGTTATCAGGAGAACATGCTCTGGAATCTGAGAGACATGAGTTCAAATTCTGTCTTCTCACTCATGCCTGTGAGAGAGCTTGACAAGTTGCTGGGAGCCTCCACTTCTAGTCCCTTGTTTGTCAAATGGAAATAATAATAGTAGTTACTTCATGGAATTGTGATGGGAATTAATTAAGGTAATGCATGTTAACTGCCTGGAATAATGCCTTGCCTATAGTTAGTATTTAATAAGTGAGACAGACTGCATGATGATGAAGATGAGGGCAGTTACTGTTATTGCTGTAACTGGGGATGCTCAAGCAGCAGCTTTTGGATTTTAAAGAGTGGTTCATTGGAAGCTCCATGTCTCTGCCTTCCAGAAAGTTTGGCCCAGAAATATACTTGTCCAAACCAATCTGTCTCCTTGTTCCCTTCAATGCCACCTCTGACAAAGCATAATTCTGAGGACATGGTCAGGTCAGCAGGAAGCCACGAAGCCATTACACTCATTACATGAGTTGTTGAGTATTAGACATCAGCGGGGCAGTCGGCATTAAAGGCGAGCAGCCATCCAAACATAACAGAATTCTCCTTTAACACTCTCTACACTCCAAGGCCAGGGCACTCGCTGAAGTGTAATGTGATTACCAAAGACAGGGAAAGCTCCCAAGTCCCACCACACAGAGACAGGAGTAGAAATGATACAGATCTTGGATTCTACCTGGATGTGTCACCTTTTAGAAAGGTGATTTAAATAGCAGAAGCTGCCACAGGGAATTCCACACAAGCCAGCCATGTTAATGAACACTTGTGGGGTGCAGCGACAAGGACATTTGCCAGATCCCATAGGGAAAATATGAATGGCCTTGGACAGGTAAAAGCTCAAGCGTGTTGCACCAAGCACAGCAGAAATACAAACAACAAAAACCACGCAAAACCACACACACACACAAAACACACACACACACACACACACACACACACACACACTAGCAGTTGCAACCAAAAAAAAAAAAAAAAAGAGAGAGAGAGAGACAGATAAGACAATGGCCATGAAAGATAGGTACTACTGGTGGCTCGACGAGAGCAGTCCATTTCCTGGCAAGCCAAGGGCCAGGTGTGCTCCATTGGTCTTTCTGGCCTCCAGCATAATCAGATAGACAAAGAACAAGGGAAGAGCCTTTGGTCTTTCCAGAAATCACAAGTATGTTGGTAAAAGCAAAAAACCCAGGGCAAACCCTCAAGTTCTGGATATTTGATAACAGCCACATTTTCATCCTTCAGTAAAGATTTCTTTCTTTACCTGTTTTTTGAAGGCTCTTGCTCTTTCCTTGGGCTCCATATTGAACTCATTTCAACTTTCCCTTCGGTCTCCCTGGCTCAAATGTCCTAAAAGTCATATTTGTGCTTCTCATGTAACAAATGGCACTTCATGTCCAGGTTGGTGCCCAGCTCCGCAGAACTCAGGCAAGATGTATTACATTACTTACAAGGGGAAGGGAGGAGAGGAATTGGAAAAGGGTGGAAGAGCCTTTGCTTTTTCATGTCTTACTAGCAATCTGCTAGATATTTTGCTGGAGCAAGGTGCCCTACCTGAGATTAACCCAGAGTGTTATCCTTGCTGTCTATGTGCTTAGTGTTTTGCCCTAGCATCAGTAGTTCCAGTGCCCCCCAGGGGCCTCTAGGAGAGTAAAGTGCTAATATGGTTTGGATCTGTGTCCTCACCCAAATTTCATGTTGAACTATAATCCCCAATGCTGGAGGTGGGGCCGAGATTGGATCATGGGGGCAGATGGAAGTGATTGCATCATGGGGGCAGATTTCCCCCCTTGGTACTGCTCTTGTGATAGTGAGTGAGTGCTCACGAGATCTCGTTGTTTTAAGGTGTTTAGCACATCTCCTCCTCCCTCTTCCTCCTGCTTCAGCCATGTGAAGACATGCCTGCTTCTCCTTCACCATCCGTGATGGTTGTAAGTCTCCTGAGGCCTCCCCAGCCATGCTTCCTGTACAGCCTGTGGAACTGTGAGTCAATTAAACCTCTTTTCTTTGTAAATTACCCAGTCTCAGGTACTGCTTTTTTCTTTTTTTTTTTTTTCTTGTTGTTCAGGTATTTCTTTATAGCAGTGTGAGAACCGACTAACACAAGCACCATCAAGACACTGAAGGTGGGGGCCCCTCCCATCACACCCTAAGGGGAGGATGCAGGGACAAGAAGATAATCCAAGAAGCTGACCTCAAAAAGATGGGCTGGGGGCTCTTCCCTCTAGGAAGAGACGGATTCAGACATTGCTTAGAAGTCTAAAAAGAGGAGAAAGAACAGAGGAAACAGAGAAAGGTAGAAGTTGTGGATCAGAGAGGACCGCCAGGAGCTCTCACTTTGTGATATGATTCATTTGTGCCAGCTGATTGTGTCCTGCAGGGATCTCCCCTGTGGTCACAATGGGAGACATCCAGGAAGGAAGCTGAGTGCCCACACTCAGGAGGGTGGGCTGTAGGCATGTATGTACCTTTAAGCTGGGGACACCTCAGTTACTCACATATCATTCCATATATCCCTCACTTGTAGGTATATGAATAATTATTTTCATCCTATTTTGCTGCAAAGATCAGGTGACTCCTAAGAGCGTAGTAGCTAGACTGCTACCATGCTTTTAACCTCGTGTCTTGATGCTGGCTGCACATGAGAATCACAGAGAAGCTTTTAAAGAGCACAAGTGCCTGGGCAACATCCCCAAATCAACTTAATATACGATTTCTTGGGCTGCAGCTTGAACTTGGAGTGTTTTTAAAGGTCCCCAGGGATGCTAACGCACAAGAGAGTTCAGGTCCATGAATCACCCCAACACTGTGCTGTAAAGGTAACTGCTATGTAGTAACTATCCTTTGGGGGTTATTAGTGATAAAATAAGACAAACAAACAAAACAAAACAGGAGAAAATTGGAAAATAAGAAGAACTCAGACATATGGAACTCTACTCAAAAGGTATTCTTATCTCCTGTTTGCAATGGCTTTGCAATTTGAAAAGCATTTTAACATATTGTATTTTAGTTAATTCTCAGAAAATCCATTGAGATCCCTATTTTGGTAATGAAGAAACAGGCTCAGAGAGGCTGACGACACCGTCCATGGCCACACAGTGGAGAATCTTGTGCTCAACCTGAAGTCTTCTTATTTCAAGTCCAGAGTATCACAAAGGCCCCGTCAGGAACCTTGAAAGAAGAAGACTCCTATGACAGGCTGTATTTTCTCCCTTTTCCCTAGATACATGACAACATTGAATTTGCATTACCAGGGGTAAACAAATTCTAATGAAAGGATTTTGAGACTAGATTTTCTCTTCATAGTTGCAAGAGGCCGGGCATGATGACTCACACCTGTAATCCTAGCACTTTGGGAGGCCAAGTTGGGGGGATCACCTGAGGTCAGGAGTCCAAGACCAGCCTAGCCAACATGGTGAAACCCCGTCTCTACTAAAAATACAAAAATTAGCTGGGCATGGTGGTGTGCACCTGTAGTCCCAGCTACTCGGGAGGATGAGGCAGAAGAATCGCTTGAACCCAGAAGGCGGTGGTTGCAGTGAGCTGAGATTGTACCACTGCACTCCAGCCTGGGCAACAAGCGAGACTCTGTCTCAAAAAAAAAAAAAAAAATACTCGACACTTTTTGAACACAGGGCCCCACATTTTTATTTTGCACTGGGCCCTGCAAATTGTGCAACTGGTCCTATTTATGCCTGTCTCAGAGTTACTGGAAAGCCTGCAAAGAGGTAAGATCTGTCAAGGACAAGCCAAGCCTGGAGTCTGGTGGGTGCTCAGCGAACGCAGCCATGATTATTACTGTCATGCTGCTGAACCTATTGGTCTGTGAGTTGGATCCTGGATACTAGGTCATATGTAAGCTGGCTAGAGTCAGGTCAAAGAGTCAACTAAAGTGCCCAAGAGTGGTCAATTTTGCCTCTTAGATTGTTTCACACGCTGCTGTGAGACTTTCTCAAAATTCTTTCAAGTTGTTAATTTGTTCACATAAATCAGTGGTTTTCCTTCTGCCTGCACTACAGACCCAGAAGTGGATGTTCTTTCCCTCTGATGGCACTGTCAGGTAGAACAGCCAATGGGTCACGAGGTGAGTGGTCAGAATGGTCAGGGGAGAGGTCTGCTGTCACCCAGACAAGCATCACCTTGCTTCCCTGGAGAGAGGCAGCAAAATGACCAAGACAGAGAAACAAAGGGGAGGCTATGAAGGGAGGTAGTGCTCTCCTCTTGGAGCTCTGTCTTTCTGGAGAAGATGGTTTGTGGAGTTCTTGTGCATGAAACTTGTTTCTTTCTTTCTTTCTTTTTTTTGTTTGAGATGGAGTCTCGCTCTGTCACCCAGGCTGAAGTGCCGTAGCATGACCTCGGCTTATCGCAATCTCCGCCTCCCAGGTTCAAGCAATTCTCCTGCCTCAGCCTCCCAATTAGCTAGGATTATGGGCACACACCACCATGCCCAGCTAATTTTTGTATCTTTAGTAGAGACAGCGTTTCACCTTGTTGGCCAGGCTGGTCTTGAACTCCTGACCTCAAGTGACCCACCCATCTCTGCCTCCCAAAGTGCTGGGATTACAGGCGTGAGCCACTGCACCCGGTCTGAAATTTGTTTCTTTAGGACTGGGTATAAGACTATCAGATAAAGAAACTGAGGGCCAGCCCGGTGCTGTCCAAGATGCTGAGATGAGGGGTCAGCACAGTAAACTGATCTCGAGTTTCACCTGGGCTAACCACAGCACCAGAGCAACGCAGCTTCATGTAACCCATGTTTGAGGGTGGGCTCAATTCAATATGGTGCATGACTTCTGATCCAGAGTGCTGTCAGTTACAGCCAACTATATCCTTTCACTGCTTCTGAACTATAGATCTTCTCTGAATGACAGGAGTGTCAACCTTATGCTCTGAGCAAGCACTGCATGCTGGGAAAGGCAAGGGCACAAATGTGTGATTGCAAGGACTGTGGTCCTCCAACACCAGAGACCCATCATATGGTGTCATAGGAAGCCTGTAGGGAGACGTGTAAATGTAGATGAAGCAATACCTGGTGCTAAGTGGAAAGCAAATTCAAGACAGAACAAAGATCGACAACAAAAATCATGGCTGCAGCTCACAACTAATTGAGCTCTTCATACATGCCAAGTTCTGTGCTAAGAACTTTATGCTTACTATGATCTCACTAGCTCTGACAGCAACCCTTGGAAGTAATTATTGTCATCTTCATTTTCCATGTAGAGAAACCAGTGTTTGGAGAGGTAATCTGACTAAATCAAGCAGCTGGTAATGTCAGAGCCTAGATTTGACCCCAGTCTGTCTGACTCCAAAAATCAAACTCTCAATGCTCTACTGGCCCCAGTGAGGAGGCCCGTCAAAGAAGCCCAGGAGGTTTGTCAACTTGCTCCTGGATGACAGCAGTTGCTGTAATAACTGAGTTCCCAGCCCTTCCTTTTTCTCAAATATGTTGGCTACTCTTGTAGTAAAAGGAAGTTCTAGATTCATGCCAACTGTACTTCACCCACATGAAGGAGAAGACTAGAGGTTCAAAATTCCATTACACCCTTTCTCTTTCTCCCACCAAACAGTTTGAAAGGAATATCCAAGAGGGAGAGGAAAAAATAGGTTTGTTAAAGAAGTTGAAAAATGTGCTTTCAAATGAGAAACACGTGTGCGATTATTCCTCATCTTTTGTCTCCTCCCCCCACCAAGTTGAAAAGAAGTTAACATGATACAAATGCACACATCCACATAAAGATAGGAAAAGTCAGTGGTGCCGTGGATGGCAGGCCAGGAGCTGCTGCAGGAAGCTTGAAGAAGTGGTGGAAAACTCCACAGCCACTCCAGCCCAGATCCAAGCAGAGTTTTCAAGCATGTGTACAATGACTCCCAGCAAAGAAGAAAACTGTACTTGAATTTTTTTTAGAAGGGAAGGGAGCAGGAGGGGACGATCTGCTACAGGCAGGCCTGAGAGCAAGCAAGTATGTCAGAGATTGCAGAAGTGCTGGCACTAGGCCAGGTTCTTATATCATTTCTTTTTTTTTTCTTCCCTTCTGGCACAAACAAGCTATGGAATTTCAAACACTGGGTCATCATTTTTGAATTCCCTGCTTTCAGCAAAGTGCTCAGTTGGTCTTGTTGACTAGCTTAAAAGTCTGATTTCCTGAGCTAACACTTCCTAGCCATTCAGCCGCAGAAGAGTAATAAACCAGGGGCCTGCCTACCCACTGGCCACCGATGTGCAATGGATCTCTCAGGGAAGCTGGAGGGCCATCCTTGCATTTCCTGCCATTATATATTTAACAGCATCAAATATGCCCATTAAAGCACCACTTGAAAGGCTAACATTCTTCCTGGGAGGCCAAGGGAAGGGAGACAGCATGGACCCCCAGGGAGGCATTCTAACACCCGATCTCATGGGATGATGGCTTTTCCCAGAAGTTTAGGTATTCCCAAGAGCATGGCTGGCCTGCCCATGAGGGACATGGGGCCATAAGGAAGCTGCTCTACACAAGCTTTATTCAGGATCAGCGAGAGTTCTTACACCTGGATGAGTAGTCAGTATCTGCCACCTGTGGAATTTGGCACCATCTAGGTTTTCTTCCAGAAGCAGACTTAAACTTACCTCCATCAAGAGCGGATTTTGAGAATTTTCACTTGATTTTCTAAAACAACATCAAGAAGTCTCTAAATACCACCTTTCATCCCCAAGTTCCAGATTTCTAGGGAGCTTCCCAGGTTAATCAATAGGAGACAAAATACACTCCACCCTTCCGGCCAGGTGAAAACCTTTCCTACTTCTTCGCAGTGACTTGCTTCAGACTGACATAATCACATCACAGTGCAGCCTCCTACTTCAATACTGGCCTCCAATAAATGCTCTGCTGGGTGAACAGGAAACTCATTGTGAACTGAGTTTCTAAGACTCTAACACTCTAACACTCGTGCAAGAGGCATCGAATTTCAGAGAGATCTTTTGGAGCATGAACACAAGTAAAAACCAGCCACAGGGTCAAGTCTGGGCTTGCTTTATTTGACCTTGGCTTGTTTTATTTTATTTAGGAAAACTTTTGGGGGGAATGCAGTGGACCATAAAACCCTTACCTTTTAAAGGAGCCCATTGTTAGCAATTTGTTCATCACAGCTCCCTCGATCTCACCAAAAAAGTCTCCAGTCTATGGGGAAGAAGACATATGAGGAGGTGTAGATAAATAATGTGCCCAAACAGGAGAGAAGAAATGAAAAGGGACACAGTCTGTGTCCTGGAACTGACAGGAGCAAAAGGCAGGTTTTCAGGAAAGTGGAAAAGGTTTTAACAGTCATGAGAACTCATGGGATTACACAGCAAACTAGAGAGCAGATGTGAATGCTTCCACAGTACGTGGGAGGGGGCTGCGTAACCCATGCTGAATGCTGAAATTAAAACACGCATGCACACACATGTGCACACACACATACCCCACTACCCTTGGATGGAGTAGGTAGTAATATGCACATAATCCCGTGTGATTAAAACACTACTTCATATAGGCAGAAACAGACTATGAGAGGGCTTCCTAAGCACTAATAAAAAGAATTGTTTATAATTCCTGGACGACCTGTTTAGGGAAATACAGCAGTCCACTTCATCAGCCCAATAAAGTTCCTGCAGTTGAGAATCCACCCTTTCTCAGAATCACTTTCTGAGGATCACTTTCATTTTGTCATAGGCAGTTGACATGTTGACCAAGAGTAAGACTATCCAGCCCCTTGAGGAGACAGCATGGCCAATGAGACTTCTAATGGCCTACCCCACACCTGAGGCTGTCTTAAGGTCATTCGAAGCTTTGCAGTCATTCCCCACCACCAGGCTGATGTTTTTGTAAGTCTACTTCTTGGTGCTGGCCAAGATTTGCAAACTTTGGTGGAATGAAGAATTAACATCCTCATGCATGCCCTCTGAATTTCTGGAGCTACTATCATGCAAGGTGTCCCATGGGGGAGGGCGTACGCAGTGCATGGAACAGAGCCTGCAGTAAGGGCCTTCTGCCAACATGCTGAAATGAGCCAGTGTTGACCAGAAGAGAAGCCCCATCTCTACTCTGGGTGCTCTGAAGATTTGTAGCTTGTGAGTGGGTGGGTGGGTGGGTGGAGGGCACTGCAATAAGAATCCAAATTATGTATATTCCGTAGGCTTTGTATTAACTAAACCCCAATTCCATTGCAACTAACTGAGTGACCTCAACCACACTCCTGGGAGTTTTCAGGTAGCAAGACACATATATAAACTTTGGCAAAATGTAAAGGGGGAGAAAAGGAGGAAGAAGGAAACAACATTTCTCTGACTGAATATTGACCACTTCCTTTTTCACTACAGGGAAACTTGGAAACTTTTGCAAACTCTGTGGGCGTGTACTACTGCTAGGAGCAAGAAGGACATTTGTATTTCGTGTGTGTAATGTGCCAGTTTCAATGAAACTGGTTGTTAGATGAAGAATTATCCTAATTGGGGCACAGGAAGTCAGACAACATCAAACAAGCCCAGGCTGAGCAGGCTGGCAAACTCACTGGGTCTATCGCAGGCTTATTCCATGGAGACATAGAGCAGAGAATCTGTAGTGGCCATGGCTGCTCATGGCTGAAACAGAGACACTGTTTCCATCATTTGTTGGCTGCTCCAGGACTCACCCCCGGAAGACATCCACTGCACCCTTCCTGAGCCCCGGGATCATTCCTCTCTCACCCCTACATGAGTAGAGCAGAAGACTAGAGCTCCTCCCTCTAGGCAACTAATGTGTATTCTTGCTCCATAGATTCTTGAATGCCTATGTTCCTCCTCCCAGCCAACAGGGCATATAACTATAGGCCAAAGGACTTTCCTGCTGTCTCAGGGACTGGCCTTGTTTCATGGGCCCATTCATCCTATCTAATGTCCACGGACTGTCCCATGTCTAGTGATGTAAAGCATCAGAGGAGACTGGGAATGGGCATTTTGAGTCTCAATAGCGCAACCAAGGGGCACTGAAAATCCTACAACATTCTCATAAAATAAGACAGGAAATGAAAGCACAATTCCTCAAGTTTCCTGGAGCCCCTGTTTATAAATTACCAAACCATTCATTTCAGACCCTAAGAAGCCACACTTAAGGACAATTAACTAATTGATTAAGCAGTGAACCTATCATACTGCTGACTACTAAAGAATTTTAAATGATTTAAAAGAGACTTCATTATAATGTATTAGTATACTCAAATATTTGAATTAGAAGAAACCTTATATCGTCAACCATCCTCATTGCACAGAGCCTATCTAGAGGTCTAGACAAGTTAAGGAACTTGCTGATGATCCCAAAACTAGTTAAGGAAGAGAGCTAACATCAGAAACCACCTTCCTCCTGTGATGGCGTTACTTTATTATATGCACTGTTGAACTTGTTTGTATTTTACCTTTTTTTATACGTTAATGTAATTTCTAATTGCAGGAAAAGTTTTAATGCAGAAAATTTGAATGGAAAAACTCGTTTTTCTATTACAGTACCATCGACTTTAACTCTTATTTTGATTTCCAGGCAGAGTGGAGATTTCTGTGCTCAAGTCCACAGCTTGGTTTCTTTTCATCTCTCTCCCTCCCACCCCTACACTGCACATGGTGCAGTCAAATGAAGAATATTCCTCTTCTATCTCTGGACCCTTGTCCCTCGGTGTTGAGAGCCCAAGCTGTTAATCCTTGAACTCAGATAACTGATTTTTAAAAAGCAAAAACCAGAACGAAAGCCATAAACAATAATTATGTAGAAACATACGTGTATGTGTGTGCACACATATGAAGATGAAATATCGGAAGGAAAAAAACCTTAAAGTTGCCCAAACTATTTAAGGCACCCCACCCTCGAGGCAAAAGTTCTTTATGTGGCACAGACAACTCTTTGGCTAAGAGTTCTATAAATTGAACATTTTATGAGTGAGAGAACAGACCCTGGGCACTGTCACCCCCCTGCACCCCCCAGTGGGAGGTAAAAACTCTTTGGGGCCTGCTGAGAAGCAGACTGTGGCATTCTTAGAGGGATGGAAATAAGGTTTTATAATCTCCTGCTATTACCTCCTAAATAAAGATCATTGTCTCCAAGTTTTAACACCATAATTTGTTCCCCCTGACCCAAGCACATTCTGAGATCCTTACTTGGAGCTGGTAGAAAATTTTCACTCACCTGTGTGTAGTCTTCAGACACCAAAATAAATCCATTATTGTCTATGAGGTAACAATTCACAGTCTAGAAAATTAAAAAAAAAACAAAAACAAAAAAACAGCTTCAACTTCGGGCCATCACACTGCTTTTAAACAGAATGACACACTTCCAACCTTAGACAAACTTATTTTTTTGGAAAGCAATTGTTTTCAGGCAATTGCAAAAGCCTGCTGGTTCTAGGCTTTAAGGCCACGGTTAAGATAACCCCGGTGTTTACTTTGCAAAACTAACAAAAATAAAAGACTGAACGAGTCTTGAATGATCCAGATTGGAATAAAATTGCATTAAAAAATGATGAATTACAGTTTGTCTTCCTTTTTTTTTTTCTTTATATGACCTGAATAATATTTCCCAGGAACAAAGTGCTCAGAAGCCCCCAAGCCTGTATTGGCGGTTGAAGTGCAGGCTGTTTTGAAAGCAAAACGCCAGCACAATGTCATTACTCTAATGATGTATTAATGAAAACACCGTGTCAGCTCAGAGGACCATCAGGGGACCAGGTAATATTTTTTAATTTGTTCATAGACTGAGGCAGGGGGGAAGGGGCAGACTTCTGTTAAAGGGGCCCCTCAGGCCTCCTAAAGGTTTTCAAACTGTGTTTTTAATTGGGAGCTGGATTTGGGGGCAGGGCCGTTAGCTTTTGGTAGCTCAGACTTATAAATTGTAGAAAGCAAGGTAAGCCCAAACCTCTGCTTCCCCCACACTACTTTAATCTCAAGTGAATGATTTGCTACAGGCTAAGTTTTAATTACAGTGCTGTGGAGTTTAAACTTAAGGTTTAATTCCGTCCTTGATGTAACTCAGTTTCTATTTATTACAGCTTTACATACCAACTGCAACATTTAATTTGTAACATATCTTTACTCTGAGCTAAATTCCGCCTAGCTCCAGGCCACCACGGGGCTGATGTTTTCTGGGACATTTGCCTATCCACAGGGGTGGTTTTGGTTAGGCACAAAAGGGCAGCAGTGAGTTGGTCAGAATGGTCCGTCCTTTATTACTAGACAGTGACTGTGCAGAATCAACAGAAAATTAAAAGCCCTGCTAGCACCTCTTATAAAAGAGTTGGCTGCTCTGGTGAACAGCAGAGCTTCTCCTGGTTATACAAAGGGATCAGATGAATTACTTGAGTAACCTGTTCACAGCTTTGCTATTTGAAGAAGCTCTTGGCCTCAGGGAAACTACCTTGGTCCTGGAGGGAGTCTTGATAAGCTTTCTCCATTGTCAGGAGATAGCATCATGGAAGCAATCTCATAGAACTGTGTTTCTAATATGGTAGCCACCAGCCTTATGTAAATTTAAATTTAATTTCAACTTAATTAAAATTAATGCAACTAAAAATTCAGTTCCTTAGTTGCACAAGTCACATTTCAAGGGTTCCACAGCTACCTCTGGTTAGTGACTACACTTTTGGACATTTATATCATTGTGGAAAGTTCTTCTGGACAGCAATGTCTTAGATTATACTAGTACTACAATGAGTTTTAACCTAGTCTACATTGGGTCATAACAGACAACTCTGTATCCTTGCTGATCTGAATGTCATTGCCAGAAGCATTTGAACCAGAGCAATTCCATCTTTAGAGGCTGGAGAAAATGAGGCTAAGACCTGTTGGGCTGCATTCCCAGAAAGTTAAGGCATTCTAAGTCACAGGATGAGATAGTAGGTCGGCATAAGATACAACAAGTCATAAAGACCTTGCTGATACAACAGGTTGCAGTAAAGAAGCCGGCTAAAACCCACCAAAACCAAAGTGGCGATGAGTGTGACCTCTGGTCGTCTTCACTGCTATACTCCCACCAATGCCATGACAGTATAGAAATGTCACGGCAATGTCAAGAAGTTACCCTATTGGTCTAAAAAGGGGAGGCATGAATCATCCACCCCTTGTTTAGCCTATAATTAAAAAAAAAAAAAACATAAAAATGGGCAACCAGCAGCCCTCAAGGATGCTCTGCCTACAGTGTAGCCATTCTTGATCCCTTTACTTTCCTAATAAACTTGTTTTCACTTTATAAACTTGCCCTGAATTCCTTCTTACATGAGATCCAAGAACCCTCTCCTGGGGTCTGGATCAGGACCCGTTTCCAGTAACATCTTTCTGGTGAATCCCAGGTGGATGATACTGAAGAGACCCCCAACCCAAAGGAAAATCATCTGCATGCACCAGTTGACTGACTTTGGGTAAGTGGGGTGCATCTACCTGGGTAAAGGATGGGACTGGGTTAGAGGCCCAACTTAGGGGAGTTAAGAGTCTCTCCTAAGGCAGAGTGGGCTAAAGGCTCCTATTAATGAAAGGCAAAGATGCTTGATCAAACTTGGGTTCAAGGCTCAACTCAGGAAGGTTAGAGTCATTCCTAGGATTTAGGGGGTTAGAGGCTCCTCTCAGTAAAGTCCCTCTCAGCTAAGAACGGGTTTGGCACTATGGAATGTTAACTACTATTCTCTTTGGATTAATCTGTCTTGCACTTGTTGCTAAGGGCTATGGGTGACAGGATAAGGCATGTACAGGACCACAGGACATGGGGAGCTTTTTCCTCCCCCGAAAAAGGGAAACTTGAGAGCTGATGGGACTGCCAGAAAACATCCCTTCACTACCGACAAGTGGCCACCTGAACTTTTTAGTTTCACTGCAATAGGTGAGTCTTTTTCTGGCCTCCCTGAGCTCTTCACTTTCCCCACCCTGCCACAGGCAGTGCTTTGCTCTCTCTCCTTTACCTTTCTTATCTTTTCTGTTACCCAGGGCCACCATCTTGCCCAGAGGCAACAAGTTGAAACTCCTGGTCAGAGGTTGGATTAACAATGATGGGACCCAATGGGGGGGCAAGTATGAGCCTTGCCAGTTTGATACTGGGCGCTAAGCAAAGGGGCTAATGTCTGTGTTTTGTCACATGTATTTTGCTCTGGCCAGAATGGAAAATCATTTTCCTTTGTGTTGCGGCTTGGCTCCCAGGGCTGTGGTCCAGCCAGCCCGGTCACTACGGCTGCTCAGGGAAAGGGAACCCAGAAGCCTGGGATGCCAATAAAAGGGTAAACATTTCTTACCAGTCAGACTTCTAGCCTCTTTTTCTCTCTCTCCCCAGCCCCCCTTTCTCTCTCTCTCTCCTTTTTCCTCTCTTTCTTTCTCTCCCCCTCGCTCCCAATGGGTTGAATGAATGGTAAAAATCACTGTTTAGGTAAAAATTCTCTGTAAAGGATTTATCCTCTGTTAGGTAAAAAATCCTCTGTAAAGTTTTGATAAATGGGAAAAAGGATTTGTGAGGCTAGTCTTAAACTGTAGTGAATCTGGTGTGCTGTGTGTGTCTTTCTGTATTGTTCTGTCATAAAAGAGGGGTACTCTAAGATACAGTGCGAGCCTAGGACTCCCATAAAACCACTGTTCAAGAAGGCGCAACAAACTGGTCAGTTAAAAACTTTGCTGCACATCCCTGAAAAAAGAAAAAAGAACTGGATGACATTTCCCTATTGTCTTGTATGTCCTTGGAAACTTGACCTTGTAACCATGTGACTGTGCTTTCTCTTTTCACCATGGCAGCATGGGTTCAGGGTTCAATTCCTGGTTTAGGGAATGAGTCTTTTATCTTCTGCCTGTCTGTGTATTTATATGTGTTGTATGTGTAATATAAAAGAGCTTTGATTCATTGGCTTAAAAATAATAGGTGCTTAAATCAAATATTGTCAGAAAAGTAAAAAGTGTAATGTCTTTTAGTTCAGGTGACTTTAGTAATCTTTGGGAAATAAAGATAGTTTTAAAGATTATTGATAAAATAAAAATACCTTCAAAAATGTAAACATTTGGTCTAAATTATGCAAGTCAGATATTAGCTTTGCTAAATATTTTAAGGTCATAAACTGCTTCTTTGATTTTTGAAAATTGTTCAGCTTACCTATTTTGCAGCATTAGACTCTAGATAAGGCCTGGGGACATATGGAGAGTCATGCCCTCTAGTTATGCTGGAAACAGTCAGACCTTATGGTGTCCTAGGCTCGGCACCTAGTACATAATTAAAATCCCTTACTTACCAAGGTTTTTACCAAAAGTAAAAGTTGCTAAGAGTTAACACTGTAACATGTATTTGAGACCACCAAGGAAACAGTTCTACACTCAAGGTGTGTAAGAAAAGTAGAATATATTTTGGAAGGTGGATTTTTTCTGCCTAGATTAAAGGGTTAAAGGATTGTTTTAAGTTAGGATAAAGCTAAAAGTTTGAATGACTTGTGGAAGGTTTGTAAAAAAATTAATGGTAAAAGAAATTCTGTGTGTGGACATTGACTAAAGTTAAAGAGGTAGTATTCAGTTTTTCTGTAAATTAAACACTGGAATAAAAGCACAACAGGTTTTTCTTAGAACACTGATCTGCTCTTTCACAAAAAAATGTAAAGGGTTATACAAGGTTTATGAAAATCTTACCTCGTGGTCAAACTGATTAAGACTGAATACATTTGTCTATAAGGTTTTATTAAGAATTGGATTTAACATTAATAGTACACTAATGCAAAGGTAAAACTTGGCTTATTTGGTATAAAAATCATAACAGGAAGCATTATCAAATGTGAAACAGTGTTTGGCTTTCTTTGGGATATATTTATATAGTTGTGCTATTGGTATGTGTTCCAAAATTATAAGAAGTCCTATAATTCTAACATGGCTTACTGTATGTTATTAATAGTTATAATTGTTATGTAAGATTTGGATGCCACAGAAGTAACCAAATTTCTTTATCAATTGTGGCTTTAATAGTGGCTGTCCTAAGACTTTTTATCATCCACAGACAACTGTTGTCTTGTTTTAATCTTCTTCAAGAGATGGTTTATAATCAACTATAGAACTCTGACAGTGCTATTGAATGCAGATTTCTGATAATGTTGGAGATTGTGACATTAGAATAGAGGAAGAAAGTTTCAGGACTCTCACAGAGAGCTGAAATGTTCATGACAGAACAGGAGTTCTGTTCAAGCAGAATAGGAGTCAACTGCATGAACTGAACTAATAAAAAACTGAAGTAATATTTTTCTTTTACTTTTTTGCTTAAAACATTGCTGATCCTTTTTGTTTTCCAGGGCCAAGAAAATTTTTCTTTTGAGCTATTTACAGCTTTTAACAATTGAGTAAACTATACTTCTGCGAAAAAATTTAGAGAATATTTGTTTCTCTCTACCTGGTTCCTCCAGAATTTGGAAACTATTTGAGAGTATCTTAACTTATGGCAATATAGTTATTTGCATAAATGCAGTAAGAATCTCTTTTCTATTGTAATAGGATACAACTGGAGAAACTGGTTATTTTACCAAGGCTTTGACTGGAATGGTGTGTTTACCTTTAAGGAATCAAACTTGACTTAGAGAGCCAAGAAGAGCCCCTTGAAAAAAACTAGCCTCATACCTTGTCTACACAGTCCCTGTACAGGGTTCCTGACCTGTGGTAAGTAAAGAATGTCACCTTCTGAAAGGCCCAGGAGCCCCAAGTTATTTTGGGACCTCAAGAGGAGAAGAATTTACTCAACTCATAGATATCTGGGGTACAAACCCATGGCTAGGCTTGGCTTTAAAAAAAAGTCTTATCTGAGATTCCCTCTATGGAACAAAATTTCATCAAAGACAAATTTAAAAGCCTATGTGAAAAATAATTATTCTTGCTGCACTGTATACAAATAATCAGGCCAAGTATAATAAAGCAAATTAGTCTTACTATGATTTGTCTCCAGCAAAAATGGGAAACTAGAGAACAATTATGTTTCAAGAACTGTGGTATAACCTGTTATTAAGTTCTAGTCTCATCAGTTGATTTTAAGGTTTTTTTCTGTAATTTAGGCCAACCCTGTTTATTCCTGTGAACCAACCAGTGATCTCTTGACTGCTGCTCAGAAGAAACAACAGGGATGGGTAATGTAAAAATCTGGATCAATATTCTAATTCTGGGCATGTATTGGAATCAGCTAGCAACCTCATATCAGCTTGGTTCCAATAGTTGCCCAGTTCATGGAACGCCTTATTTAGTTTACTTGGGATAATTTTACTTATTTTGTTTTACTGTTTTGGAATACGTTGCTATTGTACTCTTTGTGTAGAAATGCTGGACAAGCTTACTAAATGTTTTCTTACACTGAGCACTTTTTAATCTTCTAGATATCATCTTTTGTCAGAACTCGGAGTCATGAACGGCCCTTGCCATACCAATGCTTTCTGACTGAGCTCCTCTCTATCTACCCTGAATGCAAGAGACCCAATAGTTAGGCAGGAATGGCATTGCCCCTATCAGCTTGAAGAAGTTACAGAAGATGCATCTTTATCCCTCTGCAACCCTTAGGATTAAGGGTTTTCTTATAAAAGGGACGGGGGAAATGTTAGAGGTGTTTGAACCAGAGCAACTCCATCTTGAATAGGGGCTGGGTAAAATGAGGCTGAGACCTATTGGGCTGCATTCCCAGACGGTTAAGGCATTCTGTGTCACAGGATGAGTTAGGAGGTCAGCACAAGATACAGGTCATAAAGATCTTGCTGATAAACAGGATGCAGTAAAGAAGCTGGCTAAAACCACCAAAACCAAGATGGTGATGAGAGTAAACTCTGATCATCCTCACTGCTACACTCCCACCAGTGCCATGACAGTTTACAAATGCCATGGCAACGTCAGGAAGATACCCTATACGGTCTAAAAAGGAGAGGCATGAATAATCCACCCATTGTTTAGCATATCATCAAGAAATAACGATAAAAATGGGTAACCAGCAGCCCTCGAGGCTGCTCTGCCTATGGAACACCCATTCTTTTATTGCTTTATGTTCTTAATAAACTTGTTTTCAGTTTACTCTGTGGACTTTCCATGAATTCTTTCTTGTATGAGGTCCAAGAACCCTCTCTTGGGGTCTGGATTGGGATCCCTTTCAGGTAACATCATGATGCTCATTCTGCAGATACAGACAATGAAGCAAGGGGCGGCTAACCTCTGTTGAGTCAGTAAATACATGTTGAGTACAGAAGTGGCCTCCATATTCAGATACTGTCAATATTCAAATCCCCACAGCTGCATATAAGGCCACAAATCATCATAACCTCTACTCCTAGTTAAAACTTAGTCCCTACTCCAACATCTCTAACTAATTAGTACTCTTGCTATTAGACCTACATCTTTGGTCAATATCTTTCTGTTTGCCTAATACTGTAAATATTGAGCAATGCAATACAGGTACAAGGCAAATAGATTATAAAGTCAATTGAAAATCTTGACAAAGAGGCAAGATTTCATGAAGTCCATGAAAGTAACGTTAAACAGCTCCAATCGCACAGGAAGCCATTGGCACATTAGAATCTGTCAGAGGCAGAAAGATGAAAAAATACCTGCTACAAATAAAACATGAGCTGTACTTCCAAAGAGAATAATTTCAACAGCAAAGGACTAAGAAAAGTACCCTAGGAAAATTGATCAAACTCTTTACTATATTTTACCCTTTTTGTGGTCATTCTGAGAAAAATCAAAATATAAAGTGAAGGATTTCATATTGTGCTATTTTATCATCTTATCAGAAACACTAAACTCCTGGCCCCTTACCCCATTTGTTTCTTTGGAAAATTAGAGTACAATTGCAAATATAACCTAAATTTATTTAAAAAATAAACACAGTTTCATACTTTCCACTTTATTTAGAGAAAAATATTCAAAATAACTTTTTATTATTTGCTGTAAACATTTGGTTCTTTTTCTGACCTTTCTTCTTAGAACGAGGCCCTCCTTATAATGCTCCTTATAACAGCCAGCACCAGTAGAAGGGAGATCAGAAGACTCACTTCTCAGGCGTCTGCCCTGCTCCCTCCCACTCCCACTTCTGGTGTGGAAGGAACAGAGCTGAGAGCTCTGGAGCAGGGGCAAACACTGCTTTAACTCAGAACTTGGAAAACCAAGCTGCAAAAATAGGGGAGTGGCCTCCTTGGGAGAATACCAGATGAAAACTATCACACAAAGAAGTTTTTCATAAAACATGACTGTCACTAATAATAGTAACAATAAGAATGTAAGAAGAAGAATAAGGAGGATGGCAGCTACAGGAGGACATCGACTCATGAAAACCTCACTTTTCACAGCATCAAGCAGGGAATTTTTCTCTTGGAAAGAAGAGAAAACTGAGATGTTGTCTTTTTTTAATTATTATTATTATACTTTAAGTTTTAGGGTACATGTGCACAATGTGCAGGTTAGTTACATATGTA
This sequence comes from Homo sapiens, assembly GCF_000001405.40. Classification (NCBI taxonomy): domain Eukaryota; kingdom Metazoa; phylum Chordata; class Mammalia; order Primates; family Hominidae; genus Homo; species Homo sapiens. Next base: position 54,976,425 of record NC_000003.12, on the reverse strand, counting down.
TACATGTGACATGCTGGTGCACTGCAACCCACTAACTCGTCATCTAGCATTAGGTATATCTCCCAATGCTATCTCTCCCCCCTCCCCCCACCCCACAACAGGAAGGGGAACATCACACTCTGGGGACTGTTGTGAGATGTTGTCTTCTCCAAGGTCACACACACACAAGTGAGACTTGAGTCCATTGCTATGGGACTCCAAAGCCCACACTCTTTCTACTGGCTGACCCCCACCCTTACTTTCTAAAAGACAGCAGGACACAGTAGGGTCTAGGGATTTTGCCTGCTCATGGAAGGCTTTGCTTGTTTGAAAAAAGCAATCCCTTTATATAATGTGTGTGTGTGTGTGTGTGTGTGTGTGTGTGTGTGTATCTATATCTATACCTATATTTATATCTAATCTCTATGGATACCTAAGACAGATCTTGTCTGACACCTGCTACCAAAGGAAACCACAACAAATGGCAGAAAAATCAATGTACCAAGTGTCTGGGGTGTTATTATTGTGGCTGAAAGCAAGTAAAAACAATAAAAGTGACTGACGTCTGGGTCAGTTTGGTCAAGTGGTATCAACCCCAATTATAGGTTCCTAGACTCCCTGGGCATAGCAATTCTTGAGCTAATATCTGAACCAAGACATAGTTTAGGGGGATTTTTTCTATCCATCTCCACAACTTGCTACAGAATAATCTATGGAAGAAAAAAATATGTCCATTATAGGCTAGAGTCTAAAAATATACTTAATGAACCACTCATTTTGGTAAGATTGCTCTACATCCTAGCAAACAATGATGGGAAGAGAACAAGGCGGAGAACTGGCCAGGGATCCTGAAGGACAACATGCCTAAGCTTCCATTTCCACCAAAGGGGGCCACGTTGTTTTTTTTTTTTTTTTTTTTTTTTTTGGAGACCAAGTCTCACTCTGTTGCCCAGGCTGGAGTGCAGTGGCATGAGATGTTAGCTCACTGCAACCTCTGCCTCCCAGGTTCAGGTGATTCTCCTGCTTCAGCCTCCTGAGTAGCTGAGACTACAGGTGCACACCCCAATGCCTAGCTAATTTTTGTATTTTTAGTAAAGACGGGATTTCACCATGTTGGCCAGGCTGCTCTCAAACTCCTGACCTCAAGTGATCTGCCTGCCTTGGCCTCCCAAAGTGCTGGGATTACAGGTGTGAGCCATCGTGCCCAGCCACATTTTCTTTATAGACACTGCTGTTACTTTGTCTAACTGTAAACATTAAAAGGCAAATTGAGTGACAAGATGACTTTCTAAACAGACCTCCCTGTCAATGACCACTTGGATTAAATTATTATTGAGAAGTAGAGTGCAGTGGAGTGAGCCCACTGGAGTTAGGGGGTCAGAGTGCTGGGTTTATGGATAAATTAGGACAGAATTAGCTAGAGTCCAGTCTGATCAACTGTTTTTTCCATATCACTTTACAATAAATAATATTCAATTCCCTTCTCCATATGGCCTGTCCAATAAAAGGAAATGGGAACTATTTTCTCAGCTTTCCCTCGCTTGTGCTACCCTTTCCTCCCAAATTAAGCCCAACATCTTAGAAGATGTCTATCTGTCACCCTGCCCCAAGGGTGCACTAACAAGTTGAAGAGCTTGAAGAAATTAGGAGTTCAAACAGACACTTGTAAGCACCTACTCCACAACTACCTTTGGCAAAACATCTGGGGATGAGGTTGTTTTTAAAAAGGCAGCAATAAAGGGCAGGGTGGAGAGCACAGAGGGAAGTTGATGTTTTAAAAAAGGCATCTTCCTGCAACTATTCGGATGGCTCCGTATTACTCAGAGAAGTCTGATTCTTAGTCACAGAGGTGGATCAGGTAGATACCTGAAGTTAAAGCCCAAACCCAGGCCATGGGAATTGGGCAGTCACAGATTGGAAGGGCAGGGTGCCTGGGAGTGACAAATGGCAGTACTAACCTTGTGTACACTGGAAGGGGTACTAGCCCAAAGGCTAAGACACCAGTTTGAGAATCACAGACTATGACATCTGCTGTCGGTGTGACCTCAAACAAAGTCTTTCTAACACTCCGAGTCTGTTTTCTGATCTGAAAGATGGAGATAGCACCAACTATTTCATAATGTTGCTGAGATTAAATGGGAGGGTGCATGTAAAGTACTGAGCATAGTACCTAGTGCATAGTAAGTCCTCCAAGAACACAGGCTTCCATCTGCTCAGCAAATGTTTATTGGTCACCTATGATGTGTGATTTTTACAAGTATCCTAATGCTACAATTGTACAGTTTTTCAGAAACGGAAGTTGTTACATAGTTCATAGCAGGAGGTCCCGGCTGACTGGCTGAGCTTTGCTGCTTTTTGCCTTTTGTTTGGAAGGATGCCTTTTGTTTGATTGGAGAAACAACTCACTTAGAAACCCGGTATTGTACTGCCTGTTGTCTTCATTTGTGGGGAGAGAGGGAGAGAGAAACACACACACACACTAGGTTCTTGCATCTGAGGGTGGGGCCTGAATCTCTGTACATCAGGCACAGGAAGGTGCCACTCCTTGCTACTTTTCTCCAGGTCTCATGATCCAATCCCTAATATTTCCATTGTGGAATACGCTTGACACTTACTTCACATCATTTGCTCTATCTTTGCATTAACTAATGATCATATCAAAACACTGTCTTTTGAAAAAATTTATTGCAGAGGGGTCACCTAGGAAAGATGCACTTGGTAGGGGTCACCTGTGCCCCCTTGTCCTCCTTTGCTATTCAAATCGTCCTCAAACCTACCCTCTGGCTGAGGTGGGCAGTCCAACATGCAGGCAGGCGCCTGGCTGCCTGGAGGCAGCCCTTCTCGTTGCCCTGTCATAATTCAAGCAGGTCTTTCTGATGCCAGAGGAAATGCCTACAAGCCTTAGAAAAGTCTTAGAGATTTTTAATAAGGGTTATTAGCCTCTATTCCTTTGGAACAAGAAAGGGTAGAGCTGACTTTGATCATGAAGTTTTCGATTCTCTCGCTGCCGTCACACCTCTTCCAATGCCTCAGTAGGAGACACCTTCTCACCTTCCACCGTCTTTGCTAACTCCTGGTACTCTCATCAGGAGATGAGAAGTGTTGCACAGGTGAGTGGAAAAGGAGAAAGAGACTGAAAGCAGTGAGGAAACACTAGCACCTGCAGGTCAGACTGAGATCAGAGGTGAACGTGGCCCTCCTTCCTCCCTTCTGTCCTGAATGCTAACTGTGTTTTCCTTGACCACAATGACCCTTTGCCACTTTGGTGCCTCTACAGTGGTGTTCTCTGCTTGCAAAGCTCTTCTCAGGCTTCAGGAATTGTCTTCAATATCATCTCCTTCTTTGGCTGACTTAAATGTTACCCCCTCAGAGAAGCCTTCGCTGACTACCGCATGTCAGTTTACTCTGCAGGACTTACCACAATTGATGATCATATAAGTTTATCTCTCCTGCTAACCGGTAAGCTTCAGGAGAGCAGGGCCTTTTCTGACTGCTTCCCATTGACTGCCCCGTGCTCAGCCAGGCACCAGGTGCCTAAGAAGGGCTCGGTAAAGATGTCTTGAAGGAAGAAATGAGTGTGTGAACTGTTGCCTCAATGGCTTGGAAGTTAACATTCACCCTGGGTGAAATGGAGCTCCTTAAAAGTCAGCCCCATGGCCAGGCCCTCAAGTCACATGGCTCAGGTTCTGACTGGGCCAACCAAAGATGCACCTCTACAAGATGGCAGAGCATCTGGCACACTGGCTCCACCTACCAGCCACAGCACTCCTGCCAAGGCCCAGAGAGTGCATTGACTGGGGAGACAAAGGGGCTGGAGTGGATCTAAGGCTAAGTGTGTCTGATAAGCCCGAGGGAGTTGGGCCAGGTCATAAGTGCAATGGAGAAGTCAGACCACTGAACTTAATGAGCCCCCACAGCTGTTTTTAATGGAGACCTGATCATTCGAGGGCAGTTGGGGGAGAGGAACATGGTCTCATATGCCTAATTAAAAGTTACAAAAAAGAGAATGACACATGGCAAGAGTCTGCTGAAACAATGGAAAGGGGCCTTGGTGAGAAGGCAGGACTGACTTTTCTATTTAAAACAGTGTCAATTGGTTGCCTGGAACCAAAATTTAAGAGTCAAAGAGGACAACGGATGACAGCTTCAAAGTACAAACTCAGGATATTTGAGCATCAGATCAAGTTCAGAAATCAGGGCAACTTCAAGGCTTAATTTTCAAAGCATGTGGACCTTTAAATGACATTTGAATAGGGGTTTATCCCAATGGTTGCTAAAAGAACATTGTTAGCAGTGAGCAAGAGGTCGTAGCCTGTGCTTACTATGCCCAGGGGAAACTGTCACTTGCCCAAAGTGTATATACCATTGCTGTCTGAGGTTTCAAATCCAGCAACCTGAAACCACAGCATGGAAGAAAACATCTTCAGAGTTTGTTTTTTTTTAAATTTATAAACAACATTTATTGAATGCTTATCATTTCCAGGAGCCATACCATGCATTGTTCATGTCTTATCTATTCATTCTTCACCATTACTCTGTGAGGTGGATATTTCTATCCCCATTGTATAGTTGAGAAAACTGAGGCATGGAAAGATTTGGAAACTTGCCCAAGGTCACACATTTTATTACTGTCAGAGTCACGACTTGAAGCTAGTCAGTGTAAATAGTTTTGCCTTTAACCACCATGTTAGACTGCCTGTGAAAGCAGTCATTGAAGAATGAACATGTATTGGATGTTTCCAACTCTAAGTGGAAATCCATTTCCACTTGTTTTTATATAAGGATGCACTGAGGCAGTGTGGGTTCTGGGAAGATTACTGTCTCTGGCTTTAGTTATAAAATTGTTTAACCAACTATCCAACCATCTATCCAATCAATCGACCAACTACGTAACCAACCAACCAATGAGCCAACCAACTATTCAAGCTACTGCCCTAGCTGTGAGCCACCCGTCCAACCATCTGTACAATCAGCCAACTAACCAACTAACCATCCTCACTCCTCTTACTGTAAAACTGGGATTCATAATTATACCCACTGTGCAAGTGAAGAGCTTAACACAGGGCCTCGAGACACTGATTAATCACTACTACTATTGAGTTGTGTTGTTCTTGAGCTGAGCACTCCAATAAGACAATAAATGTCTCAAAGACATGGGAGAGGCTTGAGGCCCACTTGACTATCCTACAAAAATTATCCCTGAACTTGCTGAAAAGGGTGTGGACCATACAACTTCACAGGGTATTCTTTCCTAAGGGGAAATTAGTTTTGATCTGATGATCACAGAAACTTGGGCTTCTGCAGAAAACTTTGCTGACTGGCTTTTTTTTTTTTGATACTGTGACTCATACAATGATTATGATTTTCTAACCAGCAGCCAGATCCTCTGGGACCGAGCATTTTGTTTTAACTTCATCCTGGACTTCCTTTTATATTTCCTTACTTGTTTTTCCTTTGTCCACCTTTTTGAAATCTACTTCCTAATCTATGTTTTCTGGGTTGAAATTGTTTGGTTAGGATTTCTTAAGTCCTCATGATAAGCAGAAGGAATATAAATATGTGACTATTTATAAGGTCTAGTTTACATATTGACTGCTGTTTCACTGATGCAGAGAGAGAAAGGCTACCTCAGGAGAAGTGAAAAGGCCACCATGCTTCTGCCTGCTCCAAAACGTGGGGCAGAGGGTATGGGATGGCAAGGTATAAAAACATAAGGCAGATGGAAACACTTTGGGTAGTGGCATAGTTTCTTCTTCCATTGCGCATGTGTAGGATTAAAATCCCTCCTCCCAAAAGGCAGAGAGAGAGAAAAAGAGGAGAGGAGAGGAGAGCAGAGGAGAGGGGAGGGGAGAGGAGAGGAGGGGAGGGGAAGGGAGGAGAGGGGTGAGGAACGGAGGGGAGGAGAGGAGAAGAAAGGATAGGAGAGGAGGGGAGGGGAGAGGAGGGGAGGGGAGGGGAAGGGAGGAGAGGGGTGAGGAACGGAGGGGAGGAGAGGAGGGGAGGGGAGGGGAGGAGAGGAGGGAGACGGAGAGAGAGAGAGAGAACAGAAGAGGAGAAAGAAAAGAAAAAAGAAAAGATTTGTAGGAGAGAAGCAGTATGCTACAAAGAAACATTTTGAGTTTCAAAGTTTTTAACTCCTAGGTTTTTTGTTTGCTTATTACATGAAATTAGCTGAATCACTTAATTTCTCTGATGCTCAGTTTTTCTTATCTGCAAGATGGGTCAACAAGTCCTACCTATTTCACCGGTTGTTGCAAGGATGGAAAGAGATTAAGGCATGTAGAAAAAGGTTTGAGAATTGTAATGTGAGCTTCAAACAGTAGGAGTTAGGAGTTTGTATTATTTCCTACAAAATGTCAAAATTCCAATAGTGCTATCCATGAGACATTTAAAGCACATTTCCAGCTGTCATAAACTGATGGGAGGTGGGGAACAAAAAAAAAGAAACAAAGCAAATAAAGCAAATGATTTTTTTTTTTTTAGATTGGCCCAGTACAATGCGTCAACCTGGCCTTGTTTATAAGGGCATTCCCTCGGTCATAAAGCACCATCTGTCACCTTCTATCCACAGGGGTAGAAACAGGACCAGGAGGCCGTCTTACCTCATCATCACAGCTGATGGAGCATTTGCCATCCAGGGAAGCACACTGTGAAGGCAAAAAGTGGAGGGAAATGTGTTACTATGTTACTTGGGCATCCCAGTGCCTGCTGTGGCTGCCACTGAGCTACTTAAGGACAAGCTATCCAAGTCATGGGCTAGAATTCAAATACCCAATTTCATTGAAAAGGAATGCTCCATGATGTGTCTTGTCTACTATCTCTGGAATCAGTATCAATTCCAAGTAGTAATGTAAAATAAAAGATCTATGAAACAACTGAGCGGGGTGGGGCAGGCACAGTGGCTCACACCTGTAATCCCTGCACTTTGGGAGGCCAAGGAGGGCAGATCACTTGAGGTCAGGAGTTCGAGACCAGCCTGGCCACATGGCGAAATCCCATCTCTACTAAAACATACAAAAATTACCCTAGTGTGGTGGCAGGCACCTGTAATCCCAGCTACTCAGGAGGCTGAGGCAGGAGAATCACTTGAACCAGGGAGGTGGAGGGTGCAGTGAGTCGAGATCGCACCACTGCACTCCAGCCTGGGAGACAGAGCAAGACTATCTCAAAAAAAAAAAAAAAAAGTCTACTTTATGTTGTCATTAAACAGTAATGATATCTTTTTAAGATCTCAAATCTTTTGGTAACTAAAAATACAATTATGTAATTAATTTAAAATTCATTAATTCTCAGTGACTTTAAAAAACCCCTGTCCATCTCCTTAGTTTATAGCTTCCTAAAGTATCTTAATTTAAAGGATGATAAGCCATTCTAACATTTATTCTTGGTCAGATGGAAGCAACTTATCAGTGGCCCTTTCTACCAAATTACTCAACAAATACCACTGAGATGACTTAGTACAGAGAGCATAGCGAAAAGAAAACAATGTTCCCAGATTCTCCAAGGTAGACCCTGTGAACAAAGAAGTCAGATACATGTTTTGGAGAAACTAGTTACGTAAAGGGTTTCTAGATTTTGATAATGAGATTCACAAGTAAGTAACCAGGCACGACCACAGGATTAGGAGAAAGTCAGAATGAAAATCTCACAAAAGGCCCCAATACTTAAAAGAAAAACTCCTTTGGAAGGTCACTATCTTGATCCCACAATTAAAACTGTTCCTAGGAGCAAATTCCCTGCTTTGCTCAGCATGTGGTGTCTAACATGCTGACAGCCCTTTATTTTGCAGTGAAATGAAAGGTAATCTGAGCAGCCGGCAGTTGATTTTACAAACATTCATCGGAAATCTGGCACTTTCAGGCTCCAGGTACCCAAATGGGAACACCTGTATAATAACAGTGTCGCTAATGCTTCAAGATGCTGATTATAACTTACCTGTCTGCTGGCAGTCCAGAACTTCCTTTGGAAAAATTCAAGTTTCATCTGAATGCCTACAGCTGGGACAAATTATAAATAAAACAAGGCATTAGTGATCCCTTTACACAATTATTTAAGATTATCGTTGAAAATTATCCGTCATGGCAAGAAGCTGATATAAGCATATAAAATAAAATGTACAGTGAAGCATACAACTAAAACATTTTATCTTTCAGGTAAAGAATTCTCAAGTTTACCTGCACTCACAGAACTCTCGATACAAAACAAACAGCACAGTGCAGATCGCTCTTTGGAGACATGTTACTTCGGCATTTCTAAAATTCATATGCTTGCACCACTGCCCCTACCCCCACCCCAACACAAGCTGAGAAGAGGAAAGAAAAAAAAAAATTCAAAAGATCACTATTGCTTCAGTTCCTGTCAGCTATTACTGTTTGAACTTGCATGTCTAAAATGTGTACTCTGCATGTGTTTTTGAGACGTAACATTTGAAAAGCACTTGTCATGAGGCTAGAATTCAGAAGTGAGTCACTTTACTATAATGTGTCTTAGTTTAACTGGCCTCCTAGAGTCCACATCTCAAGGTTCTTCTCTCCCATGGAACTCTGGTAAAATTATGTAATTTTTTCTTTGTCTGTGAAAAGCTTCCTAAAGCAACTGTGAATGCTAGTTCTAGTGACAGAAACAGCCAAAAAGAGAAGAGGTTAAGAATGTGACTTGAAACTTTGGGAAGTGAAATTTAGTGGAACCTCAAAACTATAACATGAGGAAGTTCACCTTATTTTTCTCCATGAAGCCCAAACCACTTGAAAGACCTGAAACCATCTCAGGAAGTAAAATGGTAAGGGCAAAATGCTCCTCAGATGGTGGGAAAACTTGAGAGGCGTTCAGAAGAATGAGACTACAGGGAATACTGAATTCCCTGGAGCACGTCATTTACCCCAGTGCAGTTTTGCAAACTGTAGTCTGTTGCACACAACCTCCCCATTTTTACCATATTTGCATACCACCAATACTCTTATTGTCCTTCCACATTTCTTTCTTTTGCTTAAAGACCTACAGTAATTCAACCTAAATAAAACTGGAACACCCATCAAAAGAAATACACAATTGTAAGAAAAAAAATCACTTAAATACTCTAAAAATTTTGCGTGCCACTATACTGGACCTCCCATTTGGGTAATCATTGTTGTGCTGGCTTCAGGAACTTGGAGATTCATAAAGGTCTTGGGCTGTTGTTACCCTGATAACTATCAAGGGCATTTCTACTTCCTAAAGAAATTGTTGAAGCCAGCCCTGAGAGTAAAGGTTAACTGGGTGTGTACATTGGGAGAGATTTGCCATCTGTGTTTGCACTTAGAATTTCCGACTCTAGGATAAAGACTAGAGCAGTGCACGGCTGCAACATGCAGAACGTGAAAAGCCTCTGAAATGCACCATGTCGGTGCCCAGGCTCATTCTGCTCTGCCTTAAGTGTCCTTCGTTCTCTGGACCACAGCCTTCCCAAGAATGAGGACCTGTTCTTGCTCCCTGCTGGACCCCTGCCTCCAGCAAGATGCTGAGTACACAGACGACCCATAGGTAAATGCTTGCTTTTTAAAAAAAACTTTCAAGTGATATTATAGTCAGCAGTTAGAGAGAAATATAGAAGAGTAACACCTATGCGAATCGTTTGTTTGTTTGTTTGTTTGAGACAGAATCTCACTCTGCTGTCCAGGCTGGAGTGCAGTGGTGTGATCTCAGCTCACTGCAACCTCTGCTTCCCGGGTTCAAGTGATTCTCATGCCTCAGCCTCCCGAGTAGCTGGGATTACAGGTGTGCACCACCACACCTGGCTAATTTTTGTATTTTCTGTAGAGGTGAAGTTTCACCATGTTAGCCAGGCTGATCTCTAACTCGTGGGCTCAAGTGACCTGCCTGCCTCAACCTCCCAAAGTGCTGGGATTACAGATGTGAGCCATGTGGCTGGCTTGGGTATGTTTTAAAAGTGTCCCAGATGATTCTCACGCACAGCCAAGGTGGGGGATGGCTTTAGTAAATCAGCTGTTGGGGACCTACTGTGATGTGGGCCACGTGGCCAGACTACACAACACAAAAGCTGTTCTTCCCAGCATTGGAGAACATTTCAGAGAATGCCTGAAAGAAGCTGATTTTGAGTCTGATGGTAGTTGACTGCATTTCAAATAAATCTCATCTTCCAAATGCCTGACAGGCCAGGGTGCAGGGTGCAAAACAGGGTCTGACTCCCTGAAAGAGTCACTCCAGGGTAGCCTTTCCATGGTGCTTCTCCCTCCAACAGCCCAGAGCTGTCCTGGGCCCACCTGTCATCTCTTGAGCTTCCATGAGTCTCCTGATGCCCTTTCTGAGACCCCCACCCCCGTTCTCTGATGGAGCCCTCATCTTCACCTCCCTGATGAAGCCAGCTGCTCCCCGCTGGGTGTTTATCCATCTCACATACTTGCAGTCTGTTCTCATCTGCCCCTGTCGGTCCTCTACCCCAGCTCCTTGGGGCGCTTTCATCTTTCCTCATGAGTCAGTCCCTCCATCCCATTAATCATGCAGGCTGCTTCTCTCTGATCTCCCTCCAGCAGGCTGCATCCTCGTCCTGGTCCTGATGCCCTGAACTAGAACTGCTTCCCTCTCTCCTCACTCACACCCCTGCCTGCACCATGAGGTTGTTGCCCAAAGGCTCCTGGATAGTCCTGGCTGCAATTGTTCTGCTAGTTTTGACCTAGCTGTGTTCCGGCTAGCTGACCTCATCCCCTTTCCAGTAACACTGGCCCCTGGCTTCCTGTGGCATATCTGGGGTTTGCAGTGTTTTCTTTTACCCATAAGTTAATATACTCTCCTATGATTAAGGGACTCACAATTTCATTGATGGATCAACTTCACGACCATTTGTTCAGTGAGTACTAAGCTCTACACTGGGTACTAAGCTCCCTCCACGTCCAGTTGAGGAGTAGATCCATTGTAAAAGCTACACTAGAGGCATAAAGAACTGGAGCGTGCAGAGAATGGGGCTGACTTGGCCTGGTGAGAGCTTTGTGTAAGGTGAGGCATGGAGAGCCCACTCACAGAACAGTAAGAAGCCAGGGAAGATGGCAATCCAAATGGAGGAAACAGTAAGGGAGGGGAAGGGAGAGAACCTTTTTAAAGACCATCATTTGTTTGGAGGCTTGAGAAGAATGGGAACGGGGACCCAGTTGTTCAGGCTGAGGTCAAATGGCAAAAGGTCTTGAATGTCAGGCCAAAGCTTCAAGAGTACGTAGGCCAGAGATTGGTCCAATGGTGAAATCCAGCCTCTTTTTGTAAATAAAGTTTTCTTGCAGCACAGCCACACTAATTGGTTTGCACACTGTCTATGACTCCAATAGCAGAGCTGAGTAGTTTTAACTGAGATTGCATGGCCCACAAAACCTCAGTTATTTACTATTGGTCCTTTACAGAAAAAGTATTCTGACATCTGCCGTTGGTGCCATTGAAGGTCTTTAGTATCGAAGTGGCAGGATCAGGTTTATATTTTTAGAAAGCCCACTCTGAAAGCTCGCAGAGGAAGTGCTAGGGAAAGGGCCTATAAAATGGGAAATGGGAGAATGAGAGTAAGGGATCGAGAGTAACGGGATTGAGCTCATTATTTCTTGAGCGTGAAAATGATTTAAAGTGCAAAAAACAAGGCAACAAAAAAAAAAATAAGAATAACCCTCTCCCCCAACAAACAAGCAAATAAACAAAAATGCTTAAGGGAATCCTATGGCCAACTCTATTCAGAAAAACAAATATCACCTGCCACAAGCCACAAACAGAAGTGTAGCTTCCTTTCACTATTTTCCTTAGTTTTGGTCCACATTTTTCTTTTCTTGACCTTTATCAGAGAAAACACGACTACTTCAGTGAGTCCCACTCTCTCCCTTCAGCCCCCACATAACCTAAATGGAACCTGAGACATTTGTCAAGCCCGTCTATTTTGTTCTTTCAGCAACATTTCAAGCAGTAACAGTATATTGATTTAAGTCAGTCTTGCTAATTTAATAAGGAAAACAAAGACAGCAAATGCTTTTGTGAAACTCAAGTCCCAAGGAGAGTTACAGAAAAAAAAAAATCACCATTCCTGGGGTTTGTAATGTTTTAGACAGTCCAGAAAATCATCAACATATTTCCCCGGAGGTCACAGTGCTCCTTACTTCAATTTGATTACAGATGTCCCAGGGCTCCCTCCCTGCTGGGAATCTTCATCACATGGATAGAGACAAAGTCCCTTTACACAACTGCATCTGGTGATATCTTACTCACCACCCAGGAACACAACCGATCCAGAAAATATTATCCCATAGGATCCTTCCCCATGTGCCAATATGGGGTGAGCCTCCTAGGACAGCGACCCCAAGATACTGGGATGGTCTTTGGAAACCAAGACAGCAAAATTATTGTTATAAGAATTGCCATCTCAAAGAGCCCAGAATCCTTTCATGTGAAATATTCAGGAATCTGAAGCACTGACCTCTCTTTTGAACTATCTGTGTGACTGTTCTCACAACTCCTCTCAATACTCTAAGAGGGCTTAACTACAGATATCGAAACTTCAACAAAGTATCTTCCTTCCAGACTTCCTCTTTTCCCAACTGTCTAACTTCCTTCTTATCTACTTTTACCCTCCCTTCCTCCATTCCTTTCTCCCATGTTTATCAGAAACCCAGTATGTGCTGGGTGATAGGTGTATTGAGAAAAAGATGTGAGAGACACAACCGCCAGGGGTACAGGCCTGGGGAGGGCAGTCAAATCACCGAAGAGAGATTCACACTTCAGCATCCCCAGAGCTGACAGAAACGAATGCAGGGCATCATCCAAAACACATAGACCATTTGCTTTGCAGAATACCAATGATCGGCATGCTTGAATCTAGGGACAGGCAGCTGACCTTGAATGCTCTGATCCTGTGCTGTCCAAATTAGTGGCCATTAGTTACATGTGGCTATTTAAATAAAAATTAACTAAAATTAAATAATATTCACAATTTAGTTCCTTAGTTGCACTAGTTAGATGTCAAGTGCTCCGTAGCCACAGGGTGCTAGAGGCTACGGTACTGGACCATGCAGATCTAGAATATTTCCATCATTGCAGAGACTTCTACTGGACGATGACCAGTGATCCCAGAAGGAACCATAGAAAAGAAATGGACCCTAGCACTCCTTAAGGATGGAAGGTACAATTCTCCACAAACCCGTCCATACTACCACTCCCCAGAGGTAGAAGAAATGAGATGACTTAGGTATAGGGGGTTTAGATCAGACAGGACTGCCAGCGTGAGACAACCTGGACTTGCAAGGGGAAGTTGGAAATGAGTTTGAATGAACCCTAAAGAAATCAATGCAACAACCACCCTCCAGATTTATTTATTTTGCTTTATAAAACTTGAGACTACAAATTACATTTGCAGTGCTATTATGTTTAAATGCATTCAAGATGAAATCATGCATGCATCTCATATCATGTTAATAGACATGCATTCAAGTGTAATCTGAAACTCACAAAATATAAAATTAGAAATAAAACATATAAAATTAGAAATAAAACAACTTTTCTCATATCGTATTCATTTAGAAATAATTTCCTGTGGGGTTGGCCTCAACTTGCAACATACTAGAGGGGCACAGATCTGGTTTGTAAAATAGTGCTCACTATGCCTGGCACACAAGCTCACCCAAACACCCCTACTTCCATTTGCCCAGCCCTCCAGTCATACAATATATTCACATACACATAGAGAGCTCATCCAAAAGGCAGAAAAACAATCCTGCCACCATCAGTGAATTCCAATCAGGAGTTGTTTTGCTGCGAGAACTGATTGCAAACCCGTTTTAAGACCACTGCTGTGTACCCTTGGGTATGTCACTTTACCTCTCTGTCTCCACCAATAGAGTTGCACCGGCTCTGGCTTCTGAACAGAATTTTTGTGGGACAAAAATCAGTGAGAGTAAATAAAATCACGGGTATTAAAATACTCTAACTAGTTGATAGTGTTGTCATCATTCATGTTATGACTTGCTCCTAGAGCTTTTATTCTTTATTCTTATGTTTCATGGCTAATATGCCTTTCATGCCAATTATGTTGAGAGTGAGCAGAAAATTCATCTATGACCAATGCAAACTGTCCACTCCTAGGAATGTTCCTTAGAGTGTTATATCAGTGAGCAAATGCATTACAAAATCATGCTATCAGCCAAGCAGGCTCTTAGAGAATTAATCTTTTTCCTTCAGGATTAAGGAAAGGTGTGCTCCACCATTCAAAACCTGTGCTATGGTTTGAATGTTGGTCCTCTCTGAAACTCATGTTAAAATTTGATCTCTAATGCAGCAGTATTAAGAGGTGGCACTTTTAAGAGGTGATTGGGTCCCGAGGACTCTGTCCTCATGAATGGATTAATCTATTAATAGATTAATGGGTTAATGGATTAATGAGTTATCATGAGAGTGGGACTGGTGGATTTACAGGAAGAGGGAGAGAGACCTGAGTGAGCACGCTCAGTCCCCTCACGATGCCATGCCCTGTGCCTCCCTGGGACTCTGCAGAGCCCCCACCAGCAAGTCCCTCACCACATGGGGCCCCTTGAACTTGGACTTCTCAGCCTCTGAGAAGAGGCTTTAAGAAGTGAATTCCTTTTCTTTACAAATTACCCGGCTTCTACCACTCTGTTAAAAGCAAAAGAAAACAGAAGATGTCCTGTCACCCACCCCTTCTGGAATTGTGATCATTCATGCATACTCAGGACAAGGTTAGACAGGTCAGGGTACAGAACCCAAGAAGACTGCTGTCCATGATACTGGTGCCATCAGCTTCCTGTGCACATCAATCAGGCCACCTGCCCACAAAACTTCTCAATGACCTGGCTACTGCTGGACAATTGCAAATGTGGACAATTACCATTTCATTGTGGTGTCCAGGCAGAGAAACAGATCCAAGAGCTGACTTGCACTGGCTTGTTCTACAAACAGAAGATTTTCTCCTAATAGATTCCAATCCATAGGTAGGAATATAGTAGAAAATTGTAGTTTTATTAGAGGGAATACAACTACAATAAGTTAATAATAAATAAATTACCTGCTAAGGATTTCCCATATATTTCATCTCTTAGGAGTAGAGTGACTTTTCCCAAAACCCAAATTGTACAGATAAATGCTCATCCAGATCATCAGCTTCCTTGCTGGTCATATTTCTTAATCAGGGCACTGGGTATTTTTACATGGCTTGGTTAATATCTCTTATCCAGTCTCACCTCCACTTTGACAGTCTCTGAATTTTTATTTCTTTGTGCACCATGGCAAAGATTGCTAGCAGTGATAGTAACAAGGCCTGGCATGTTTGGATTCCAACTTGCCTTAGTTAACGGTCAACTGTAATAGCCATTACCCAAGCCACGTTTGTTTAAATGTTTTCTTCTGTTTGTTTTCAAAACAGTTAACTGCAAGTAGAACTAACAACGAATCTGAATGTCATTTTTTGGGAATATTTCATGATTAACCCAGGGTTTGGAAAAAGGGCACTGTTCTGGAGCATCAAGGAAAATAACTCCAACCTTCTTTACATCAAATGTGAGCCCATTCCGGAGGTCTGTTGGTGTCCAAGATAAATGACTTACCACATGAATAACAATTTAAAACTGCAATGTGAATTAGGACATAACTCATCTGTTAAATATTTCATGTGAAGATGTTAATGAATTGCATGATGGAATGTTGGACAAAAAAGACAACTGAAATCCTGGGACTAATTTGGGCAAAACTGAGAACAGAGTATCCTCGGGAAGATGAGGGGGAAGGAAGGGAAGGCAGCTGCACTCTTGTCCCCCTGGGTATCAGGCTGGCAAATTCAAAAGCTTTCTTAGAAGATTATAGGCAAGGGAGAATGATCAGCAACAACCTTTGGAGAAATATTTAGATCAAAGCAATATGCATTTGTTATAATCTTGGTAAAGCCTGAACATTAATCTCCAAGCTATGGTATTATTTCAGAAATTAGAAAAAAAAATTCTCACAGCAGCAGAAACACCTCATATTTTAGCCTAGTGCAAGTGAAGAAATATAATGATAAAAGGGGAGGAGGTATTTTAAATGTAACCCCTAAATGATTGCATATTTCACTTCTGAAGTATTCCCTGTGGTATGGGGGGTTGGTAATCTTTCTTATACATGCTTTTAAATAACAAAGCACTCCATGATATATGTCTGTGGTGAGAGAGAGGGAGGAGAAATAGCTCACATTATCACACCATTGACAAGGCCGCAGCAGAAGATTTTCTTTGCTGAGGAGGCCTATTTTAATCTGTAACCATCCCTACCTGCTGCCTGTGACTGGCTTCTGGGAACCAGTGTAGGAAGGCCTGATCCATTTGGCCACACATTTCTTTCATAATCACTTTGGTTTTTTTTTTTTTTTTGTCCTGTCAGAGCTTCTCGGAACTGTCACCTTTGGTAAAGTAGAGTAAATGACAATTATAAATGTTTCCTCCATTTGGGTTCTAATTACTTGACTGGATTGATGTTGAAAAGAATTAGCAGGGTTGTGGAATGGAATAATAATTTTCTTTTCACCCTTGAGGTAATCTGGAAGCATTTTTCCAGACTTCATCTGAAGAAACCTATATTCCCTCAGCTTTCCCAGGCTGCCGGAGCTAGCATCAAATTGTTTTTGTCAGATCATTTTATGCTCACAAAGTTCTTCAAATAATATTATTTCAATAAAGTTTTCAAGCCAATACATTTTTAGAGTCAATTCCCACCCTTTCAACCTTTCAGAAGAAAACATTTAAGCCTCGGGCTTCATTGTATTTTAATCAGGGCTGCACAAATCAATGTCCTTTAAAAAATTATAAGCTTCCAAGTTATAGCTCCCTAGTTAATAATTTCTTATTAGGTCACCACCTAATAACAGTTACTAAAGAGACCATAACAAAATTGGGGGTCAAGTTTCTAAACATTTCCAAACCAATAATAATAGAACAGCCACATATAGTTGCCAAACATCTCTGAGTTGGATGTTTATGACTTATTTAATATAAAATAGCACTAAAATCTCCACGTGGGCAGTCCACAGAGCTGGAGGGATGCCTGCAAACCTTCTGACTGTCAGGTTCATGTTACAGGGCACGGAGATGGCAAAGAACTTGCCCAAGCACACCCAGCTCCCTGGAGGGACCTGAGTCCCCTGTGGAGCTCCCAAACTCAAATTCCCTCCAGAGCTGACAGGGAACTGTGGTGAACTGAACACCACCCTGTGCCGCAGTCTCCAGGGAGCTGCAGAGCTCAGCTTGGCCCAACTGGTACCTTGTGGAACACGAGACTCAATATACAGACAGTTCATTTGAAAAACTGACAGCACTCTAATAGGATTGCCAGATAAAGGGGTTTTTTGCTGATGCAAGATCTTGCTCTGTTGCCCAGGCTGGAGTGCAGTGGCGCGATCATGGCTCACTGCAGCCTCGACCTCCCAGGCTCAGGCAATTATCCCACCATAGTCTCCCGAGTAGCTAGGACTACAGGCATGTGCCACCATGCCTCAATTTTTGTGTTTTTTGTAGAGACAGGGTTTTGCCATGTTGCCCAGGCTGGTCTCAAACTCCTGGGTTCAAGCAATCCTCCTGCCTTGGCCTCCCAAAGTGCTGAGATTACAAGTGTGAGCCACCATGCCAGGCAGATAAAATATTTTTGGTTTACTAAATCTGGCAACTCTAGGCTGGGGGTTACACAGAACATCCCCAGGCAATGACCTGGGGTGATCTCTGTTGCATACTTAGCCCTGAGAGAATTGAGACAGTTTGTATCCTGCAGCTTAACAGTTAGGACTGGGACCAAGGCCACCTCCATCAACATGACTTTCATGACTTTGCTATTAGTTCCAGAAAATTCGTGCTCAGAAAGATAATAACTATTGCTTTACTCAGGAGACGTCCCAATCCCAACCAGATCCCCACATTGGAAGACCTGCCCAGACTCCAAAATGCTGTAAATATCCACCCTGGCTTCCTCTTTCTGAGACACTTCTAAGACTATCAAGGTTGTATTCTCCCTTACTGCTGTAGGGAATAAACTGACTTTGACCTAAAAATACTCTTTAAAAAAATAGAGGTGGGGTCTTGCTCTGTCGCCCAGGCTGGAGTGCAGTGGCACAATCATAGCTCACTGCAGCCTCCAACTCTTGGGCTCAGGCAGTCCTCCTGCCTCAGCCTCCTGAGTAGCTGGGATTATAGGCTGAAGCCACCACACCCATCCGATACATGGAATATTCTGCTGGTTTTCTTGTCAGCAGTTAAACCTGCTTCTTCATAGCATTTATCAATATTTGACATTAAATGACATTTTATATTATTTATTGTGTTTCATCCTCATCCAACTAGAGGTTGAGGCTCTTTGTTTACTGCTGTATTCCCTGTACCTAGAGAAGCTACCAGCACAGGCAGGCACTTGTGAACACACACGGGGTGGTTGAATGCAATGTGGATGGAGATATCAATTATTCTCAGGGAGTTTGCTCTCTCCAGACATCTACCTCTGCCATCCATGTGGTTTGGACTCTGTCCCAAGAGCAACAGAGAGCAATGAAAAGGTTCTCAGCAGGGGAGGGAAGGATGTGAGACACAAATAGATTTGTGCTTTGGAAAAATCTACAGGGGAAGTTGCTGGGATGCATGGTTTGTGTCTGGGGGACTGTGTAGGGGTCATGCGTGCTCATCCTACCGGGTGAGAGATGACAGACGGACTGGCATGGAGCAATGGGCACCAGGGATGGAGAGGTGTGATCTTGTTTCTAACCCTCCTGACTGGGTGGGGCCTGGAACCCCTGAGTTTGCCAAAGGCCCATCAGTCGTATCTGAATCTGGCCAGTTACAGCACTTCCCCACCGGCCCTCCCTAACACACACACCAGACCTCAAGGCTCTGTCATTTTAGTTTGATAAGTTTGAACATGCTTTGGCTTCCAAGTAAATTATTTAATGAAACATATTTCTCTGCTCACCAGATATGTCTCCGAATTACCTAAGACTTATTCCATGATGAAAATTATTTTATGGTTGGGTGTGGTGGCTCACACCTGTAATCCCAGCACTTTAGGAGGCTGAGATGGGATGACTGCTTGAAGCCAGGAGTTCAAGACCAGCCTGAGCAACAGAGTGAGACCCCATCTCTATAAAAAGTTTTAAAAAATTAGCTGAGTGCAGTGGCGTACACCTATAGTCTAAGTTCCGTAGGAAGATCACCTGAGCCCAGGAGTTTGAGGCTGCATTGAGCTATGATTGTGCCACTGAACTCCAGCCTGGGGGACAGAAACCCTGTCTCTAAAAAAAAAAAAAAGAAAATTATTTTATAACTTGATTCATAGGAATTATATCACATAGTAATCATAGCAGTAGTAATAATCATAATTAATCCCATTTATGAAGCCCTCTAGTATGTGCCAGGTGTCTGCTAGAAGCTTAAAAAACTTTATTGCTAATCCTAATAACATCCTGCAAACTTGATATTGGAGAAGAGCAAGGGTCATAGAAGAAAGTTATGGGCCTCAAGTCTCCTACTAAGAAGTTACCTTCACCCCTGTTTTCAACCTATACAGCAAAGGCAAAGAGGTTTCCCTAACTGTAAGATGTAGTGTGCTCTCGGTGTTCTTTTCTGTCAGATAAAATGCAAACTGGAGGTATCAAGGTAAGTCATTTGCTACCTAAACACTCTAGAATATTTGCACCAATTAATGCATCTAAATATTCAAATGGGTTCTGTCTTCCCCTAGGTAATGATGACTGATTTGCTTAGGTGATTAGGCCATTACCTTAAGATTACTCTGAGAACAAATTACCTAATCTGGAGGTAGAGTTAAAGAGCTCTCCACTAAAGAGGCAGGGTCTGTAGGATGAGCAGGAATTTATGACAGCCTAAGACCAGTTGAAGAGGGAGTGGGGGAGAAAGTATTTTTGGCTGTGCACAAAATCCTAGGTTGGTAACGAGTTTGAAAAGACTGAGAACGTTAAGACCATGTGGCCCATGCAAGTTAGGAAGCTGCATTTCCTGGCCTTTAAAAGACAAAGACAGGAAGGTTAAAACAAAAACTGGTAATTATTCTGGGGATAGCCTGACACAGCAAAATTGTCCCCTTGGTGGTGGGTCAACAAGACCATCACTTTCTTTTCCCGGAATCTCCAATTCATTGTACATGGAAAGGATGACTACACCAGGAACAGCCAAGGGAAGACCATGCGCTTACGGGTCTGCTCATGCAGCAAGGCAGCCTGGCAAGGCAAGCCACTGGGCTTGGTTCCCTCTGGCCAGGGAGATACCCACTTCAAAGTCAAACACCTGGGTGGCAGATATGATCAGCTGCAGCAGACCTGGCCCAAGGCAGATCCTCCCAGAAGAGCTGCACATGAGGTGATTATGAGGAGGGAGGGGAGGGAGAAGGAGACAGGGAAACATTAAGGAGGGGCGGACGGCACTCTGGAGTAATCACGCACTTTTTTCCCTCTCATTTCCTGGAATCTCAGGACCTTAGAATATGTGGGAGTCAGCCCTGGAGTGGAGAATACCAATTTTTTCTCTTCATCAGGCAGATGGCGAGGCTGGAAAAGCCATCTTCTGTTGTTAAGCCACTGCTCCTTGACTCTCACCAGGTTTCGTGAGCAGGCTTAGCTGGTCAGGTCTCCTGAGGGTGGGCTGTGAGGTGGGGCTGGCACTTTCCCATCTGATTTGGCAGGTCAACTCCAACTCCTTCTCAGCAGGGCCAATACCCAAAAAAGCCCCCTCGGTAGACAGAGGCCTCAGGGGAGAGCCAGGCTGTCTGATCTCAGTGTCCCTCAATTTACACATTTCTCCATTCCACCAACATTCTGTTGGGACTCAAAGAATGATATCCCAAAGACTGGAGCTTTGACATGCTGATAGACCTTAGAAGCTGCCTCAGAATCAACGTTCCTCTAGCTTAGTATTGTTTCTCCTCTTATCCTAAGTGCAGGGAGGGACTCTCTTTGGAATATCCTCATCTGACCAAGAGAGCTTTTTTTTCTTTTTTCTTTTTTCCAAAAGAAATGCAATTGTCTTAAACCCCTGCCCTAGAAATCTCATCAAATAACCAGGAAAGATCAATGACCAGAGAAGAGAGTGGGAGTCATCACCAGCCCAGACAGACTTTTCATCTGTTCTTCTGAGAGTAGCTTCAAGAGATTACCTGCGGGACATTATCTGCATAATAAGACAACCTTTGTCCCTGTGCAGCTCTGCCCCTCACCTTCCCTAATGTCTGCCCGTCTCCTCCAGGGTGGGTCCCCATCTCCCCTGTCCCCTGTGAAAAATGTATATACAGTATGTAAGCTTCTGTACCCCACTGGGTTATTGGATAATCATTCTCCTACGATTCCCCATGTTACGTACGTTCGAATAATTTTGTATGTCTTCTCTCCTACTAATCGGTCTTTTGTCAGTTGATTTTCAGCAAACCTTCAGAGGGTGAAGGGGAAGTTTTCTCTACACCTCTCATATTCCCTAAGCATAGCTGGTGCCCAGTAAGCATTCAATAAAAGCTAGATGAGTAAATGAATGAGCAAATGCACTGTGGTCCAGACACAAGGAGGTTAATCGGCGCCTCTCATGCTGTCTCTGAGAAATAACTCTGAAACCCAGTTGTTCTTCTTTCTGAAGATTCCTGGCACCCCCTGGCTCTTCTCTGTTCCCTCAGCTAAAGCATTCCATGCTTAAGGCCTCAGGGAAGGGAGGACACACAGGAATCCAGAGAACAAAGAAGCAGATTCTGGATTTTTGACTCTCAAAAGCTGAGGCCTGGGGAATCTCAGGGCAGGAAGAAAAACAGGGGAACTGCCTGGGCCAGTTTGTCCTCTCTGCACCCTGTCTTCTCCACACCCTACCTCCAGCCTCCTGAACGAGCTGCTCAGGAAAGATGATTTGGACTGGAAAGGGAAGAGAATCAAAGGGAAGCCGAAGGGCTGGTAGACCCCGACAGAAAGATATGCACCCTGATGTCTGGGCAGGCATCTGCCTTCCTACCTTGGGTCTAACTCTGGAAACTACCAGAGCAGTGAGGAGTATTCTGCTCCACACAGTCCTTTCTCTCCTATTGCTGGGAAGAATGTGAAAGCATCCCTGCTCTAAGCCCTGCTACTGCCAGAAAGGAGACAGCCTCCCAGAGGCCACAGACAGACAACTCAGTGGGGAAGTGTTCGTGCTCCCGCAGGCTCTTCAGAGTGAGGCCCAGGGAGCTGCCGACTGACTCGAAGGTGACCTTCCCTTGGAATGAGGAGGCCATAGCACTGACCTGTGCCTGGACTGATGACAGAAGACCAGATGCGACTGGGTGACTCAGGAAATGCCTGCATGATGACATGATTAAATAACCCCCTCTCTCTTTGGCCTCAGGTAAACCCTGGGAATAGGCAGAGAGACACTGAATTCATGGAAAGTTCTTGCCTACTAGGATAATGAAGACTTCTGATGGAAATTAGGTTGAATTCAAATAAAACTGCATGGATGGCACTCCTGAAATCTGTGGACTGAAATCTGTGGCCTCTGCTTATTCATGACACAAGAACATAAACAATGGAGCACTTAGCAAAACGGGGTGACCTCAAGAGGCTACTCAGACTCCAAGTCCCAGGCCTTTCCTCAGGTCTGCTTGGGGCTGATCCTGGAAGAGAACCTAGGGTTGTGCGCACTGACTTGCAGTGCACCCCCCTCACCCACTCCCAGTGATTCCCACAGCCTGTCAAGCTAGCAGAGGCAGGAGCCCGAGGTTGCCCCAAGCGTTCACAGGCAAGGGGGAAACAACCAGCACAATGGCTTAATCCTCACCTCCTTCCCAGCTCCTGGGGAACTGGACCTTTTAGCATGGACAGAAGTCTTTAAAATAGAAAGGATCGTGGATGTCCAAGTATTGCAAGAAGTGGCTTTGAGAGAATAAGGTCTCCTGAGGCCTTGTTGTAATGACTGGTACTTTTCCTCTACGCACAGCATGGGCCATCTGACCACCAAGCGCGAAGGCTTCAGCTGCGTCCCATGATCTTGGCCCAGTGCTATCTGTACTGAGGGTGGGGAATTTCATGAGTCTCACCTCTATAGGTAAGAAGCCGTAGTGTTACCGGGCCCCACCACTTTAGCAGTTTCTTAGTTACTATCTGTGTCTGCTTCCTTCCCAGATTTGAAAATTTCAGACAAACTTAGGGCTGAGTCCTGCCTGTTTCATGTACATGCAGCATGCCTTCAGAGTCAGTTTTCTCATTTGCACAATGGGAACAGGAGTCATGCACACCTTATACGTTTGTGCCTTAAATGAGCTAATGTATGTCATGAGCCTAGCACAGTGCCAGGCACATAGTAAATATTCAGTAAATGTCACCCACACATACACATAACAACAGGTATGTACATTAAATACATGCATTATTTAATCCATATCCTGGTTTCCTCCCCTGCAGTTGAGTCTCTGTACAGTTTTTCCAAGACTGGAGAATGACTCCTGCTCAACAATCCATCCACTAAGCAGACTCCATGTCACCTTCAGGAACATTAGGCTTCAAATCCCTATGAAAAGTTTCCTCCTTTGTTGCTGGAAGACAAGTAAGCCAGACCTAGTGTCATCTCAACCACCCAGAACATTCCCAACTCTGCTGAATTTGTAAAACATCCAAAGAGCACGTGGAATCCTCATAGATAGATATTGTCATTGTCCCTCTGTTCTACAGCTGAGGGCATTGAGGTTTTGGAGTGGCTGGGCTGGAAAACAGATGAGAGAGCTTTCCCATCTGGAAGCTGGAGGGAACTATGCGGGCACCAGAATTTGAACCCATGAACACCAGATCTTTCTGACTTCAGAATAGAAGCAGAAAATAAATAACTATAATGAATGAGCCAAAGGGACTCACCTAAAATTACTTCAAAAAATATGCATTTAATGACCCTGTCCCTATAGAAAAGATTGACATTCCGTCTGCTTAATATGAGATTGGTAAGTCCACATTTTCTTGCAAGTTTTTGCCTCATGTTTTATTTTTTCTTTCCCACATCTGTGAACTGATCTGTCTCTGAGAGCCCAAAAAGAGCTCCTAAGATGCTCATGACATCTTCCAGAGCCTCCAGACCCTTCATGTTTGCGGCCTCCCTCTGAAGAAATAAGACAACTGGGGAGCCTCCTGGGAAACTAGGCAGGGCCCCAGAGAGATCAGAGCCCTGGGGGGCTTAGTTTCTAGGAAACCTGTGCCCACAGGGGTGCTGCAGAGTGCAAGGCCAACATCCTTTGTCTCTAAGAAGGCGGTTACAGAGGGAAGAAATAGTATAGAACCAACAGGGGTGCAGGAGGCAGTTTATAAACACAGCTGGCCAGCCAGGCCCAGTGGCTAACATGTGTAATCCCAGCACTTTGGGAGGCTGAGGCGGGCAGATCTTGAGGCCACGAGTTTGTGAGCAGCTGGCCAACATGGTGAAATGCCATCTCTACTAAAAAGACAAAAATTAGCCAGGTATGGTGGCAGGCACCTGTAGTCCCGGCTACTTGGGAGGCTGAGGCAGGAGAATCATTTGAACCTGGGGTAGGGAGGTTGCAGTGAGCCGAGATCGCGTCACTGCACTCCAGCCTGGGTAATGGAGTGAGACCGTCTCCAAAAATTAAAATAAAATAACAAGCATGGCTGGTCCTAAGAAGACAGAAAATAGAATTACTGAGGGCCCACTCTGGGCCAGGAACCCACCCTGTGTTATCTTACTTAACTCTTCAGCCATCCTGCAAGGGAGAAGATGTTTTCTCCATTAAAGAAAAGGTACACGGCGGTTCAGTGACTTAACCAGGGCTGTGCAGTTGCCAGGACTTCTTGGAACTGGGACTGGAGCCCTGCACGCCTGACTCAGAGCCAGCCGCCCTGTGGCTCCCAGGCTCTCCTGTGGTTCTCAGTGGGGCTGCGTCACCCCCTAGGGGTCTGTTCTGGAAGTCTGTAGAGATGCTTCAAAGTTCACAGTAACTGAAATCCTACAACTCACAGGACAGCAGCCCCCCACCCCACTGCCCCCGGGCCGCACACCAAAGAACAGTTCCATGTCCCTAATGGTGTCGATGGCTTGGAACTCTGTTTTATGTCCAAATACAAAGTATGTCTTGCACATGGAATTTTCTAGAAACATTACTATAGTGCTGTGAAAGAGAGAGATGGGTCTTCTTTATCTTGTCTGCGGCTTGGCTATTACAGAGGTATCTGGCAGGATTTGTGGGTGAGATGTCTACATAGTGGCCACTGCATTGACAGATTTTGCACCAAAGTGCAGCACAAGCATCTAGCTACTTTATTCTGTATTATCTTGTAGTTATGCCCCAAAATATTACAATATCTATTTTCCTATTATAAACAACTCTCAACTAGTTCTTGATATTATAGTTGGAGCGTTCTGTAGATTTTTTTGGCAGCATATAGGAAAACAAGTTACATTTTCTATGAATTTCATTTGGAGATAGTAAAGGGAATATTACAAATGATTATTTAAAAGGAGCCTTGGGTGTGAGAAGACTCAGGACTGTCCTGGCTTCAGTTTCCCCTCTGCCACTGAGCCCAGAGAGTATCCTCTTTATTTTCCCTCTCACCCCATCTTGTCTGTGGCTCTCCTCTCCTGCTCTTGCCTTGAAAGCACAGACTTGGCTCAGGCAAACCTCACATGTCACCATGCTTCCTCTGTGCGTCCCTTCCCGTTTATTTTGGCCCCGATCAAGGTGCAAGATATTGGTATCTGAGGCTCAGCTCAACTGATGGATTTCCCATCTCACAGCCGAGCAGTAAAAGAACGGGTTCCTTTCGTGAGTAGAGAACCTGGGTCCTAGATAAGGAAAACTGTTGAGGCTGCCCTGCCACAGCCTGGAGCTGTGCAGGTCCACTCTCCTGTTGGCATATTTTCTTTGATCAAGCAGCATTCTTTGAATTGCTGGTAGGCTGGGAAACAGGAGGAAGCATTGCAAACTGCTTCTTCTTGCACAAAGCATCTTAATTATAATTATTGTCAGCATTATATCGCTGCCTTGCAAGATGAAGAGGGAAGGAAGGAACACTGCAATTTCACAGCATACACAGGTTCCCTAAAATGAGGAGGGGGTTGCAAAGAGTAAAAGAGCAAGGAACAGAGCCCTCAGCAGATTAAAAGGGGCCTTTGTAGTGGCTGCATCTGTACATTAAAATAAATCTCTCCCAGCACTAAAATAACATCTACGTTCATTTGGGCCAGTGCCACATTCAGCATTTAAGAAATTTGACAAAACATTGCTTGAGCATGTTGAAGTTTGCCAGCTCAGAACAAAACAAGAAAGCTACCTCGGCTGTATGGAAATAGTTCTCCCAGTTCCCTACTTTTCACTTATGACTCCCATTTTCCAGCTGCACTTGAAAGAAAAAGACTTCGCCCTTTTTTCAGGTGCCAACCACTTAGCATGGCCCTGAAATGCACAGCAAATTGCCACTGGAGGTGGTAGACTTCAAGACGAATCTTTTTCTTTTCCCCTAAAGGAAACTACTAGAGACTCTGCATGCCTGATGAAGCCTTTAATAGCTAGAGAAACATTATTTGGGGTGGCCCTCAGGTAGACTAGACATGAATAATGCCTCATAAAAATAATTACTTCTACCCAGAGCACAGCATGCCAGATGAGCTTGGCAGGGGCCCAGTTTTCAGAAAGAATCACAGGCAAAAAAAGTCTTCCATCCAGGAGCCTAAGGATGCATCTATCTGTGGCAGAGACCACAGTCACTTCTGTGGAGTGTGCCCCTGCAAAACCAGTTCTGAATTTTTCTGAGGCCCTGACCAACGATGTTGGGCGGTTTTTCAGGTTACTGTTTGCAACACAATTAGGCCTGAAATAAGTGACCAATGCGCTTGAGAATGTTGATAATGTGCCCTGATTCCAGTGCTGCCCCTTGGGTATGGCATCAATGGGTAGATTTACACAAGTTCTGAGCTGGAATGGTGGAGTGGGCCATTGAACCCAACCTGCTTATTTCATAAACCAATAATGAACGATCCAAAGAGGCTAGCAACTTGCCTGATGTGATTCATAGATGGCTCAAACTAATTTGAACTCCAGCTGAGCTGGAATAATAGACAGCTGTTACTTTTGCCAGCTGAGCAGGCATGTCCCCTTTTTTCAGCAGCAGAGACCCTCCCTCCTTATCCACACCTAGACCATTTCCTTTGGGGAGCTGTCATGACTCCAATTTCCAGTCCATGTGGCATGTGTAGGCTTCACCCTCCACCTGCTAGGCATAGGGATGCATCCTATGCTCCTGTGCCAAAGTGATAGGCACTGACCAAAACTATATCAAGGAGAACAAGCCCCAGGACATTGAACTGAAACTTTTAGGAAAGAGGGGGTTTCTTTCCACTGAGTTTGCCAATCTGCTCAGATGAATACTGGGGGCACTGGATGAGGAAGGCCTGCTTGAGAACAGGGCTGACACAAAGAAAAGTAAAACAAGAGACTGAGAAACTTGGTGATTTCAGCTGAGCCCCAGATCCAACTGTACCTGAAGCTGGTTATAACTATGGACTTTTTAGTTACATGAAACAATGTATTTCCAACCATCCCCAAATAATCAAATAATCAACTTCCTTTAATTTACTGATTTTGCTTAAACCAATCTGAGTTTGGTGGTTGTTGCCTGCACTAAACAGCTCCTGACAGATGCAACTGTAGTCTAGTTTGGTAGGAGATGAGCAAATTATCTTCATGTATAGAGATCTGTCACATAAGCACCTCCATGCAGACAGTCAAATACAATAGCTGACAACAGCATGGGCATGAAAGGCAAATCTGTGGCATGAATGGTGCCCTTCCCTATTTCATGTCAAGTGTCTCTCATGAAACCTAGTATTCCTTCCAAGGAGTCTCATCATCCTTCCAGCATAGTGTGCCTGGCAACCATGACCATCATCCAGTTGTACCGAGTTAGCTGATCATGCAGAGGTGCTCATGGTGAAACCACTGCAGGAAGATGCTACCTTTGCCCATACTAGTTGAATGTACATAGGCCATTGAACTGCTCTTAGTAACCAAGTTCTGGACAATGAAGAAGGCAAACACATATATGCCCATGAAGGGCCTAGTTGCTAACCTCTTGGGAGCATTTTAATTTTTTTCTAATGACAATTATCAAGAATCTTCCAGTTTTTACTGAGGTCAGGTGTGAGGTGATACAGTGAGAGAATTACTCATCTGGATGGGCTCTCAAGAGGTCACCTGGAATGGACCTTGGGCTCACATCACACATACTTTTCTAGTCAAAAAGTTTCCTATCTCACTCTCTAGTCAAGACAACCAGGGGAAAGTGAGCTGGGGGTGAGAGGAGAAGTAGAAATAGAATGTCATTGTAATTTGAGGTCATAGGAAGGTCGAGAGCACTTGATGGGTGATATTCACCTGGACATCACCATCTCCTCCGTAGAAGGTCTGCCCTGTATTGAAGGAGAAAGGCCAAGACTGCATTTCCTGGAATCTCCCCCATCTGTGGTTCCAGATTAGCATTTGCCAATAAGGAGCTGGTGCTAGATTTAGAAGGCAGCAAAGAGACAGAGGCCATGTTGCTCTGGAGGCAGCTGCAGGCAAATTTGTTGGCAGATGTGAGGTTTGAAGCAGCTCCCTAGTGAGTGCTAGAGAACCATTTACATGGATGCTTCCTGACCCACATCCCCAAACATTGCAATGATTATAAAAGCTTCTAGTTGCCTTAGGGCTAGCATCCAAGCCCTTCATATTTGGAATACATAGGGTAACTTCTGTTCCCAAGACCGAGTCCTGACTGATAAGAGTCAGGACCTCTTATTTTCATGGGGTATAGCCAGAGCAAAAATTTCCTTTGCCTGCTACTAAGTCTCCACTATCTCCATACTATAATCAGGCCTATTCCCAGGGCATCAGGCCACTGTGGGGACATCTAGCACTCAAAATTTTGTGGATATATGCTGCTAACCCACAGACTCAACAGTATAGGTTCTCCTGCAGGTACACAGGAGAATGCTTCAGTGCCTCCTGAGAAGTCCTATCCTGCACTGGCAGATGCCAGCTGAGATCACCTGGAATCCTGGTATTCTTTTTCTTTCTCCCTGCTCAGCAAGTCCTAACCAGAGCCTGTTATACACCTTGTTTTCTGTCTCTTAGGTTTGCATTAGCACTGCTTGGAAGATTATTCCACCCTTTTCTTCTGTTTCTTGGTCTACTGGAAAAGTTAAGAGGCAGCATAGAGTAAAGGTGGGCTCAGAATTAGAATCCAGTGATCCCACTTACCAGCTGTGGAAGGGATTTAGGCAAGTTACTTAACCCGCCTCTGCTCAGTCTTTAAGATTATGATGATGAAAACTGGATCAAGCACAGTGTCTGGAACACAGTAAGAGCTCAGTAATTGTTAGTTTTGGTATTATAGTATTTTCCTAGAATGGAAGATCACTTTCATTATGGGGTTCCAGAAAAGATTATTGATGACCCAATTACTTGTCTAAGGCTCTCCAGGTAATTCTAATCATCTTAAATGCACTATGGTCACAGGCAGATTAATTTTTCACAATGCTTAACTATTTTTATTGACACAGTGTTACAATTACAGATAAAGATCATTCACACTACAGCTCCATGCCTTAAGAGTACTCTCAGTCAGGGACTAAATGGTCCCATCATTTTTTTTTTTTTTAATAAACCACATCTACTTCCAAAGTTGTATGTCTTACCTTTCATTTCTTCCATGATTTCGGGTGTTTAAGAAAGGATTGGATTCTTTGCATCCAGTGGAGAAGTGAGCAAAGCAACATGCTTTTCTGAGGTTGGCCAAAATGCTAGCTCCCCCCAGGTTTGCACCCAGCTTCCATGAAAGGACGGCTCTCCTGTCATTATTTGGCATTTTGCAACAAGGCCTTGGTGAAAGTAACCTGCTCTTCTTCGTTAAGTCAAACTTTCCACTGGAAGGGCTGTTTCTAAGAGGCTTTCTCTTCTTTCCTGCTGCTAACGGCCCTCACATCCCCCCTCCTTTCATTTTCTTCCCCTCTCTATATTCTCTTCATCCAACAAATACTGACTGAGGATCTCTGTGCTGGGGACACAGTGAAGGATGTGACAGCTCAGGTGTTCCCTGGGCTAAAATCTCTGAAGGCATACAGATATTATGCAACCAATAACCATTGTGGTGGTCTGAAGACATGTACAGGATGGGTACAGGAGTATAAGAGGGGGCACTCAACCAAGTCCTGGGGACTGGGGGAGAAATGGTTTTTAACCTGCAGCCTGAAGCTAGGGGTGGAGGTAAGCATTAACAGGCAAAGTGAGAGGCAGGGAAAGAACATGAGAAGCTAAGACACTGAGGTGGAATTCCATAGAACTGAGAGTCTTTCAGGACAGGCACATCAATGCATACTGCTTTTTATTTCCTTAGCAGCTTCCACTTCTATTTATGGCATCTTAGAACCAAGGAAATGTGATAATGAGGCAGGGTACTCGTTTTCCTGCTGTTTGGAAAGAGCTAGGCGAATAAGCGTGGCAAAGAACTCTTGTGAAGAGCAGGAGCCGGGATAGAGGTCAGGCCTCCTCCTTTATTCCAACGAGGATGGCCCCCGCCATCCACCACCCTACCTACGCCTGGCATTACCTCAGCTTTGCTGCATTGCCCACTGACTACCTGGCAGAAATAACTTCTCTGCATGCTGCAAACCCTGCCTGGTCCCTGCCTGATTCCCAACATACAATGGCCCAGGACACCTATAATCTTGAAAAAAGCAAGGCTGCCTATAGACACCTAATGGGGTAGTGATAGGGAACCACTGTCAAACCTGCATTTGGTGGGGCTGGGGACTGACTGCACTGGATAAGCTTGAGATTCCATTGGGTGGGCTGAGAGGCACTGACACTAAAGTTTGAAGAACTTACATAACTTGCCCCAGGTTATGGTGCTAATAAGTGGGAGGGAATGGAAAGAAGTCCAGGCCTCCTCAAAGTCTGTATTTCCTATGGATAGGCACCTAAAAGACATTGTTCTTGCTCTGGAGACACTCATTGGCTCCTAGGGAAAAAGAGATACATGCCTGGGCTGGATACAGGAGAGAGAGGTCAAAAAAGAGATGGCATTTGAAGACAGGGTGGCCCTACTTGGCCACTTTCGAGGCCAAGATACTACAGAGTAAGGCTCGGAGAGCCAGATCCCCTGGCAATTCTAACCACTGCCACAGACAGACTGGAGGGCACAATACTAGCAGGTATCAACACCATGTATTCTGCTGCACATGCCACAGACACCAACTTATATATTCCTGAAAAACTGCTAATGTTCAGATGAGGGAGGGAGGAGGGGCTGAACTGGGAAAATGAGTACCTGCATGCTGATTGATGGGAATTCCTAACCTTCCTTTCCCTGCCCAGCTCTCAGATGCTGACAAACAAGCTTATAGCCCCCAAACAAGGCCTAGAATTACTGTCATCTTCCCCATTCTCCAGTTTGGCTAAGTTTTCATTGATTCACCCAATAGTAAAGTCTATTTGTGGAGAAACTTTCAATCTGCATTTTAGTGCCTCACTCTTAAAAGTGAACTAGGCTACAGATATTTGGGGAGAGCCTTCACCTTGAAAAAAGAAAGAAAAACAGACAACTAAATGAGTTAGTGTTACAGCAGAGACAGCAAACACACACACACACACACACACACACACCCCCAGCTCTAACTACAGTCAATATATTCAGAGATAAAAGAAGTTATTGTGTCTTTGAAACAAGAAAAGGCTGCTATAAAAAATAACTCTTGGAGGCTGGGCGCGGTGGCTCACGCCTGTAATCCCAGCACTTTGGGAGGCTGAGGCAGGCGGATCATGAGGTCAGGAGTTCGAGACCATCCTGGCTAACACGGTGAAACCCTGTCTCTACTAAAAATACAAAAAAATTAGCCAGGCAGGGTGGTGGGCGCCTGTAGTCCCAGCTACTCAGGAGGCTGACGCAGGGGAATGGCGTGAACCCGGGAGGCAGAGCTTGCAGTGAGCCCAGATCATGCCACTGCACTCCAGCCTGGGCGACAGAGCGAGATTCCGTCTCAAAATAAATAAATAAATAAATAAATAAATAAATAAATAAATACCCTGGGAAATTTAAAATAAAACAGTCAAAATATACAAATGAATTTAAAAGTAGAAAGATATATGTTGGGAAAAGAAAACGTGGCAGATAATAAAACAAAAAGACCTAAAAAATAATCTAAGAAAATTTCCTAGAACTGAAGGATATGCATTTCTAAAGCAAAAGAGTTCGCAGGTCCTCAGCACAATGAATGAAGTGAACTCACAGCATCCTGGCATAATGAACATGCAGAAAGCTTCTAGGGTGGAGGCTGGGCAATCCTGTTCCTACCAAAGGATATGGAAATGGTATGATATCAGACTTCCTAAACAACACAGGAAGTCAAAAGAAAATGGAGCAATGCCTTCAAAATTCAAAATGATTTTCAGCCAGGTATTCTATGGCCAGTCAAATGGTTAGGAAACGAAGGCATGGAATGAAGACCTTTTCAGAGCTACAAGGTCGGAGGAAATTTTACCACCCTTTCTTAGTAAACTACTGGAAAATGTTCATCACCTAAATGAGAAATTAAGTCAAAAAAAGAAGGCATGAGGGTTTAGGAGAAAGGGGGAGATGACAGAGAAAAATAGGGAAGAGAAGTCTTAGGTGCCTGCATGCCCAGCAAACCTAGAGAGCTATTAGTCCGGACTGAAATAGGATGACACAGAGAGGGAGATCTCACCAAAGCAAGATGAAATAGGCAGAAATACCAAACATTTAGAAAATAGTAGTAATACATATTTGAGACATCTGATGAAACACATGGGGGAAAATTTAAGATGAGTAGAAGGAAAACCAAGCAATAAGAAGACCAGGGGATTTTCTAATCCAGGGAAAAATAACATAAAAAAGAAAACACATACCATGCTATTAAAATAATAGAGAATGTACATAGATTGTCCTAATAATATATTCGCTGACTAATTAATCAAGAACAATGAAATGGGCATACAGTCATGTTGGTGGAATAGGAAGAGGGCAGGATGAGCCGGTGTAAAAAGTCCAAAGCACCATGTATTAAAGGAAGTAAATACACATGTCTAAAATTAACTAAAAAACGGCAATCTTAACTTGACAGTGAGAAACAGAGACACTAAGAGAGTTGGAAGTGGTGGCCTCTAGGAAGTGAGAATAGGGGTTGGGAATGATGGATCAGGGCATGATTTTTTTCTTTTTTAAAAAACATTGTTATTATTCTCATTTTTTTTTTTTTTACCAGAGATAGCGTGTTGCTATTACCCAGGCTGGAGTGAAGTGGCATGATCATAGTCCACTGTAGCCTCGAACTCCTGGGTTCAAGTGATCCTCTTGCCTCAACCTCCCTAGCAGCTGGGACTACAGGCACCTGCTACCACACATGGTTAATTTTGAGTTTTTATTTTATTATTATTTTTGAGATGGAGTGTTGCTCTGTCGCCCAGGCTGGAGTGCAGTGGCACAGTCTCAGCTCACTGCAACCTCCGCCTCCTGGGTTCAAGCAATTCTCCTGCCTCAGCCTCCTGAGTAGCTGGGACTACAGGCACGTGCCACCGCGCCTGGCTAATTTTTTGTATTTTTAGTAGAGATGGGGTTTCACTGTGTTAGCCAGGATTGTCTCAATCTCCTGACCTTGTGATCCACCCGCCTCGGCCTCCCAAAGCTCTGGGATTACAGGTGTGAGCCACTGTGCCTGGCCTAATTTTTTTTATTTTTTTAGAGATGGAGCCTCGCTATGTTGCCCAGGCTGGTCTCAAACTCCTGTCCTCAAATGATCCTTCTGGCTCAGTCTCCCAAGCTGCTGGAATTACAGGCGTGAACCAGTATGCCTGGCTCCTGCTTCTTTTTCTTTTTAAAACATCTTTAGCACCACTTAAGTTTTAGAAACTGCATTCATATATTACTTTGCTATAAAACCAAGTTACTTAGAAATAGAGATGCATTAAGAGGAGCATATAATCAGCAGATTCAAGGTCCCAGCCTCAAGATTCAGGCCTAAAACTATTTCCCTCTTCGCTTATTTCTCCCTGTGCCCAAATCAGAAGGTGTGCATGCTCTCGTGGAGGCTGCTGCCACTGTGGGAGGGGATGGCAGAACTCAGGGGGAGAGGTCAGCCCCTACTTCTTGGGCCAGAGTCTGAATCTTTGAGCTTTGACTGACTGCCTGTTCAGAAGGTGAGTCTTAGCCATGCTGGGACTTTCAAGGGACCATGGGCTGGCGTTAAAAGCACTGACACACCTGGGCAGAGATACACGGTTGTATCACTGCCCTGTTGCAGAAATCATTCTGCAGATGCTCTGGGATGCCATGGCTAAGGTAACAAAGGATTGCCAGGCTCTAGCCAACACTTCCTTGGTAAACCCTATTTGAAGTTCCTATGTGACTGAGGACGCATTTTTACAAGAAAGAAACTGATCCCAAGAATACCACTTGTGATGATCTCTGGATGGAATGATTTTCAAATAAATCAAGTAGGTTTACTGAAAGGCAGCTGTCATTGCCATTTCACGAGGTTGAAGTTTATCCCATGGTGAGCAGTTTCCATTTTTACTACAGCCGAGACAGGTGCAAACAGAGCTGCAGAACTGTGTGGCAGGGAGGAGGCCAATGCATGTCCCTGAAGCCTCTCCCCAGACCCAAGGGACTCACCCTAGCCTTTGACTTAATGTCCCTTCCTCTAGAGGTCAAAGACATCCATGCGAACCCTCGTGGTTAGAATTCTACCAAGATCCCATTAGCAGGAAGAAATTATTACTTTAATAAAACTTAAACTTGTAACATCCCACAAACCATTAAATGTTATGGGTTGTCTTGTCACAAAAGACAATGAAAACAATATGGGGCATTGTGAGGGGAGCAATGATAGATATTGAAAAACCCAAATGTCGTTAAGATTTTATTTACTGCTCACCCACATAATCCCGGCATTATAAAAACGATGAACAATGAATGGAGGGGGAAAACGACAGATGAAACTGGAGTCTTAAAGCCCCATCCCTGGGCCAATAAGTAGTTTGAAAATAGCGTCCGTCAGGATCCATATGTTTTCTGCATGTGTAAGAATACTCTCACACAGGGGGCTTACTTCATAACTGAGATTCTTTTTCATTTAATTCAGTCATATTAGATTATGGGGCTGATTATGATCATATCCACAAATCAGTATTTTAACAGAGTTTCCATGGAAACACTATATGCCCCTGTTTTTTTACTTTTTGGACAAGGCTTTGCCTGTTTAACAACTTGAACAAGTTTGATGAGGACAACATGTTTTGTTTAAGTTACTTTAACTGGGGCCAATATTTCCTAATTGCATTACCAGGAGAAACATTCACGGCATTACTCGTACCATGGAAAACCTCCCCTAGTCCAGTGTTTGATTTGCTTTAATCACTGGAGAAAAGGAAACATACCAGGATTGCCTTATCAAGTTTTAAATGTGTTAACTGGTTTTAAATCTATGAAATAATCTCCCTTATTAAATGACAAAGTTAGTCTTGTTAAGAGGATCGGCATTTATGGCTATATCCATTTATTTTTCAAGATGCAAACATACAGATACCTTTGGCTCCCTGCTAGGGAGGTGAACTCAT
Source organism: Homo sapiens (assembly GCF_000001405.40). Taxonomy (NCBI): domain Eukaryota; kingdom Metazoa; phylum Chordata; class Mammalia; order Primates; family Hominidae; genus Homo; species Homo sapiens. The sequence goes on along the minus strand of NC_000003.12, from coordinate 54,940,848 downwards.
TGTCCATAAACATATGCCCTTTTTTGCATATGGGTTTCAGAAAAATTCCACCAAAAAGCCCCCTTCCCCTGCAAAACCTGCAAAAATAAACTGAATAATATCAAGCACAGAATAAATGCAAAAGGAACGTCCAGAGTACAAAGACTTTTCATACAACAGCCTTATTGTTTGCTTCTTTTTGGTCCTTTTAGGCATTCACACCCAGAAAACTAGTGATGTTCACTTCCAATAGTGACAGTTTGGGAGTAGCCTGTAGCAAGGTTTTTGAAAATGCTGCATTATATAAAGACAAGGGGAGGGGGCTTTACGGACTGGTGTCAGAGTTCACCCTGACAGCAAATAAAACACATGGCCCGAAGCTCTGTGAGCTGTCTGTGTCTGAAATGTTGGTGGAGCTTAATAAAATATCAGTGAGGAACAGTTTAATTTTACAGCATTAGGCACCGAGGCAGTAATCTGAGTGGGATGAGCTGTATTTTAATACATCAAAGTATACTATACTACAGGGAAGTTGAATATATTTTTAGAAGACAGTTGCTCCCTATTCAGAATTACTTGACTCAAAAATCTTCCTTTCTCAAGGATAAGTAGAAAATAGTTGCAGTCTTCCAAGAGCTACCCATCTACTTTTAAAACTGTGCACATGTCTCAAAAGTTAGCTAATCTGTCTCCAGGCAAATGCTTCTTACTGGGAGTGTGGGGCTGTGGCCTGAGACTAGACACCAATGTGGTGAGTGTGTGGTTTTTTCCTGACCATAGAAGATTGAGCTGTCCAGTGGGAAGGCTGTAAGGTCAGCTCCACCTTCTCCATCTTCCACCCCTCTTTCTGAGATGCTCATCTGCTCAGATGGGAGTCCTAGAGGCATCCTGTCCTCTGCATTATGACCTAGAAATCCATCATGGAAAGGGAGTGGTCATTCCACTTCCACTTTCTTCCAGGGCATGCTCTATCTTCAGACTCTGGATGCTCTAAAGCAAGCATGGCCAGCGGCTTTTGTTCATGTGGTTGTCCAAACAATCATGTGGGCCGAAGGGCAGGAGCAGGCCCACAAAATGCCATGCTTCTCCCGCTACTGGTCTATAGATCAAAGGGAGTTCCCTCCTTCCTGCCCAGCAATGAAGAGAGGGTGGGCCTGCAGGGGCGGCTTCTGAATAGGGAAACAGCCATGACAAATGTGTCCCAGATCTGACTGATAGCTCCGTTCTGGGGGATGGACCAGGTTATTGCTAACTCTCTGCACAAAATGCCTTGCTTTCCCCACCTCCGGCCCCAGCACACTTTGCCCAATCCCTGGCCACAGCAGACAGACAGCAGGCTGCCCTCTTTTCCCTGTGGCCCTGCCTCCCTGAAGAAATGGGCAGCGGGAACCTACAAAGGTGAATGTCTTGGCCCTTCTTTTGCATTTCTCCACATGCCAGGGGAAGGGACTGGGAAGAATAAGATGAGATAAAAACGCAGAGTAGTTCAAAGGCTTTGAAGTCCGGCAGATGAGGGTTCAAGTCCCAGCTCTGCCCCTTAGAAATTGGGTCTCAGGCAAGTGAGTCAGTCTCATCAAGTTTCAATTTTCTCTTTAGTAAGATGTAGAAGATAATAGTTCCTACCCTGGAGTGGTGGAGAAATAACATGATCATTTCCAGGTAAAGCACCCTGTGTCTGAGAACTTCTGGAAGGTTGTAAGAGTTTCAGATGTTGGATTCAGCCTTGAGAGTTTAAGGATGCACTGTGTCCAACAAATTGGATATCTAGACAGAGGAAAAGCTAACCAAATAATAAACTGCTAAATAACAGTGCCTCATTATCCCAAATGGAGAGGTAGCATCACAGTTTCCTCTTGGTCCCAGTTTGCTGTCTAACGTGTGCTACCCTTTTCAGATCAACTTCCTCTGGACTAAGTACTTCATTTCTGCAGGCCAATGCACATGCTCTCCTGGGACAGCTTCAGCGGGACAGCATGTCCACTGCCCATGGCACACTAATGGGGATTGTCCACATGCCCAAACTCAACCCTGACTTTTCTAGAATCATATTTCTAGCGCAAGCCATGGGTTTCCTGTGCAAATGCACAGACCACAACAACTTTTTCAACATGCTCTCAAATTTTGTGTTTCCCTTGAAAGACGTTTTTAAAAATAAAAATTTATTTTTATCACTGTAGAAAAATTACCATGGTCACAGGACAAGGAGAAGACACTGAGTCTATATCAAGATGTATAATTTGGGGGTGGGGGTAACTAAGGGGGCTTGGTCAATAGCTTCCCAGGGCATGATTCAAATTCTCCCTTCAGCAAAATGATGCTTGGCTTTGTATTATATACTTTAGGGGCATTTGGGCTAGTCAAACTTGCAAATGGCAAGGATCTATACTACAGGAACACCAACTAGGATTATGTTAGCATGGTGCCACCAGTTGGCTATCTAATACTGTCTGCTTCAAGCACTGGACTAGAAAGGATTCTGAGGCCATGGATGGCCCCAGGGGCTGCTGAGCAAGGTTGCCATGAGGCCACAAAGCAGGTAGTTGCAGGACGTAAACACTCATTTGCCACTTCTGGTCTGCTGCAGTGTTTGCATCTGCACTAACATATACACAAACTCACAGGAGGAAATGTTACGTCCCATCCAGGCAGTACTGGAGCCCCAGCAGGGCTGGTTCTTCCTTGACTGCACTGGACCCAGGCACTGATGTGGTGAGAATGCAACTCTGCCATTCTGCTGCCCCTCAGACACATGCAGAAAGGATTTGCCCACAACTGCCAACTCCACATCAAAGCTCAGGATCTGAGAAACGTGTACGGGGATTTCATAATGCTTGTGAAATCAACATCCTCTTTACCTCCTCTGAGAAGCATACTGAGGGACAGCAAGGGGCTTTTCTCTGGTTATGGTCAGATGGTGAAAACCAATGGTTTTCAATATTAATAATAAAGTGACCGGGAGATGAGGTCGGGGACAGCAACCAGCCTCTCACCCCTTCTCCAGCACCTGCTTGCCCAAGCTCCTTCCTCACCCTCTGTGCTGTGATCATGCCCGCCTTCTGCTAGTCCCTAAGATGCTGTGCCATCTCACTGGCCTCTCAGCGTAACACATGCCATGCCTTTACCTGGAATGGCCCTCGTCTCTTCCCCTCTCTGTGGTAAATTCTGGCTAGTACTTCAGATTTCAGCCTGGCTATAACATCCATTGGGATGCCTGCCCTCACCTCTCAGGCTGAATTGCCAGACTGCATTCTCTTATGGAACCATGTACCTCTTTTTCCTTGCACTTTTAATGGCTGTACTTTTTCATATACAGTTGACCCTTGCACAACACGAGTTTGAACTGCACAGGTCCACTAATACACAGATTGGAAAATACATAATTTATGGAATGTGAAACCTGGATACTTGGAAGGTTGACTTTTCCTACATGTGGGTTCCACAGGGCCAGTTGCAGGACTGGTGCAAGCACAGATTGCTGGAACCAATCCCCCTCATATACCGAGGGACAACTGTATTTGCATAGTGGTATAATGAATTTCTGTCCCCTTTCTACACTGTAGTGGCCATTTGGACTGTAGGTCCATTCATTGAGCTGTGTCTTATTTTGATGCCTATGACATTCCCAAACACAGAGCTTTGCAGGTAGGGAACACTCAGTAGATACTTCTTTCATCAAGAAAGAATACACACAAAGGGGTCCAGAATGAGAGTCCCTTGAGCACACCTTATTTTTAAGTAAGGGTGTCTTCACCTTCAGAAGTGGAAAGCACCAAAAATAGAGAAACACCAGTCTCTAAGGGGTGAACACGGGCACTGCTCTTTCTCAGCAAATCTAACCACCTTAGCACCTCCTCACACACAGCGGCACTCAGCTGCCTTTCCAGATGCCTTCATGGTGGGAGCAACTGGAGGCCATGGATAGGAACTTATAAACATCAGCCGTAGCAGTGAGAGCATACACGGAGTTTATTTTCTCCTCAGCCCTCATTAGAATCACAAATGAAATGTTGACAACACATGAAGGAGCTTGCTTGTTGAACACAATGTTTCCACTCCTATCAACCTCAAAACTCTGATAGTCATGCTTCATGATGAAAGCTAAGCAGCCCTGGGGAGATGACTACATGCTTTCTCTAATTATGCAAGGATGGGAAAGAGGGCCTCCTACTAGCGACGGGCTGACTGGAGACAAGGTCCACAGGGAAGCCTTAAAAAATCACAGCACGAGCATGTAGTAGGTAACCCAATATGGGATTTTTGAATTAAAAGAAAAGATGAGAACATCACTATTGCACCAGAAGGGGAAGGTGCCCATTATAAACCTGAATGGAGGCTGCAGCAAAGTCAAGGCAGGGCCTTTATTTTGCTAACAAACATCCCACATGAAAGTGGTAGTTGCATGATACTAACAATCAACTTTCCTTTGTTTGTGGAGCGACTTTGATGACAAGCAGAGATATGTAGAGCACAAATTCACTGAGATTGCACTTGATTCTAGGCACACACACAAAGGCTTTATAATACGAAAAGATGGGGAGCTCTGTCCACGGGCAGAATACTCCTTTGCATTTAACTTGCCTGTTTTTGTACCAAGCAGATTAGTTCAAGCAGATACAATCTAAGTACCTAGTTGATACCTATAGACACAATAATAGAAGATACTAGCTAATGTATATTACTATGTGCAAAAGATTTTTTTTTTTTTTGCTATGATTCTCGTGATAAAAAACTGTTTAACCCTTTCCATAAATCTGCAAGCTGGGTTCCTTTGCACAGATGACGAAGTTAAAGATCAGAGAGGTTAAGTAACTCATTCAAGGCCACACAGCCAGTAAATGTTGGAGGCGGTATTTTTGAGCCTAGATGGTTTCACTCCAGATTCCATGTGTTTAGCAGGAACACTGTTCTAAAATGAAATGATTGGACTCACAAAGGGGATTCCTGAAGTGCAGGATGTGTAATGTGGGCTACAATCTAAGTCCTGCTTAAGACTAACTGTTTTCCAGAGCATTTTCAAGCTATGTATATATCAAAGAACTCATATAGAACAAACCTTAAAGAGAAAAAAGCATAACACAGACTTGTTATTGCTTCATGATATACATACAGTAAGCTATAATTTAAAAATATGAAACATACATTGTAATCTATTACAGAAACTGAACTATCACGTTATAGTAAAAGTACAAAAGCAAATAAAAACCCAACAACAAGAACTGCAAAAAACACTCATTTCATGTGTTAACATGAGCAAACAATCAAACATGAACATGAATTTGATTCCAATTTATATTCCTGGGGCACAGACAAAAGTAGCCACTCAAAAGATCTAAGTAAAACAACGTGTCACTGTGAGGCTTTGGCCAGGCTTCCTAAGCTGCCATGTTTCTTGATCCGTTTGTTTCTTTCATTAACTTTATGTCAACTAGCATCTGCCTATGTTTATTCCACCAGCCGCATGAGCTCACTAATTACCTTTAATCATACTTATCTGAAATGCATCTTTATCTTTACACATGTCCTGAGTGCAGGACAACTGAATGCTGGAAGGCTGACATTGGGAAGATATTGGAATGGGAAGTCTGTATTTCCTCTAACCCTGACAGTATAGGGAGGATTAACCCCCAAAATGCAAGTCTACCCCAGAGGTAGACTTAGATGGTCTACCTCTGCCACCATCTGAAGTTCCCCAGCAAGGACTTCTAAGAACTGGTTCCCTGAGAGTTAGACAGTGTCAGGGAAACCCTACCTTGTTCAAACAAAATCACGTGCAGTCTTCTCATGGAAAACAGGTTCAAGGTGATGAGAAAACTGCTAAATAGCACCCTCCAGACTTGGGCGCCATGGCTCATGCCTGCAGTCCCAGCACTTTGGGAGGCCAAGGCGGGTGGATCACTTGAGGTCAGGAGTTCGAGACCAGCCTGGCCAACATTGTGAAACCCCTGTCTCTACTAGAAAATAAATACAGAAATTAGCGGGGTGTGGTGGTGTGTGCCTGTAATCCCAGCTACTCGGGAGGCTGAGGCATGAGAATCACTTGAACCTTGGAGATGGAAGTTGCAGTGAGCTACGATAGCGCCACTGCACTCCAGCCTGGGCAACAGGTGACACTCTGTCTCAACAAAAACAAAACACAAAAAAACAAAACAAAACAGACTGGTGAGCTCTTTGAAGACCAGGAACCAGTATGCAATATCTTTTCTAGTCTACACAGAACCTGGCTAAGTCTTAGGCTCTGTGGACACGTGGATGCTGAAAAGAAAGATTTTGGCCACTGTCTTCCTTAGCTTTAGGGAGGCTGGAGGCATACATTTCAAACCCACTACTCCACTAATTTTATCAGGCAACTCAAGGCCTGCTAAAGGGAGTTCAAACTCCGCTGATATTCATATGCAGTAAACGGAATAATCCTAGGCATTCCTTGAACCTGAATTCTTACCTTATCAAAAGGGCAAGAAAAAAACAAGGAGATGAACACAACCTCCCCACTTTCTTACTAGAGAAAACGTATGGCAGCCTTGGTTCTCCACTGAACGGCTCAAGAGGGAACTATGTTCTCACCTCCTGAGTCAGAGCTTCCAGATAATTCAATTTACATCTTAATGTCAAAAGAATGGGTTGTGTAAAAAATGACCTTAGGGCATAAAATGAATACAACTATAGGTTCCCTTAATATTGTCCTAAACGTTGGTACTCACAATCCATGTGTTTGCAACAAATAACGCTGGAAACCTTGGGTAAGTTTTTACCTTCTCCGTCCCTGTTTTGTAATTTGTATCAAAAGTAATAGTAACATCATGGATGGGCACAATGGCTCATGCCTGTTATCCCAGCACTTTGGGAGGCCGAGGCAGGTGGACCACCCCAGGTCAGGAGTTAGAGACCAGCCTGACCAACATGACGAAACCCCGTCTCTACCAAAAATACAAAATAATTAGCTGGGCATGGTGGTGTGTGCCTGTAATCCCAGCTACTCCGGAGGCTGAGGCAGGAGAATTGCTTGAACCTGGGAGGTGGAGGTTGCAGTAAGCTGAGACCAGGCCACTGCACTCTAGCCTGCAGTGGCCTGGATGACAGAGTGAGACTTTGTCTCAAAAAAAAAAAAAAAAGTAATAGTAATATCTTTATTCATTCAATATTTACTTAATAAACCTATTAAGTGGGTTTTGAAGAAAGTATGGGAAACAAACAGGTCATTTGAAACTTAATGTCTAGTGAGTTGTTGTCACTTTAAAGTGAGATAATGCAATAAAATGTGGAGGCAGAAACTGCTATGATCTCCAACAGCTATGCCTCCTCTTCTTCCAAGACACACTGCTAGACAACATTTCCCAGCATCTCTTGCTGTTAGACATGGTCATGTGATTTAATTCTGGCTAATAGAATGTGAGCAGAAGTGGTAAGTACCTTTTCCAACTGATGGAGAGGGCTCTGAGAGCCAAGAAGAGGTCACAGCCAAAAGGTGGAAGAAGCCTGGGTCCCTGAATGACACCATGGAGCCCAGGCCCCTGTCAACCTGAACTAGACTGTGATAAGAGAAATAAATGAGCTATTCTGTTAAACCACTGAGATTTGGGTGTTGTTTGTTAAAATAGCATAATTTTAATACAAATTATTAGCACTATGTGCCCCATTGTAAGCATTAAATACATGATTAATGGGATTGTCATTTTAAAATATATTCCTAGTTTTCTATGTTTCTTATTTTTCTATCTCTTATAGGATAGTAAATCCAAAGGCAGAGGTCCAGAAAGAAGGAAGGAAGGAAGGAAGGAAGGAAGGAAGGAAGGAAGGAAGGAAGGAAGGAAGGAAGGAAGGGAGGGATGGATGGATGGAAGACAATATTAAAACTTTAAAATAGCTCTGTATAAACTGTGTACCTGGGTGCCGTTTGGTCATCCACAATTCCTAGGAAACTATTTTCACTATTATCCACATGCCTCCAATGTCAAACTTTCTTTCTAACCAAACGAAATTTCTGCATGGATTTGTGGTGCCAAGGGCCTACTCCCCACTATTCCTGGCTGCAGCTGTCACTAGGCCTGGCTGCCTTCCCTGGCATTAGATCGCCATACCACATGGTTTGGATGAGGAGCCTGTTGACAGGGATGGAGGAGCACTTGGCCATGACTTTACCAAGGCAGACCTTACAATTGGGAGAAATGCTCATATTTGTTATAAGGGCTCATCACACGTAGAGACCCCTTGGCAGAGAAAGACAGATGTTACCTGTGGGGCTAATTCTCTTGGTGAGAGAGGAGGCAAACTCTAGGCATGCTATATTTACACAGATAACTCAGCCAGTCACTAGAAGATAAGACATCTCAAATATTCCAGTAAAGGAAATGTGCCTTTACTTGCTTCTTAATTTTTGTTGTAGCGAGTTGAATATACAGAAGTATAAGCAGAAAACATTTATTTTCCCCTCTTTTTCTTTAGTCTCCCCTCCAAGTAATCAGCATTATCAGTTTGGTGACTGACCTTTCCCACTTATTCCATTTTCAGACAAACCAACGCGTATTTATAGGGTTAATTCCTCCATCTCTAACACTTTTTTGAATATAAATGGGATTATACAATATGCTTCCTATTCAAATTGCTTTATTTTGCCTCCCACTTTATTATGAATATTCTCCCAGATGGGTATATTTAGTTCTAATTATTCTTTTTCATTTATTATTATTATTTTTTGAGACAGGGTCTCACTCTGTTGCCCAGGCTGCTGTGTAGTGGCGTGATCTCGGCTCACTGCAGCCCACTCTTGGGCTCAGGTGATCCTCCTACCTCAGCCTCCCGAGTAGCTCAGACTATAGGCGCTCACCACCACACCCAGCTAATTTTTTGTATTTTTGGTAGAGATGGGGTTTAACCATGTTGCCTGGGTTGGCTTTGAACTCCTGGACTCAAGTGATCCACCCACCTTAGCCTCCCAAAGTGCTAGGATTGCAAGCGTGAACCACTGAGCCTGGCCTTTATTCTTTAAATACCTGTGTAATATTGCCTGGGAGAAAGAGCTATTACATGCTGGATTTCAAGACATTGTCAATTTTATTGTAGGGTTAATAATCATTGATTTTTCATTTCAGGGAAATTAAATGGTAAATAGACTAACATATTAGAAAACATTCTGGCTTAAAAAGGGCAAAAGAATATGTCTCAGAAGCTTGGAAATTTTTGAAATCTCAGTGTGAATATAAACACAATTTTACTCTACGGGTGCATCTGCAGCTAGCTCCCATGTGGGAACCTGGGGTCCTGGCAGGTCTTGGGGCCAGGAGACCCTCATAGTGCAGTTCTCCTCTTTAAGGAGTGGCTCTGGCCTGAGCTGCATTCAGCATCTCTCCTTGGTTCCTCTTTTTGCAAGCATGGCTGTCTTGCCACCTCTTGGATCTGCTCACCACGGGAGGGAGGGAGAAAGAAAAGGCACTGCCTAGCATTAGCATGCATATCACACACCCTCCCTTTGTTCTCTTGGCTGAGGTCAGATGGAATAAATCAATCAGCCTCCACATCCAAGTGTCCGGGGCGGGCAGTCCAGGCCATGTGTGCATTGTCCATCTTTTAACCCCCAATTGGGGTCAGCATGAGTAAAACAGAACCAAAAAAACCCCTTGGGCAGTAAGCAGATGTTGCCAGGAACCCATTAGCTCTGGGGCTTCTCTAGGAGTTTCCTGGGCATTCGTGTTTTAGGTGGGAGCAGCCAGCTCAGACTCTTTGAAGTCTGTAAATCCATGCTGCTAGTAAGAGATGCCACTTTGTTTTTTGTTTTGTTTTGAGAAGGAGTCTCACTCTGTCACCCAGGCTGGAGTACAGTGGCACGATCTCGGCTCACTACAACCTCTGCCTCCTGGGTTCAAGCGATTCTCCTGCCTCAGCCTCCTGAGTAGCTGAGATTACAGAAGGCCACCATCACGCCCAGCTAATTTTTGTATTTTAGTAGAGATGGGGTTTCACCTTGTTGGCCAGGCTGGTCTCGAACTCCTGTCCTCAACTGATCCACCTACTCAGCCTCCCAAAGTATATTGGGATTACAGGCGTGAGCCACCATGCTTGGCCAAGATGCCACTTTGGATCTTTTGCTCTACCAGATATGTGCTAGGCACTTAAGTATCACTTGATCCTCCCTGCCTCCGGCGAGGTAGGTATTATCTACATTCTACAGATAGAATGCTGATGCTCAGAGAGCCTGGGATTTTCCCAGGACCATAGAACTTTAGGGAATAAGCAGCATGAAAGTGTGCTTCTTCATTTAGCTTTTAACCAGAAGTGTCCTTGACTGCCTTTGGTTCTCTGCCAGGGTCTTGACCTCCAACATCCAATTGTGCTGTCAATAGATTGATCATTTTCAGGCCCCCAAGTCTAAGATATCTGGATCCCAGCTGGGCCTTATAGACACAGCTAAATATCTCCACTATAACCTAAAGAGGTATTTAAATTCTCTGTCTGTCTAAGCCCCCTTAAAGCTGGTAAGTAGAGTGCCTTTCAATCCCATTTATGCTTTTTGACCAGAATGACAAGGTTCTGGACATAAGAAGGCCTTAAAGATCATCTTACCCAACCCCCTCATTTGATAGATGAGGCAACAGGAGAGTGGATATGTTTGCCTGGGTGGTGGGAGTTGAGGGTGGGTGACAGGTGGGGTGGTGGACTAGTGAGAGCAGTTGCCAGAGGATGGGATAACCAGAGTTTGCAGATCACAGCCTGTGGGCCGATCTATGCCTCTACCTGTTTTTGTAAATAAAGTTTTATTGGAATGCAGGCACACCCATTGATTTATGTATTGTCTTTGGCTGTTTCCAAACTATAACAGCAGAGTCCAATAATTGCAATGGAGACTGATGGCTCTTAAGGTCTAAAATGTTTACTATCTGGCCTTCACAAAAAAATGTTTCTGACCCCAGGGAAAGAGAGAGGCACACAGGTAGATATGAGTTATTAGTAACTTTCTAGTTCTTAGAAGGAGTGTTAAGTTCACAAGTGTTTGTTGTGTTATGATAAATTAATGATTGAATGCTAATGGGGGCCATTGATGGTTATGTATGTATTTCCATTAATAATGGAAATTATTGTCATTAAATTCTGTGCACCTGAAACAGATGGATAGGAAGGAGGGATTGGAAGGAAGGAGGGAAGAAATCATTGAGTTCTTAAGATTTAAGTGGCTCTTCATCACCTGACTTGCTTTGTCACCTACACCTGACTTTTGCCCATTGTATGTGTGATGCTCAAAAAAATGTTGGAGAGAAGGACAAAAGATGGCAGGTTGCGTAAAGTGGGCTTTCTGGAAGAGGCAGGATGAATATACTGGGTTATGTGGGGTGACAAGGGGCTTGGCCAAAGGATGAAAGAGTCCACAAAGTACAGGTTGTTGAAAATAATCAAAATTTGATGTTTTCAACTTCCATTCACAAAGGGCCTCTTCCCTTTGTACCTGCAGAGTGGCACGAAGGGCCAGGTTCCATGGCCCTCTGTCAAGACCTCCCTCAGGACATTCCTCCTGCTGACCGGTCCAGGTTGTCCTCAGAAGTTGGCAGCATACAAATCCTGAAAGCCTTTCTCATGCAAAATTGTGAACACTTATGAAGACACTCTGGGCCATGTCGTGTACTGCCATATTTAATCCTGGGCACAGCCTGGTAAAGTAAGGGCTAATGTTGTCCCCATGTCAGAGATGGGGCTCTGGGTGGGTAAGTCACTTGCCTGGAGACACGCAGCTGGTGATGGTGGAGCCAAATATCGACTCTGGACCCACCTGATTCCAGAGCCCAAACCCAATGGCTCAATTATACCTCCTGGAGCCAAGGATTGCACTTCATGCTGCTTCCATAAAAGCGTACACACAGTTACACACAGCAGAACATTTTGTTTTATCTAGAAGGGCAGCTTCAGGGGTTGAAACCCCACCTCAGCAAATGGCAGGGGATTTCCACATTCAAAGAAACGGTTCCAGTCCCTGGTGGGAAAGTTCCCTGAAGCTTCAATTAGAGAAGAGTCACAGTCGACTGACGCCTGATGCTCACAGGGGGCGGCTTTATTGTTTTATATGTGAAAAGTGAGGGAAGGGCCAGGACCTCAGCATCAGGGAAACGAAGAAAGATTAAGAAGTATTTCTTAAGTCACACTAACCAAAAGGTCAATTCAACTCGGGGGCTGGGGAGTGGGTGGGGTGTGGGGGCAGCAAGCAAGCAAGCAAGCAAGCAGCTGAGAAGTTATTTGTGGCACCAGAAGGAAGGTTGTGATGTCCACTAAAGGAAACCATGGCTATGAATTTCAGGGCATCAAGACCCTGTCAACACAGCTAATCCCCACAGATGTTGGCTGAATAAGACTTCGATGACCAAAGAAGTGCACGGTGCAAACCGTGTCAGCCTCCAGCAGGCCAATTTGTCCTCATATTACACACTCTGCGGGCTCTGCTGCTCGACCCCCAGGTGAGGGTCCCGTCCAGCATCCCCCAACCCAAAGAGGGGTGACCCGGCATGGTTAATAAGTCAACAGAATTCAGAAGCCACAGCCGGATTAAGAAGGCAGTTTTATTTTGGTGCCCTGTACTTCAAGCAGATTAAATAATCAAAAAGGCCGAGGCACTGGGGTCATGTTTGAATGCTACAGCTGTTCACCAAGGTTTGACAAACATTCTTTACGCGGCTCATCGTCTGAATGGGAAAGGCAGGGATGATCCTGGGGAGGCCAACATTTTAAGAAAGAAGAGGGGCACGATCCCAAGATCCTCTTATGGAAACTGATCCCAGCCAGATGGAGACAAGGGGAAGGGCTGCTTAAATAAATGGTCTTTTGAAAGCAACAACTGTTTTCTGCATTGAAGAAAAGCAAGGGCAGGGTTCAGAAAGACTGAATGTAAAGCTGGGCTCTGAGTCTGCCATGCCCTTCGTGTGTTGCTCTGCACATTAATTAAAGGGTCTACGAGGTCAGCAAGGACGCCCAAGGAGACTCAGTCATGAAAGGTGAGCCCTGATCAATTCCCGTTGGAAAAGTTCTTGTCTGGGAGAAAGATGGTATCCCCTCACAAAGGTATCTGCGGGAAATCTATTTTCAAGTCGTCTGTCTTAAAAGACTGGACAGATATGAAAAATGTCTCTGCATGGAATGATTTATGTTTGCGCATGTTGGGTGCAGAGGAAGAGGGTGGAGAGAAATGTATGCAGTCATGACATGAATATGTAGTTGGCATGTCACGGGCCATTTCATAGGAAACATGGTGCTTGTAGTTGGAGTTCGTATATTATTCCTTTGGGGGGAAAAGTGGAACCAAAGAAAGAATGAACAAATTGGCTACAATCTCAGAGAGGCAAGCCTTTCATTAATAGATCAGTGGATTCTGCGGCAAACATGTTCTCTGGTTTAAGAATTAATTTCCTGCAACTAATTAATGCTTGAGCCCCACAGCTAAAAATGAGGGGTGTCCGTTCATTACTGAGGGGAAGATGTTTTGGCTTTGAAAGGAGTCATTTAGATTATTTGCAAAATTATAGAAAGGAAAACAGTGGTTTTGCTCTTTGATATTCTGGAAAGGGGAAGGGGACTGTGATGTTCTGCATCCCTTAAACTAAATTAAACTGAGAAGACTCTCTTTCAGAAGGCTCTCTAAACATCTTCCCTATTGCCCTAGAGCACTGTTAGCCTCAGTAGAGAATTTAAGGAAGAAAGGGGAAAAGGCTCAAGTGCATGACAGCCATGCTGTGTATTTCCCTAGTTAAGGCCCAAAACAAGCAAGCAAGCAAACAATCAATCAAACAAAGCCCCTTTCAAGAGCTTCCACTTTGAGTAGATAACTATTTTGAGTTTTGGATATTACTGTGTGGCTCATGAATTCCTCTACCACTTTATAGTAAAATGCCCTTGGCAGATGTTTGTCATATTTTGAAATTCAAGTCTCAAAAAAAAAGAAGGGAGTGTTACAGCTACTTTGGTGAATGACAGAGCAGTATCTAAGAAAATGTGAACTTAATCTCCTCTCTGAGCCCTGTGAGAAGATTTCTCTGGATTCCAGAGACCCTCTCCCAGTTCCTGCACAGCCAAGGCAGTCTGAACAAGGATGCTGTTTTACAGCATCATTTAGAATGAAGAAAAAAACTGCAACCGTTCAACTACCCCTCATAAGAGTGGGGGTAAATATTAATACTAAATGTGGCATGCTCTCACCATGGAATATGCTACAACAGTTAAAAGGAATGAATTAGCTTTCCACGTATCCATGTGGATAGATCAGTTTTCAGTGAACAGAGCAAATTGCAGAATGAGACATATTGATGATTACATTTATCTGGATTTTTAAAAAGTGTTATGTAAAACAGAGTGTGTGTGTGTGTGTGTGTGTGTGTGTGTGTGTGTGTGTGTGTGTGTATTTGACAGGCAGTGGAGCACAGTAGATAAGAACTCTGACAGACTCTGGAGGGAGGAAAAGTGGAGCACAGTAGATAAGAACTCTGACAGACTCTGGAGGGAGGAAGACAGCCTTGGTCCTTATCACAGCTCTACTATAATACTCTGTGTGAACTTGGGCAAGTGATTCAGCTTTTCTGTGCCTAGCTTCCTCATCTTTCAAATGGGGATAATAATGGAACCATATTTACAAGGTTATGAGGATTAATTAATATACATATTTATAAAGCACTTAGAATGGTAGGTGGCTCAAAATGCATGCTATATGTTTATTTGAGATTTTTGTCATTACTAATGATTGTTTTTAAAATGTCTGGAGGGATACATCAGTAATGGTGTGAGGAAAAGGGCTTATGCTGGAAAATAGAAATTGGGCATGAATCAAAGTAAGTTCAACTGCATAAGTAATGCATTGCTCTTCTGAGTTGAAAGAAAAAAGAATCAAGGAAGTACAATAACCCATGAAGGACTTGCAGAACTATTATAGAAAATGGGTATTTATTATACTATTCTTAATGCTTTTCCATATTTTTATAATCTTGAATAAAAAAGCAGCAGACACTATCCTTGTTCATGGAATTACAACGGCAAAAATGGATATCAATACGTAGCAGCGCTTTAGATCTGCCCTATCCAATACAGTAACCATTAGCCACATGTGGCTACTGTTGTTTAAAATAGTTAAAATGAAATACAAATAAAAATTCAGTTCCTTGGTTGCAGTAGTTGCATCTCAAGAGCTCGGTAGCCACACATGGCTATTGGCTCCCATACTGGAAAGCAGATGTAGGACACTTCTATCATCACAGAAAGTTGTATTAGACAGCACTGTTCTGCAGCATACTTTACAGAAATGTAAGTATCTGAAATCCTCTAACACTCTTTTACACATCTGGCCCCAAATAATTCTGTTGTGGCCTACAAACGGCATATACACCCCAAATATTTTTTTTCACCCTTCTATTTGATATCACTAAGTCTTCCATCTTCCGAATCAGAAGACACTGAGAGTATCTTTCTCAAGGCTTCAGACGATAGGTGGCACAAAGACTGCAGAAGGTAATGACACTGGGGATGTACTCTGACCAGCCTGGCTCTACTAAAGACGGTGAGTGACAGAACCTCTCTTGCAGGTTGTAGAAGGTTTCACCTGGCTGGAAAGCACATTACCTGTAAATTCAAAGGCGGAAAAGTGCTGATACCACACCTCACAAACTGGTTCCTATCCCAATTTCTTTCTGTTTGTTGTAGGTGAACTGCTCCTGTTTTCCAGTGTGATTGTCCTGCTCCAGGTGGTATGCAGCTGCCCGGACAAGTGTTACTGTCAGTCATCTACAAATTTTGTAGACTGCAGCCAGCAGGGTCTGGCCGAAATCCCTTCCCATTTACCTCCTCAGACTCGAACGCTGCATTTACAAGATAATCAGATACACCATCTTCCTGCTTTTGCATTTAGGTCAGTGCCATGGCTCATGACCTTAAACTTGTCCAACAATTCCCTTTCAAATCTGGCCCCTGGAGCTTTCCATGGGCTTCAGCACTTGCAGGTTTTAAATCTAACCCAGAATTCACTCCTTTCCCTGGAAAGCAGACTTTTCCATTCCCTCCCTCAGCTGAGGGAGCTTGATTTGTCATCAAACAACATAAGCCACCTTCCCACATCCTTGGGAGAGACTTGGGAGAACCTAACTATACTTGCGGTTCAACAAAACCAGCTTCAGCAGCTTGATCGAGCGCTCCTGGAATCCATGCCCAGTGTGAGGCTTTTACTTCTCAAGGACAACCTCTGGAAATGCAATTGCCACTTGCTCGGTCTTAAACTCTGGCTGGAGAAATTTGTCTATAAAGGTCAGTCATGTCTATTTGGAACCCCCCATCTGTGTGTTACCAGCCTAGGATGAATCTCATCTGTTCTCTGCATTAGAAAGAATGTGGAGGAGTGTGTAAGGGGTGGATTTGGGCTTTTACACATCGGTGCCATTTCACGGTATGGCAAAAGAGTCAAGTGAGTCATTAGAAGGTGTTTAAATTCAGGTTCGAAATTAATCTACAAATATGTTGCATGGAGATAACTTTCACTTGTTTAATTAATATAACAAGAAGTTACTTATCTGGGAGTATGCTATTAAGAAGGAGGACATTCAATCACCACCTGAATAACTGCTCAACCCCAAATAACACCAACCTCTTATTATCAAGTCTGATCCAATTGTGGGTATGGTTATCTCTCTCTGGGATATTTTTCTCTCTTTGTCTGCTTCTACCCATTTGACAACTGTAATTCTTTTCTAAAATTGTCCTTTCTGCTTTAGCAAACACCAATGTCACTGAAATTGGGTGCAACAGGGCCTCTCTCTAAAGTTACTCACAATTTCTTTAACATGATGACAACAGCAAAGCAAGAGATCTCAGACTATTAAAGATGAGGGACTCTGGAAACCACCCAGGGTTAGCAAACTACAGCCCCAGGGCCACAGCCCATCTCCCGTTTCTGTAAATAAAGTTTTATTGGAACACAGCCATGCCCATTCATTATATAATGAGTGAGTGGTTGCTTTGCACTATAAAAGCAGAGTAGTTGTGACAGGGGCTGTATTGTCTATCTGGCCCTTTACAGAAAAGTTTGCCAACCCCTGTTGTCAATGGGCAACAGAGTCCCAGAGAGGTTCAGTGACTTGCCCAAGATCACAGAGCAGAAGCCCAGGTGAGAACAGAAGGCATGGCTTTTGGGTCTTGACCCGACATTCTTTCCTCCACTTCACAGTGCTTCACTCTTCCTAGCTCTCAGCATGATTCATTCATTTCTATATTTGAGTGCCTTTTGTATGCCAGGCACTGAGAAGATGGCAGTGCCTAACCATCACAGAGATTCCATTCTGGTAGTAGAAACAGATGTTAAATAAGATGATAAATAAAGATACATGTTTAGAATAGCAGTTAGTGCTAAGAAACAATGAGGCAGGGGAAGGGGAGAGTGATAGAATGTGGGTCTCATTTTTGATAGGATGGATGGGAAGATGTCTCCAAGGAGGTGACATGGCTGAGCAGAACCCAAAGACTGAGGAGGAATGAGCCATGAGATAACTGGGGGAAGGAATAGTGAACGCAAAGGGCTTGATGAGGGGGAAAACTTGGCTTGGCTGCAGGACAAAAAGAGGGACAAGACAGTGGCCAGTGCAGAGGAAGGGAGTGAGTAGACACAGACAAGACAACACCAGTACTTGGGGGTCAGATCATGCAGAAGTGTGCAGAGAAGGCCAAGATGCTTGGACTTTAAGTGAGATGGAAAGCTCTTGAAGAGTTTTAGTCAAGGGAACAATAGGATCTGATTACAATGTAAAAGGTCACTCTGTAGACTCTTGGGAGAACTGACGAAAGGCTGCAGAAGAAGAACCAGGGAGATGAGGGAGAAGATGATTTCAGTCAGCCAGCGAAGATGATGGTGGCCCAAACCAGGGTGGTGAGACATGATCAATGCTGGGAGATACTTGGAATACTGAACTGGCAGACATTGCTAATGGGTTGGAGTGGATGACTAAGAGAAGACCATAATTATGGGAAAGTCTATTTTGATTTGTCCTGCAGTGGTAATCAAGTAAATGGTGATGCCTTCAGCTGACAAGGGGCAAAGAGGGGACTGGGGGGAGTGAGTGAGTGTGTTGGGGAGGTGGTCAATTAGGACTTCAGCTTGGGGCATGTCAAGTTTGAGATGTTCTGTACATATCCATGGGGAGTCGTTGAGTTGGAGGTTGTATATTTAAGCCCGAAGCTCAGGAAGATGTTGGAGCTACAGACATGAATTAGGGAAGTCAACAGTGTCTGCATGGTTGTAGCGGTTCTCAGCGGGAATGAGGTTAGGGTGAATACAACATGGGTTAAAACGTACGATATTGAATAAATCCTTCTCAACAATGTAATAGTAAATTACATAATCAATATCCAGTCGACATTCAAGCCAACCAGCAACAGGAGCCACATACTATGGCAACATCTTCCTTATAAGAGGTTACAAATAAAATTGTTTACGTCTACAGGTAAAGTGGCTTGAACTATTGTATTGTGGATTAAATTGTAAGCACAGGCCAGCCAACACAGAAAGATAGTTTTCATTAAAGAACATTTCTTGATTAAAAAAAAAAAAAAAAAGTTCCCAGGACTAGGGCACTGGAAGCAACCTGGGATGGGATGAAATGTGCCCTACTCTGCCACAAACTTGCTGGTGGTCTTTGGGAAAATTAGTACACTTCCCTAGCACTCAGTGTCACCAGAGGGAAACTGATAGTTTTAAGTCAGGGAGTTCCTACGGCCCATTCCAGTCCTCAGATTCTGTGACGCATTTCAACACGCCGTCACAACAGAGCTGCATGAGTACAGATCACAGCTTTTCTTCGGAGGAAGGCAGAAATTGATTTGGGGTAATAAGACCTGGATGTCCCAACATAACTAGGAAAAATCCAAATATGTGTCAAACATGGGAGACAGTCTGATTATAGATATATTGAATACAGGCAAAATAAGGGAACAGATATGAGTCAAGATCTTCTTTTAAAAAAAGATATATAAACAAATGCAAACACTACAGGTATTAGGGCAGGCTAACCGACATAACAGACTAGCCCAGACTTTAGTTATATATGCAATAAAATCTGTTGCTCATTCATGGCAGAGTTCAAAGGAAATGGGGGCATGGTCTGCATTCCATGCAGTCATTTAGGGACATAAGACCCCTCGAGCTTGTGATGTCGCCAAGTTTATCACGTGGCCTCTAAGGTCATCCCCAAGTGGGAACAAAATGCATGGCGGATTACACGGGGGCTTTATGGCCTGGAGGTGGCATTAATTAATTCAATTAATTGAATTCCATTGTCCAGAATTCAATCACATGGCCTCAAATAGACCACAAAAAGTGGGAAAATTTAGTCTTCCTGCTGGCCTAAGAGCAAAAAGATGTGCTTTGGTGAATACATAATAATATCTCCTCCAAAGAAATATGCACACAGATTGTATGATTAATATTTCTCTCTATTTACTAGTAAACAAGTCATCTTCACTTCACTAAACATTTACTCTGAGCTAGGTATTATGCTAAATACTTGATATATTTTATCCAACTGAGTCCTCAGAGCAATCTTGGGAAGTGAATTTTAATTATCCTCATCTCCCACTTTCCAGATGAGCAAGCAGAGGCACAACGTGGTCAAGGGAGTTTTTCACGGCTGCACAGCTACGTAATGTTCAGACTCAAGATTTGAATCTAGTTTCTCCCAAGACAGAGGTGAAGAGCTACTAGTGATCAGATAGAGAACAATGAGTGCTTGGCAAGCTGGAGCTTCTTGCATTGTCAGTTACATTAATCTAGAAGGATGTGGGACCCTCAAGCTGTAATCAGCAGATTTGACGAGGGGGTCATGGCCCATGAAATGGTGGAGAGTGGGAGTTGCATCCCGGCTGAGGATCACCTGCACAGGAGACCACAGAGCATTTGGCAGCCATAGCCCCTGCCTTCCAGCTATGTCCCAGGCTCCAGTCTGGGTATTTCCTTGGCTCTGGGTCCAGAGGCTGTGGCTCCCACCTTAATACCGAACAACAGAAAGTCTGGAACTGGAGAAACACAGTTCTTAAGTCTGGGGTGATTGGGTAAACCACCCTAGTCAAGGTGGAAGTCAGCTGATGAACCTGTCCATCCCCCTGGCAGGTGGTCTTGCTTCCCCTGATAGAAGTCTCCATGCTCTCTGGCTGGATTAAATATCACGACTACTTCTCAAAGCCCCATCACTTCATTTCTGTCTCTCTGACCTTTTTGTCTTGCAACCAACTTCCTGGCAGAGGCTCCTATGGTCAGGTGCAGAGGAATGAAATGGTCCATGAGGCAAGAATCCTTAATCTCAATGGCACTTTGAACTCATCTGGAGCAGCTGCTCTGAACCTCTGGCCTCAGGAAAATCAGTGGCTCAAAAAAGGAAGAAATTCCCCTTTTATCTTTCTGCTTTAGGGTGAGGACTGTTTCCTCAAAGGATTGCTAGAGAAGCCAGGAGGAACCCAAGACACTCTGGTGGTGGGTGATTCAGTTTTAAGCAGTGGCAACAAAAAGGACATGGGTTGAATTTTGCCACTGCCACTCACCCTGGTGTGTTGGGGCCACCTGATAATCCTTGCACTGCAAGATAGGCCCTATCTACTTACAGGGCCACTTATGACTTATCTTGTAGTAAGCTTAGAGAGAGTAAATGTGAAAGCATTCCTAAAACTCTGAAGTGCCATGCAATGGAGGGTGCTAATAATGTTGAAGTGATGCCCTCTACATATGTCTTTCTGGTATAATTTCCTAATTCACTTACTGTGTGTACTAAGAATCTCCTCCAATCTAACTTTGCTAACTGCAGTGCCAGTCTTTTCGGCTGGCCTAGGGGAGGTGCTTATGGCAGCCTGAGAGGGCCAAGGTGCAGGTCATGGGGCAGTTCTGTCCAATCAAAAGGCTTCCTAGCAGACAGTGCCGAGGGCCATCCTGCCCACTCCTCTGACCTCACAACGCTCCTGAGAGGAGGATGTGGCGAGGCAGCGAGTGTAGTGGAAAAAACTTGGACTGAGCATGGAGAACTGGGTTTGGATGTTGTTTCATCCACTCGTGACCTCTGTGAGTCTGGACAAGAGTTACCTACAAGAGTGGAGTATTAGGACTTATCTAACAGTGCTTTGTAAACCATCAAGTTGGATACAAATAGCATGTTTTCATGGCAGAAAATTAAGTCAGCGAAGCACATTTTCCCAAAGTCAAAGAGTAAATCAGTGGTCACACTAGACTAGACTTCAGTCTGCTAGCTCAGGGCTCTCTCTAGGAAAGAATGACCGACCACCCAAATTCCCCCGACCAACAGCAGTCTACACACCTGAGGATATCAATCACCTTACAGGTAATGGAAACTGGGTTTAATAACCCACTGGAAAGTTCAGTATTCAAAGCCGTAAATGTTCTGAGGCCTGAGGAGACACATTCATGGTACCGAATTCCAGGAACTAAACTTCCAGTATTGTCAAATCCACAGATCACTCCAAGACCATTCCACCTCTCCATTTGGCATCACTGAACAGTGTTGAGACACACAGGATCTTTGTAATAAACACATAACATCACAACAATGCACATTTATTTTATTTTTTCCTTAGATTTTCAATGGGAATCTGGTACAAAAGTTTTCTTGTCTGTGGGGCTCACTAGGACCATGCGTGGCACGAATGCAGTGGGCAGCTGTGCCCTCACCATCGGCCCCCAGCGTGCCTTCTTGTCAGCTTTTGCATTGTTTTCTCTGAGCATTTAGAGAACATGAAGGTTACTGGGCTTCTAATGAATTCTTGGTCATAAGTAATTGCCAATTTAGTGTGTGGCATTTTTAGTATTTAGCCAATTTAGGAATCCTAAAATCATAAAATATGGTTGTTAAATTCTTTGACTCCAGGATTTAAAAAAAAAAAAGGTACTTCATAAATTCCATCTGCCTAAGTTTTTGCAGGCAGAGGATTTTGGAACTCTGTTGTATCAAGGCTTTGTTATTGTTCTTTGCTTTTGTTTTTTAAAGGGGGACTAACAGACGGCATCATCTGTGAATCACCAGACACCTGGAAGGGAAAGGACCTCCTTAGGATCCCTCATGAGCTGTACCAGCCCTGCCCTCTTCCTGCTCCTGATCCAGTGTCCTCGCAGGCTCAGTGGCCCGGCTCTGCCCACGGTGTGGTCCTGAGGCCTCCTGAGAACCACAACGCGGGGGAGCGAGAACTCTTGGAGTGCGAGCTCAAACCCAAGCCAAGGCCGGCCAACCTGCGTCATGCCATTGCCACTGTCATCATCACTGGCGTTGTGTGTGGGATTGTGTGTCTCATGATGTTGGCAGCTGCCATCTATGGCTGCACCTATGCGGCAATCACAGCCCAGTACCATGGGGGACCCTTGGCTCAAACCAATGATCCTGGGAAGGTGGAAGAAAAAGAGCGATTTGACAGCTCACCAGCCTGAGAGCTTTTGTCTCAAATAGGATTGGTCATTGCAGGCCAGAAGATAGTGTCTGAGTAGGGCTGATGTGTTTCCTGTTAGTCTGATTTTGCTTTTGCCAAAAGACAAAAAAAAAAAAAAAAAAAAAAAGAAAAAAAAAAGATGTGTCTGTAAAAAATATTTCTGGGGAGGAATTTATGTTGCGATTTTTAAAATACTATAGGTAAAATAAAGATGATACTTGTGCTCTGGGCCTGGGAAGTTATTACGACGATTCTATGTGGGGGTAAGACACACACAGAGAAAGGGAAGATGCCATCTCTTCCAGGTACTCTTCTGTGGATTAAGTTCCTTTTACAAAGCACCAGAAATTCAAACACACATGCCAATCAGCATTCCTGGGAGCTTTATGGTCCACTGGAAAACTGCCCAATTTTGAGTGCTTGGGAAGAGGCTGGTGATCTTACCCGATGGGCATTGAATGCCTCTATAATTCGAGTTCATGCTAGATCAGTGATACTTTTAGATGTTGTATATGTTATAAATTTAGTGGAAGCTGTTGGTTGGGAATTTCATAGCTTGCCACAAGAGTCAAAGTCTATTTCATTTTCTAAATCAGAAAACCATTTGGGGCTTTCTAGGCCTCAGAGGAAGAAGAAGATTCCATGTCCGGATAATAGGACTCAGGCCCTGAGTCTGGGGAAGTTTTCTGATGCAAGGGTAAATAACATATAAACAAACACAAAGAGGATGGGGAGCCAGAATTTGGGGCAGATATTACCAAAAGGCCATATCCACCAAGGGATTGGAACCTTCCATTTATAACTCTTACAGCAGGAATGAATTTAGGTTGGGCTGAGAGCGAGATAATGACTTTTGTGTATCTGTATCTGCATACATAGCGCACAGAGTGCATAGAGTTGTACAACCACACCCACACATAAACATACTCTGAGCAATCAGTTTACCCACTAATGAAATGCAGCCGTGTCAGGGTGGAAGCCAGCAGCTGTTGTCCACCACCCAGATTGTCTACTCCCCACACTGGGATAGGAGTAAGAAGGAAGACTGCAGAGAGTGGGAATTACCAAGAGACTCAAGATAGGTGGCGGCAGCTATCCTCAATGTTATTTAGGCCATGGTTTTAAAAAATCAGGTGTGGCTGGCTTTACTCCACAGACATGGTCTTGAAGAGTTGCATGCAAAGTGAATTTTTGTAAATTGAATCATCATTTTAATGCAGTAGGGGAGCTGGCTATTTAAAGGAACCTTTCATGGAATCTTTCTGTAATAGAAATAATTGGCTCCAGATTTATGCATTTTGTAAATTTTGCATTTTCTCATGCTAGGTTTTCTTAAAGTGGAATCTACCTGTTCTCTCTCATGATGCTCACAGTCACCTGTTAGTATTAAAATCATTTTACACAAGAAGAGAGGACAGAGAAGTTATGGACATGTTAAAAGCAGAGAATGGCAAATATAGGGCCAGCTGTCCCTCCAGAGGCCATGACAGACATTGCTAATCAATCTCAGCACTCTTCCTAGCTCAGCACCACAGATGCCTTAAGACAGCACTGTAGGCAACCAGAACTAATCAACTGGAGTTGGTTCAAAGGATAAAACACATTTGCTACTCAGGGTACTGGCTCTACATTCACTCCTTCAGGCCATGTAATGATTGGTTTGGATCCTAAATCAGTAGTCCATTCTCTAACTGAAATGTGAATGGAAGGTTCACATGTGTATGGGATAGATGCAGGGAAACGGGTGAACCTATCACTTCCTACTGTGCAGGTCTCACACGGATGCACCTCTAATAATCACAGAGACAATCTACACCTGCCATGGTGCTTCATAGCTAGTGTGGGCCCCACACACCCAGAGGCTAAAGATGGACCACCTTTCTGGAGCAGCAATTTTGCTAGATGATTTTTCTAGGGGACAAAGTTTAAATTTCGATGGTAATTTTTTTCTGAATATCGAAAGAAACTGAAATACCTTAAATTGTAGATCAAAGAAAGACCCCAAGGAAAGCCTGCTGACCCATCAGCTCTGTCCCAGGCCCTGGCACCTCCTCTCCATGGGCCACTCAGTGGACATGGCTCAATATCCTTCTTTATGGACGTAGTGACTACTTTCCAAGTGAAAAAACCTTTCTTTCCATGGCCCTGGACTGAGGATGCTTGGCCAAGAAGGCAGTGTGAGAAAGGAATTATACGTTTTTATACCTTGTCCCAGTTTCACCAAATGTTTCCAGAGCTCACACCGTGTACCGTGTACCAGACACAGTGCAAGGCGTTCTTGTGTAATCCTGACACCCACCCCATGAGCCACTTGAACGGATATTACATTAGCTGAGAGCTACTGAGGTCAATAACGCATGCTTCGTTTTAATGCAGTGATTTCAGTCAGCAAGTGCACTGGGCCCTGCCAGAGGTTTGGTGACAGTGGAGGTCAACCCAGTCCCCCTACCCACAGAGATTACATGAGGGAGTTTCTGATCCACCACAGAAAACCCTGAACGTGACTAGAATCCTTGCTTGTCAACACTTATATCCTTTTAGATTTCTAAGTACAGATGATAACTCAGGCAAACAGACTTCCTGCTTTATGGGCAGTCTTTAAGGAAAATGATTAAAATGATGCATACTTATATTCAGATTTCTATCTTTTGCCTACAGTCACCACAAACAGCAGTTGGCAATGAAAATAATTACTTACCCTGAAATGTCAACAGCTTCTCAGCACAGAAAAAAATATAAATCAAATTGTTTACATTAACAAATGCAGAGTTATCATTTGTTAATATGAGAAATGAAATGTTTTAACTGTAAAAAACATTGCAGATGAAAGACCCAATTTGCAGGGTATTCTGTGAGAACCACAAATTATCTTTCACAACCACTACAGCTCATGAGGGGTAATTTGCAAACGCCTCATAGATTATTTTCAGCTGTTTATTGCTGCTGTCATATTCATAGATTCCCTTATAAAAATGTCCTTCTGTCATAGAAGCCTTGCTGAGGGTACACTGTGGACAAAAATCACGTTTAGTGTTGATTGTTTCTGAGAAAACTAAAAATATAGTTCTTTCGTCATATTTAGTAGAACAGTATGGCTACAGACGGGTGATTTTTGCCTTGCCAGGGATCATAAATTCACAGATATTGTAGCTGTCTGTAGTGAGGCATAAAAAAAGGGGGCATGAAGAATGTACTCTGCCATAGAGATTTTGGAGAAGGAAGACCTAGAATCAACTTTATATCTGAAAAGCTTTTACAAATAAGGCAAATATCCCTGACCCCACAGGAAGAATCTTTTGCTTAAGATTATAAAATGCCAGTGGATTACTAAGGGTTTCATTTTTCCTTATAAAAATGGCAAGACTAAAAAGTGATGCACACACAGATTTCTTCCTGAAGGTCTGTGCAAATCAAATCTCCTTGCTTGAGTTAACCAAGTACCCCTGAAACAAGACACCTTTATCTTAGATCCTAAATATCAAAGGAAGTGGTTAAACTAATTTCTAAAATAATCTATCTGTAGCACACATTCACATAATTATCCAACAACCGTTAGAAACCTATAACTTTCTATTGCAGGTCAGGAAATTACTGTTTCCAGTTTGGGAAAACCCATCCCTGTATCCATTGCTAAATGCTATTGACAGAAACCCACACAAAATTATATTCCAACTCCACATGGCATTGCTGGGCTATGATCTGCATGCATGACTTTAGGGAACCATCCTTTTGCTCTTTTGATTAAAATGCTTTATTTTTTAGACTCAAATTGCAATGCAGTCTCAAAGAAACCCCTACCCCATTCAGAGAAGCAGCTGCCTAATCAACCACTTCCCTTTCAGATTCTTTTTTATTTTAATTTTTATTTATTTTTACTGATATATAATCCCTTTCAGATTCTTAACTGGACTACTCATATCTACGTTTTACTCCAATCACACTGAATATTCATTTGGGTGGACAGGATAGGATGTCAGCCAGCTACAAAGGCCCATCAAGACGACCTTGATAACAAATCAGAGGACTGGGGATCTGAGAAGGGTCTTAGAGAGCATTTAGTCCAGGCCTGGAGAATTTCAGAATAGCTGCCACCAGCCTTTCTATCCATTGCAGACATTGCTAATAGATCATGACAAAGTTATCTGCTGAGCCCAGACAAGGCCTCATAATTTTTTTTTTTAATCTGTTTTCCAGGTATCCATTACTGATCAACTGGAGTTGACATAAGAGATTAAACCTATTTGTTACTCTGATATAGTTCCATGTCCTTATTTTACAGAAGAAATGGAAGCATGGAAAGGAAAGCAACATTACACAAGTCATGCAC
Organism: Homo sapiens; assembly: GCF_000001405.40. Lineage (NCBI taxonomy): Eukaryota > Metazoa > Chordata > Mammalia > Primates > Hominidae > Homo > Homo sapiens. The sequence continues at coordinate 54,914,132 of NC_000003.12, read as the reverse complement.
AGAATTAACTGCAGACTTATAAATGCAGTTGCAGGAGATGGGGTTAGCATAGATAACACAACACGATCCTCACCATTCTTTGTTCATTTAGTGGTGAATCACAATATCAAAACTATGACATTATTATACTAAGTATTTGGATAAGGGCAATTACAACACCATTATCAGCATTTACTGAGCACCCAATTTCGTGCCATGTATTTTCCAAGCATAATACTTAATTTTCTCTAAGCCTCATAGTAACCAAAACACGTGGGTATTGTACTGCCACATTACATACGAAGACACAGACAGCTTAGGTCATTTGCTCAACGTCACACCACTAGTAAATGGTGGAGTGGGAATCTGGATGCAACTCTTCCCAAGGCCAACACCCAGGCACTTTTCAGGACCTGACAGGTTCGAAGAAGTCAGAGTTAGGATCCTTTCCTGGCACTGCCAACACTTACCTTAAAGCATGGCAGGGCAAAGAAACCCAACCACCAACCAGTAGGACACTGCCAGAGCTCTGGTACTACTAAAACCAGGAGGCCGGCTGAAGGAGCCAAGGCAAAATGGGGAAATAAGAACCCTTTCATAATCTATGGCTCTACTGGGCTGGAAAAGGCAGTCTCCAAATGAGAGGGGAAGAAACTCAGTCATACTCTCTTGAAATTATTTGAGAAAAATGGGAAATTTAGAGTCTAGATTAAGATGCTAGCCAATAAGTATTTCCCATTGAAATACTCATTAATACACAGAAGAGGAGAAAGTTACGAGGGCCACGGAAATTAGGAATACTGCTCAAGGATAGCTAAGTCTCCAGGAGGAATATCTACTATCTAAAGCAGAAGTGCAGCCTTGGCAACATGGTAAAATCCCGTTTCTACAAAAAATGCAAAAATTAATTAGATGTGGTGGCACATGCCTATGATCCCAGCTACACAGGAGCCTGAGGAGGGAGGATTGCTTGAGTTCAGGAGATCAAGGCTGCAGTGATTCATTCCAGTCACTGCACTCCAGTCTGAGTGACCGAGTGAGATCCTATCTCAAAAAAACAACACAAAACAAAACAGAGCAGAGGTGTGACCTTGAAACAGATGAGTGGGGTGTCAAGGACGAGAGCAATAGTCTGTACAGCCCATCCTATGCTGATATGCCTTCCACTGAGACCCTGAGTTTAAAAACAAATCAGAGAGGAATCATGCTGTCCTGTATGTAGGGTATCTGAGGACATTTAACTTCTACAATACCTCCCATTGAGACCCCACTGTCTTCATTCATTAAAGATGAAGACCGTCTACAATGTGGCATATAGGAGGATGTTCTCCTTTTCCAAGTATTAAGGCTAAAGGAGTGAACAAGAAATATAAAATATCTGTCCCATGAAACTTAACATCTAGCAGAGGGAGAAGATAAAGAAATACAAATCATATCAGGTGGTGAACAAGCAGATGTGAAGAGGAGAGAACGCTGGGGATATGGAAGAGGAAGAGTTTTTATTTTACATGTGGTGATAAGGAAGGTCCCTGCTGAGAAAATATTTGAGGAGAGACCTGAAGGAAATGATGGAACCAGTGGTGAAGGTATCTGGAGGAAAAATGTCCCATGGAAAAGGCATGGCAGGTGCAAAGGCCCTGAGGTAGCAGCAAGGTTGGTGTGACTGAAGAACAAGGAGGTAGTGTGGCTGTGGTTGAGTGGGCAAAAGGGAAGTAGAAGGAGCTGAGATTAGAGGGTAATAGGGGTCAAATCATGTAGGACTTACAGGTTGTGGCAGGTGCTTTTAGGATAACTCTCAATGATTCTTGCCTCCTGGAACTCATGCTCTCTCCTTGACTGTGGGCTGGACCTAGTGACTCGCTTCAAACAAACAGAATATGGGAAAAGTAATAAGATATCCATTCCAAGATTAAGTTACAAAAAACTCCAGCTTCTATCTTGCTCACTCTCTCTTGCTTGTCCTATTCAAAGTAAACTAGCTCACTATGAGCTACCCTACGGAGAAGCCTATGTGGCAAGGAGGTAAGAGAGGTCTCTGGCCAACAAACCACAAGGAGCTAACTGAATCCTGCTAATGATCTCATGAGTGACGGTGAAAGCATTTCCTCTGTTGAGCCTTCAGATGAGTCCGCAACCCTCAACAACACTTTCATTTCAGCCTCATGGAAGATCCTGAGCCAGAGGACTCAGCTAAGCTGCACCCAGAGTCCTGACTCACAGGTACTGTACAATAGTAAATGTCTGTAGCTACAATGTCTGTAGCTTTAAGGCATTAAGCTTTGGCATAAGATAACTAATACCTGGACCTCTGTGAGAATTTTGGCTTTTAGCTCTGAGTAAAGTGGGAAGTCAATAGAGAGTTTTGGATAGAAGAGTGACATGATATTACTTATCTTTAACATGATTTCTGTGGCTCATATGAAGAATAAAATGAAGAGGTGAAGGTTGGGAGAAGACAGGGGAAGCGGTAGAAGCTGCTGCTTCTATGACAATCCAGGGCAGAGATGAAAGTGGAGCGGCCCACTGAGGGAACAGTGGAAGTGCTGAGAAGTGGTCAGACTCTGTACATAACTGAAAGAAATAACAGGATTTATAGGCAGATTGGTTGTAGGTAGGAGGAAAAGGAAAGAGTCAAGAATGACTTCCAGATCCTGATTCAAAGCCAGGCACAGGGGTACATGCCTGTAGTTCCAGCTGCTCATGAGGCTGAGGCAGGAGGATCACTCGAGCCCAGGAGTTCAAGACCAGTCTGGGGAAAAACGTGTGACCCCCATCTCTTTAAAAAAAAAAAAAAAAAAAAAAGACGACAAAGAAGGAGGGGGAGGAGGAGAAGCGGGGAGGGGGAAGGGGAGGAAGAGGAAGAAGAGAAAAAGAAGAAGAGGAAGAAGATCCTGATTCAAACAAATTGTAAAAAATAAATGACACTTTTGAGACAACTAGAATTTACATTCTGACTAGGTAATAGATTTAGGAATTATTTTTAGGTAATTGTATTGCTATATTAAAATCCAAAGAAGTCCTTATCTTTTAAAGATGTAGGCTGACGTATTTATGAATGAAACGATGTAATGACTAAGATTTGATTTAAAATAATATGGGAGGGGTGGTTGTGGATTGGCAAATTGAAGGACACAGTGGCCAAGGGTTGATGGCTACTGGGATTGGGCACAAGATACGTGGAATTTCATTGTATTTTTTTCTGTCTACTTTTGAGTACATTCAATATTATCCAAGATGACATGCTTTGTTTAAAAAAATAAATGAATCACTCCAAAGGTTTTGGACTAACTAGAAAATGAGAATTATTGAGTTGGATTTTAAATTATCAAGGCTATGGAGAAAGGGTGGAGGGGGAGGGTGTGAATGCAATCAGGACTTCAGCCTGGCATCTAATGAATTTGACAGGCCTATTGGGGAAAGAGTAGAGACACTGAATAGGCAAGTAAGGTCAAGTAAGAGAAGTGTGGCTTGGGAATCACCAGTTTATGAACAGTGTTCAAAGCCTTGAGAGTAAATAGGAGCACAGGTGGAGAACCCTGGGGCCCTCCAACATTTACTAGTTAGGGAGATGAGTGAATCAGCAAACGAGACCTAGGAGGGTTGGACAGTGAGGTCAGCTAAGAACCAAGTAAAGGGAAACTTCAAGGAGAAAGTGATCAACATGGTGAAGCACTGCTAATAGGCCACGACAAAAGAACAATGGAAGTTACTGAAATTACTGGTGACCTTCATGAGGAATATTTCATTGTGGAGTGGGTTCCAGAGAAAATGGAAAACAGCAAGGCAGAGGAGCATATAGCATAAAAGAATGAGTAATGCATCACACAAATAAAATAATGTAACAGAATACTTTTGACTTAAAAACCTGACTATATCATAAAATCTGGAAGTTGGTGGAAGAATGGTAAAGCATATACTATGACCATACACGATGTTTTCATTCTGAAATTTTATTTTGAAAGACAATTACCTACTACCATCTGCCTGAGCTGTGTCATGTATAATTGTGTACTTTGGCCTTGAGGTGACCATGACATTCAGGCATTGATCCTAACATCCTGCACATCTTCTCACCCAGAAGAGAACCCAGGAGTTCTTGGTAAGTGCAAACTTTGGGAGACATTGGGAATAAAAAGCCTTTGATCAGCACTGTCCCTTTCCCACCAGACACTGATCAAAGCATTTTCCTCAGGCAAGAAAGTCCATGTACTGGACTTTCAGTCAAGTCAAAGGGTTTAGGCAGGGATGTCCAATCTTTTGGCTTCCGTGGGCCACACTGGAAGAAGAAGAATTGTCTTCTTCACCACGCTGATCACTTTCTCCTTGAAGTCTCCCTTTACTTGGTTCTTAGCCGACCTCACTGTCCAACCCTCCTAGGTCTCATTTGCTGATTCACTCATCTCCCTGACTTGTAAATGTTGCAGGGCCCCAGGGTTCTCCACCTGTGTTGCACACAAAATATATTAACACTAATGATAGCTGATGAGCTAAAAAAAAAAAAAAAAAAAAATCACAAAAAAAATCTCATAATGTTTTAAGAAAGTTTATGAATTTGTGTTGAGCTGCATTTGAAGCTGCACAGCCCATGGGCTGCAGGTTGGACAAGCTTGGACTCTTCTGCTGCAGATTCTGCTCATGCCCGTCCCTTTTTTCCCAAGGGAGGGAAATTCATGTCAGCTCATCTATCCTCTGTGGGCCCTTTACTTAGCATGAGTCACATATATTCTAGTCTTAACTGAGATCAAAATCCCAACAAGGTCACTAGGAGATTTGCCTGGATAAAGGCGGTTAAATAAATCCCCAAATCTCTCATGAGCCATGTTGGAAAAAAAAAAAAATCCCATAAACTGTTTTCCACCAAAGCATGTGAGGGCATTTTCAATGTTCTACCAAGCATTATGCTGATTGCACTGTTCAGAGATTTATAAGCTAGAGTGAAGATTAACTAAATCACTGTCTTGACTTACAATGAAAACATATATTTTTAGAAAGCTTAGGATCTTTGATTGGAATTTCTGTGTAACCACACAGACAAAAACATTAGGCACTACCGATGCACAACCTCTGATACACAAAGCTCTGTCTTCGGCATCCACTTACATAACCTCTGATTTAAATATCTACTTCATTTTTATAGAAACATGTTTAAATAGGTGAGTGAACAAATCAGCCTTTTTCGTTGTTCTTTTAAATAGAATATGTGACATATTTTCATGTGAAGTTGGGTTTGGCAAGCTTTTTCTGTGAAGGAGCAGGTAGTGGATATTTTTGGCTTTGCAGTTTCTATGGTCTCTACCCCTCCATCTACTCAGCTCTGCCATTTTAGCAAGAAGGTATTCACAGACAATATGGGCATGGCTGCATTTCAATACAACTTTTTCTACAAAAACAGGCAGTGGAGAGCTCACAAGATTTTTTGCTTTTTCTCTTTTGTTTTGAGACAGGGTCTCACTCTGTCACCCAGGCTGGAGCACAATGGCATGATCTCGGCTCACTGCAGCCTTGACCTTCCTGGCTCAAGCTATCCTCCCACCTCAGCCTCCTGAATAACTGGGACTACAGGTGCCTGCCAGCCTGCCCAGCTAATTTCTGTATTTTTTTGTAGAGGTGGTGTTTCACCATGTTGCCCAGGCTGGTCTTGAACTCCTAGGTTCAAGCAATCTACCTGACTCAGCCTCCCAAAGCATTGGGATTACAGGCATGAGCCACCACACCCGGCCTGACAAGGTATTTATATCCAGAATATATGAACAACTCTTACAGCTCAACAATATGAAGACAACCTAATTTAATTTAAATATGGGCAAAGGATCTGAATAGACCTTTCTCTAAAGAAAATATACAAATGGCAAGTAAGCACACGAAAAGATGCTAAGTCATTAGGGAAATAGAAATCACTTCACACCCACTAGGATGGCTAAAATAAAAAAGACAGACAGTATTAGAAAGGATGTAGAAAAATTGGAATGTTCATATGTTGCTGGTGGTGTTGTAAAATGGTGCAGCCACTTTGGAAAACAGTTTTGCAGTTCTTCCAAATACCAAACAGAGTTACCATATGACCCAACAATTCTACTTTTAGGTATGTACCCAAGAGACTATAAAAACATAGGTCTGCACAAAAACATGTACATGGATGCTCATATCAACATTACTAACAGCTAAAAAAGCATCCATCAACTTATGAATGGATGTGCTAAATGTTGTCTATCCATACAAGGGAATATTATATGGCAATTTAAAAATGAAGTACTGATACAGGCTACAATGTAGATGGATCATAAAAACATTATGTTAAATGAAGGAAGCTTGTCACAAAAGGGCACATATTACATGATTCCATTTATCTGGAATGTCCAAAAATAGACAAATCCATAGAGAAAGCACACGAGTGGTTTCCTAGAGCTGTAGTTTGCGAACCTCAGCTCTGAGGCACAGGTATGTGAAAGTGTGAGTTTCAAAGTTTTAATACAAAACATATCAAGATATTATTAATATAATCTTCTGATATGCAAGTTTTCAGAAAAAATAACATAATACAGGAAACAGCACTGACTAGTGAGCAGCAGTGGGCGTAACATATGGTAATTCTTAATGAAGAGGGCGACAATAATAATTTAGCAGCTAATGATTATTACCCACCCAGATGTAAGCATTTACCAAAAACTTTATATACATAAAAACTTATTTCTCTCAACAGGAATCAGACACTCCCCCAAACGCAAGACTGAATCTGGGTCTAAGACATATTCCAGTATTGGTTAATTCCTTCCCTTTTCTCTGGTGGTAAAATAAATGTCCACCTTTTAAAAATGAGGCTGTTAGAGATCCAACCTCTGCACCAAACAACCTCCTCTTACACATGTGAAAAGGAAGGCACAGGGGTGAGGCCTGGGGAAGGGGATGGCCTGTGCTCACTCATAAATACTCAGTTCACACTGTCTTTTATGTCCACATCCCACCATGACCTCTAAAAGAAGTGGCTTAACTTGCTGATTTAGAACACACAAGCAGGTAAGAGGATGTGTCACCCCAAAATTCTGCTGCTCATTTTTGAGTGGAGGGCGCGTTGGGGCTTTTGAGGAGTTTAGAAAGGGACAGTAACTCTTGGGAGCAAGTGTCCTGGAGAGTGAGCACAGAGGATCCAGTTTCTCAAAACTCTGGGCTATTTTTATTCCTGGGGCAATAATCCTCAACATGCCCTTGTCACTGGCTACTGTGTGGTATGCAGAGCAGCTGCTCTAATGTCCAGCTCTCACTCTCAAACTCTGCTGTAGACTTTAAATAAAGTGTGACCTATAGCTACATCACTAACCCATTTCTATAAAGTTTGCTGTTGTCAGTCCTACTGGCTTAGACCTGCTTCTGTCCCTGCATAGTACTCATTTGTTAGCTTAATAAAAATGTCAAACATATAAAAAGTCCCATCTCATAGTTGACATTCAGAGCAAAGACTTGCCTTGGGTTGCCCACTTTCCCTGGGTCAGCTACCCACCTACTCATCAGCTCTGGTTGTAGAACCTGGTAACTACCCCCAAAACCCAAGAGACTCATTCAGGTCTCACAGCACCCACGTGGAATATGGACACATGGATGAGGAATCTCATTGCAGGTTACTGGAGGCATTAGTTCCCATTGTATATGGGATATACTCTTCCTGTATATCTTTGCATGATGACTGCAGACTGCGTCTCATGATTCAGACCTCCATTCATGTCACCTCATCAGGGAGGCCTTCTCAAACCACCCCCAACCTGGAAAGGCATTGCCCCACCACATACCCATGTGCACATGGCTGCGCACTTCCTCTCCCCTTTGCCACTGCCAACCACATTTCATCTCTTAATCCTACTCCATTTCTAGAGAGTATTTACCACTACTAGAAATCAATCCTTCCTTCCTTCCTTCTTCCTCCCTCCCTCCCTTTCACTTCTTCCCTTCCTTCCCTTCCTGTCTCTCATTCCTGCAATACTTGTGTGTATCTGCCACACAAATGGAAGCTCTCCATTGGCAGCAACTTGGCCATGCTCAGCATTCTCAGAGGTTGCTGCAGCATTTGTGTGGAACAATTCTTCATTGGGAAGCTGTCATCTCAGTCTCTGGACATCGATGCCAACAGTGCCCTTGTCATCAATTGACAATCGCCTGACACCCTCCACAGTGCCTTCTGGGGTACTTGTTCACAGCTGTATCCCCAGCGCTAGGAACACTGTAGGTGCAATATATATATTTATTGAATGAGTTAATTAAAAATAAAGAAATGAATCAAGATTGTTAGTCTATAAGGAAAAACACTGAATTTGAAAGCACTGAGTTGAAGTTTACCTGTCAGTTTAACCCAACAGTTCTCAATCTCAGCACTACTGACATGTGAACCACATAATTCTTTGTTGTGGAGGCTGTCCTGCGCTTTGCAAGATGTTTAGCACCATTCCTGACCTCTACCCACTAGATGCCAGTAGCATCCTCCTAACCAGTAGTGCCAATCAGAAATGTTTTTTGATGGTGCCAAATGTCCCCTGGTGGCAAAATCACCCCCGGTTGGAAACTACTGGTTTAATCAGTAAGTTTTCATTTTTGCCAAAATAAAACAGTTCCTTTGCTCAGATTTTAAAAACTAGAGGTTTATCCAGGCAGACTTGATACACACTTTCTGACATACTAGTTAACTCCTACATACCAAATATGTGAGATCCCACCAAAGGAATGTTCACAAGTTAAATTTTTGCCTAGAACATTTTGCCAGCATTATTCACCTAACTCTAATGAAGGGCCCATAGTAAATACTGCATTCAGATTAAATACCACATACTTGGCAACAGTTAATGATCACTGATGTTAATCAATCCCTTTCCTAATTAGCTGGTTAAATGGGATCTTCCCCTTCATTACACTGCCCTGAGTTATGCAAATGAGACCACATAACCCACATTTTCAAATTTCTCCAGTAACAGATCTAAAGTGTTCTGTGTTTCTTGCAAATCAACTCCCAAACTTACTAAAATTCATTGAATTTTATAATTTAAAAAGATATATAAATCCTACCTCAATAAAGCTGTTTAAAAAGAGCAGTTTCTATAAGAAACCAATGTCTCTGGTGTCTATACTCCTTTTTATCTGCTGATGTGATCAGATTAGCTATTCTAAGCATCACCTTAGATGCCCGGACCTCAGAAAAGACATCTACTGATGCAGAGATAACTACTGGTCCAACAAGGTTGCTTTTGGGATGGGACACAAAACAATTTTCTATTCCTTAAAATATTCATATTGATCAATATCATATTACTATAGTATGGACTGGAGTTTTAGCTACTGAGTGATTATCTGTCTTAGAGTTTTAGTCAAGTACTATGTTTCCACTATCTGGTCAATAAATATGTACCTACATAAAGAAGGTGAAAATGAAGCCCGTCTTCCTTGAATCATGTATTTATCCAGTATCGCTCCCATATGGACCGTATGTTAGCCCTTGTACTTGGCACTGGGAATAAAAAGATAATTGGGTCTTTGCCCTTAAAGAGTTCAAAACTATCTAAGAAATCAAAATGAAACATTTTTAGGAGCAATTTTAGATTTTGGTATGTTAAAAGGTACACTTTAAAGCAAGTGCACATAATTCAGATTTCATTATTTAATATTTTACACATCTCTAGAAGTCTGAAATTGTTAACAAATATTGGGATTGAGTATCTTGTATTTGTCAGAGGGAGGGTCTAGAAGATAAACAGGGAAGTCAGACAGACGATTTGAGGAGGGGAAGAAGTCTCCTGCAGGGCCACACCTTCCATCTTGCTTCAATTCTGCCTCCCTGTATTTCTTTGTACCAGGTCATTTCTACCCTGATATGGTAGATGCGGTGCCTATGACTGCTGGACTAGTGGGCCAGGTCTCTCCAGGGAGAACAAAGTAAAGAATCACCACCACGATCAGCGTAATTTATAAAACTCAAGTCAACAATAAGTAAGTTAAGGCAAAATAGGTTTTGCCCTTTCTCTTCTCTTGTGTGTGCTCTCTTGCCCTTCTACCTTCTGCCCTCTGTCATAACATGACACAGCACGAAGGCTCTTGCCAGATGTGGGCACCTGGATCTTGGGGTTTGCAGCCTGCAGAACTGTAAGAAATAAATTTATTTTCTGTATAAATTACCCATTCTGTGGGAGAAAATTTTTGCAAACTAAGCATCTGATAAAAGTCTAATGTCCAGTATCTATAAGGAACTTAAACAAATTTACAAGAGAAAACAAATAGCCCCATTAAAAAGTGGGCAAAGGACATGAATAGACACTTCTCAGAAGAAGACATACATGCAGCTCACAAGCATATGAAAAAAAGCTCAACATCACTGATCATTAGATAAATGCAAATCAAAACCACAATGAGATATCATCTCACACCAGTCAGAATGGCTATTATTAAAAAGTCAAAAAATAACAGATGCTGGTGAAGTTGGAGAGAAAAAGGAGTGCTTATACACTGTTGGTGGGAGTGTAAATTAGTTCAGCCATTGTAGAAAACAGTGTTGCGATTCCTTAAAGAGCTGGAAACAGAACTACCATCCTACTCAGCAATCCCATTTCTGGGTATATACCCGAAGGAATATAAATCATTCTATCATAAAGACACATCCAAGTGTATGTTTTCTGCAGCACTATTCACAATAGCAAAGACATGGAATCAACCTAAATGCCCATCAATGATAGACTGGATAAAGAAAATGTGGTACATATACACCATGGAATACTATGCAGCCATAAAAAAAGAATGAGATCAGGTCCTTTGCAGGAACACAGATGGAATTGCAGGCCATTATCCTTAGCAAACTAATGCAGGAACAGAAAACCAAATACCGCATGTTCTCACTTATACGTGGGAGCTAAATGATGAGAACACATGGACACAGAGAGGGGAACAACACACACTAGGACCTAATGGAGGGTGGAGGGTGGGAGGAGGGAGAGGATCAGGAAAAATAACTAATGGGTACCAGGCTTAATACCTGTGCAATAAAATAATCTGTACAACAAGCCCCCATAACACAGTTTACCTATGTAACAAACGTGCACGTGTACCCCTGAACTTAAAATAAAGTTAAATAAAAAAAAATTACTCATTCTGTGGTATTCTGTTATAACAAAACAAAATGGATTAAGACACTGGTTATTATTTATTTATAGCTAGAGTGCCTGGCAAAAGCAGAGGCTCAGGAAATATTTATTTATTGAATGAATGAATATGCCACCAACTTTTAGATAAAAACGGGTTATGCTAAACTCTAGCATTTTTATTCTTCTCTCTTATCCAAGAATTTTCTTGTTTGTTTTCTCATTTTATCCCTGAATTGACACACAGGAAGGCAAGGGAGGTAATAATCCCAAGCCTATTTTAGATAGAACTTTAGAGACCCAAGACCACACATTTAGCAAGTTATAGAGTGAATGACAAACTGCGTGGACCTTACAGTCCAAGATCTGCATTTCCAGTGACAACAATGCAATGGATGAGGGACCTGACACAACAGAAGGTTCCAGGGCTAGGATGAGACTTGGTAGGCCAAAGGGAGAGTCCCACCACTTCTTCCTGTGCAGTGGGAAAGCAATTAAGAAAATGCAGCACACTGGTGGCAGCTGGAGAGTTGGCAGGCTTCTCAAGAGAAGGACTGTAAGCAATGTCATAGGCCGGGAAGATGGATGGGGCCCATTTATGCACCAAGGCTGGCGTACAAATGGAATCTTGCCCAGTCTGACTGGCCTTTCTTCAAAGGTGTCATTGACAGATGAGTATCTAAATGTTTTTGTTTAAAAAAGAAAACACACAAAAGAGAAAGAAGAGAATAAAACAAAAAACAAGAAAATGAAACAAAAAAACCTCTTTCTACCCCAGACATATATAGCCAATGAACATGAGATGACCAGGTCAGGCCTGGGAGCGAAGCTGGCCTTTCCAAGGAGTCCTTGATAATTATTTGCATAGTTGTACACCTCTTCTTTCAGAAGAGTTCCACTTTAACACAAGGATTTCATTGAGACCTAACATTCCTGCCAGTCGGCTGTCTCCCATCTGCTGTTGGGGCACACTGATGGGAGAAAAGCCTGCTCACATATTCATCTTCATCTGCCAAAACAAGGCTTCTTCCCCAATTAAAATGGCCTTTTTAATTTTAGAGTGGTAAACAGTGTCTACTTAATTTGAGGAAAATACACAGAGGAAAGTTACCAAACCTAATCACACAGTGATATGATGGTTGAGTCAGAGTCAGGAAAACTTGGGGAGGGGGTGCTGAAGAGGCCGCTCTATTTTTGGAGACAGAGAGGTCTTCTTGAGGTCACTGCCTTCGTGGGGCTGCATCCACAGCAGTCTTCAACATCAAAACCAAGCAATTCTGTTTTATCTTACGTCTACCAAAGTTTGAAAAAGGGTAACAGTCACCAATTCTAAAAGGTAAGGACTAAATACGGTTCTTTAAATGACCTTGCTTCTTGGCCTTGCTCTGTAATTATCTTCTGAAAATGGGGGCCATTTGGCATACACAGAGAAGCAGTAAATAGGAGGGTGCCTTCTCCACCCACTCAGGGTGGACCAAACTGTGTCTCGTGACCTGCCTGTGGTCTATGGCCAGCGATGCAACTCGACAATAGACTGGCATAGCATTTGGAAAGTGCACGTTCTTCTCTAGACTGGATACACAGTGTTCAGGCTCAGACCACGTTTCACCTATACTCAGCCAAACAGGCATTTATGAAATGTAAGGCATTTGGAAACATGTGAGCATAGTTTGTAAACTTGGACAGAGGTGGCTGGGACAGGCACAGTGACCTTAGGGCTCATCCTTCATGATGACTAAACTAGAAACCCAAAGAAAGGGTTTTAAAAAGAAATTTCAAACAGACAACCAGATATTCTGGCCAGACCATGTCACTGACAGCTGCTGCATGTGGCCTCAGCTCCCGGGAGACAACATGCCTTCAGAATTAGCTCGCTGGACCAGCCTGGAGGTAAGCAAGCCTGACCTCCTTTAAGCATAAGTAAATCTTGTTGAGTTAAATGATCCCGTCTCCCACTTTCCTCAAGGAACATGAGACATTAAGTGACAAAATTTGAAGACAGCAACTGTGAATCCTCAGAGCCCATATCTCCTGGCTGATTAAGAATAGGTCTGCTTAGTTCAAGATGAGCCACAGGTCAGATACATAAGGCTGTCATCCTTGTCACACCCAGTAACTCAGGAATAACCAGGGCAACTACCCCCAGATCTTTCAACCCTACTAATACAATTATACACAGGCCAAGTAAGAAATAAAGTGGGGGGAAAAAAGCAGTATTTCCTCGCCAAAGAACAACCACTTCAAACAGGTCTCCTCCATCTGCTCCATTTATACTCCTTCCCACAAATATTCAGTGTGTGAAGACACAGAAGTGGATGTTAAGTCACCCTAAAGTACAACTTATTGAGGGAGACTGCTGGAAAACAAAAATCGCTCTCTTTAGTAAACCCAGCCAATACCAGGATGGTGCTTGGAGCATATCACCCACCCATCAACCAATGGCTCCAAAGTGATCAGAATAAACCATGTGCCAGACACACCCTCGGGCCTTGTTTTTATGTCAGCATCTGTCTTCAAAGAGGGCTTTTTGGTAGTTGCCAGCCCTTTAGGCCAAATGCCACCAATGAAAGCCCCTAGCCATCCACAGACAGCTGCTGACACTCCTAAAAAGTGAGAGAAATGGAAAAAGCCAGAAACGGGACTTCTTTGACAATTCAAGACTCTCAGTCATATAATATTTTGGCTTTCCCCTGGTCCCAAACACAGCACCTGCAGATACAGCTAACTCTAATTCCCCAGGGGGATTAGGGGGATGAAAATCTCAGTCTCTCTGGAGAAGGGCACATTTCAGTTTGTGTTTGCCTAAAACAAACCTGCAATTTCCTTGTATGCCCACTGTCATCCTAATGACACAGAAGCTGGAGATCTGGAGTTTACTTTGAATGAACATGCTACCTACCATCAAGAAATTCTCCTCGGCAAGTACTGACAATTTCTTACTGGCTCAGAGTTTAAGGATAGAAACGCTGGGAAAGTTTTCTGTTTTCACATCAACCACCACCAGCTGTCAGAGTCTTGGTTTGAAGGAGATGACACCAAGCTGAGAAGGAAGTAATTTAAAATTGTTTTCTCCTTTGAAAACCTTTTTGGAGGATAAGCGTGCCTCACAGAAGTAGCCCACTGGCCGGATGAATGGGCGCCATGCTTACTTTGTCTTCATGGATTCAATCAATTATTTACCTGCCACCACAGGAGATTTCCGTTCATCCAGGAGCTGGATGGATGTACTTGCTGTCACCACATTGCTTTTATTGACTGGTCCTGTGAAAAGAAAAAACACCACAACAAAAATGAAGATAATTACAGTGTACACGTTAAGAGAGTAATCATATCGGTCTACAGTCACCAATTCTGCAAATTGTTCTGGGGCTTGGTCCCAGGCCCCAGAGTCCTCTGAGGTGTGGATGCTCTGCCTACGCTGCCAGGCCATGAGTGCAGTGCTGCGAGTCCTCCCAGCTGAAGGAATTGGCGAGTTGAGTTATGACCACCAGTGCACTGGGGAACATCCAGCCTCTTCACATCGAAACCATTGACCACCATCGAGGGACCACATTTTTTGGTAATCTGTGGTTTCAAATTGCAGTGTTTACTTGTGTCAGTGGTCATATTTACACTGCCTGTCTAAATATAACCATGAAGAGCTGTATGAGGGCTTTGAAATTATTTTACAAGTTGGCAACTTTAGCTCTGATTCATTGGTTAAATCTTTACTGATCTATAAAATTGTAATTTCGAGCCCAGTTTTTCTGGGCAAAATTATTCTAAACAGGGATAGAGCTAGAGCATAATCTTCACTCCAAACTATTATTATTCTGGTAACAATATGGCATTAGTATTAAGAGATTTTCAATTACCAGCAATGGTTCCAATATCCACGAATTAAAAGATACTGAGCACAAATTCTGAATGCCTGGAGTTAATAATTTAGTCCAATGCCCACCTGCTAAAAGGTGCTCAATGAAAGTGAGTTGGATGAAATCCAATTGAATTGAGAAGCAGGGAAAAGTCAAACCTGAATATGAATACACTTAGGACCAAAGTAATGAGAAATTTTCTCCTGGCCCAAGTTTAAGCAGCAATAAAAACCAGTTTCTTTTCTAGTTTGTACAGGTATTCAACACATAGCAGAGAAAATCAGAGAGAGCTCCACCACAGAGACTTGCAGTTGGTGATTTTTAAGATTTTCCCGGACTCTAAGGGGGTTATGAAATGTCCTAAGATGTTACGTCATCTGTAACTTTGTCATGAACAAGGTAAACTCACTTCATTATACCATTACATTGAAAGTTTGGTGAAAATCCCAGTTACCAAAAACCAATCCAACAACAGCTTTAGTTAACTCGATGATTCCAGAATCAGAAGAACAGCAAGCTAAGTTCTATTATTTTTCTTTAGAGGATTGTGACAAGGAAGTCTTAAGAGATTGCTTGACAGAAGACAATGTTATTATTCATAGGTCTGCAGCAGAATGAAAAAGTTCACTGTCTCTTGATATTTTCAGCAACAAAGTGTGGTGCAGACAAGCACAAAGAAAGAGCTTCAGGCCAGGCATGGTCCCAGCACTTTGGGAAGCCAAGGAGGGTGGATCACTTTAGGTCAGCAGTTAGAGACCAGCCTGGCCAACATGGTGAAACCCCAACTCTACTAAAAATACAAAAATTAGCTGGGTATGGTGGCGGGTGCCTGTAATCCCAGCTACTGAGGAGGCTGAGGCAGGAGAATCGCTTGAACCCAGAAGGCAGAGGTTGCAATGAGCCAAGATCATGCCACTGCACTCCAACCTGGGTGACGGAGCAAGACTCTGTCTCAAAAAAAAAAAAGACGGGGTGGGGCGGAGAAGAGAGAGAGAGAGGAAAAGAAAAGAAAAGAAAAGAAAAGAAAAGAAAGATAAAGAAAGAAAGAAAGAAAAAAGAAAAAGAAAAAGAAAGAAAGAAAAAAGAAAGAAAGGAAGGAAGGAAGAAAGCAAGCAAGCAAGCAAGCAAGCGAGCTTCGGACACCTGGAAATTTACATTTGAGAAAGCACACACAACTACAGGCAGGCATACACACAGGTCTATCAGCAAAGGAGCACAGACCCAAAGAACCTTAGACCTGAAAAGAATCTAACAGATAATCTAGTCTGAAATCCCAAGCAGCAAAGAATCTCATCAATAACATTCAGCCTCTCCTTAAATATGTCCATTGATGAGGGACTGTCTTCCTAATGAGCCCATTCAACCAATTGTAAGAGCACTCTTTGCTTTCTACAAATTTCAAAAGCACCCTTTCTGAAAATATTTTCAGTCATGGAAATGACAAAGCACCAAGCCTTAGGGAGGGGGATTGGGCACAAACCCTGGAGAACTTCCCTTAGGATTGAGTTAGGAATATTTGTAGAAGATTAATATGAAAGGAACTGATATATGTAAAATATAACTACAGATTGAACTTTCCAGAGCAACCCAAGTTTACAGAACTAGGTTTCCTTCATCTCTCAAGTTTCTGCAATAAGCAGTATAGAGTGAGCACCCAAAATACCAGATGCATGAGGCAAGAGAAAAAAAAAATACGAGGAAAACTGAAGCATTTCCAGTATGTTTTGCTTCCAAAACTGGTGGAAATAAGACATCATTCAGTTCTTTTTGGAGGCAGGTGACTTTAATTTTTTATACTATCATATCATAAACTCTTAGGACTGAAAAACTAATCGGCTACATGCCTGTCATTGGTAACTGCAGGCTCCTGTCAAGAGAGCACATGGTTATACAAAGTCAGTCCTTAGTCCGGCATATCAGTTTAAATCAATTCAGTTCAAATGGGGAACAGTGGACCTCTGCAGGGATGTGACTCACTGAAGGTTCTGGCAAGGGATGCTTGAATTTTCTCTAAGTGGGGCCATGACTACATTTAAAAAAACTGACTGACAAGTTTCTATTAAAATCCCATAGGATGCAAAACATCAGCCCTGCTTCCTGAAATACATTTACATAATTTGGTAAAGGAAAAACCTTCCTTTTCTTTGAGGCTATTACTCTTATGGAACTGGTCACTGGTTCAGGGCTGACCCAATATTCAGCACTGGCTCTGAGGGTTGAACTTGGTTCCTTTCAGCATTCAGGCAGCTCCCCAACACCCTGCACACAATGCCCAGACCCACTGGACCAGACAGACAGAGCCCGCCTCCAACAAGGGCACCCACCAGTGCTGAATGGGATCGAGTAGACGAAGCTCCCTGGAATCTGCTCAGCGGCTCTTCGGTACCAGAGAGGGAAATGGTCTGCGTTAAAAATGTTCTCCTTGTCGCCAGCTTTCAGGAAGTCCCTTGAAGTGGAAAAGAATCAGAAGAACATGCATCACTCAGCAGAGTAAAGGTGGGCCTGGAGCACCCCGACAGCCTTCATCAGGTAAAACCAGTGTTCACTTTTAGAACCCCAACTTGCCTTTCTCAGTATAGAGGGGGCCTCACTTAACACTGTGCACCCCAGATTACTCAAAAACATCTTGCAGAGCTCTGGGAGTCAAATTCTGAGTGGGTAAAATGATTTTTCCTTGTATATCTAGTGAACTAATTGTCTTAAAGTCTGAAGCCAAGCAAACAAAGCCTACAGAAATCCTATCAGAAAACCCAAGGATGTCCCCTCTAAACAAGAAAGCTTTGTCTGGCTTTAATACTCACACACATATACTCATACCCTTGGGAGAATCAACTCCTTAAGTAGATCTCATTCTTCTTAGAGCAAGTGTAAAGAAGGTAAACACGCTTCTCAGAAGAAGTGCAAAGGAAGTAAATGTGAGCCCACACTGAGATCTTTGTACCTTCTTCCCTCACCTGCCTCCTCGCTGGACAAACAGGCCTGCTCATGCCCCCTGTGTGCATCCCCGCCCTCCACTGACTCCCTGCCTTCTGCGCAGAGAGCTTGTCTATCGGGAAGGCTAGGTGCAGTCTTCTTTCTATCTCTTCCTTTCAAAATCACACTCATTTTCAAAGTGCGCCTCATCTACCATCTACCCCATGAATCCACAGAAACACATGCAAGCTTTTGCCACACCCTGGGCCCCCACAATCTTGGTAACTTTCATATAGCCTTTTATTTATTTTTTGGCCTGCACAATCATCATATCCCCTCCCCAGACCTCCCAAGATCTCTGAGGACAGGAGATTTGTTCACATTTGTGCACTCTTCACAGAGCCTTAAGCATATTCAAGTCCCAGTGCATGATTATTGACCTGACATTCCCTCTGGAGAGTCACATGTGCTGTCCAGCACCTGAAGCGCCTCATCTTGGCTGATACGGTGCAACTCAGGCGGTGGGGGGATGACCGCCTGGTTAGGCCACAGTCTGCTGCAGACATTTTTCTGGAAGGGAGACCAATCAAGGGACAACATATAGGTAGGGAAAAGGCCATGAGTTGAAGCAGAAATGGCACCACTTTCAACCCAGCAGTTTGCAGCAGAGAGTTGGATCACAAGGACCATGGAGAGAAATTTTCATGCTAAGTTGTAACTGGTTGGTTTCCTGAACTTGGCACCCAGTTCAGGAAAGCATTCAGTAGTTGCAGGGTGTGTCTAACCAGGGTTCCCTTCACCTCTACCAAAGATGGAGTGCCCACTTTTGGAGAGGAGGCCCATGCCCTTCGAGGACACCCTCCAGGTTCTTAGATAGCTCTGGAATCTACCTCCCTGTAACTTGTACTAGCATGTCCTAACTCCTTTCTAAGGTCTGGGACCTTCCTCCTCCCAATATTTCCAGGGCCTGGCTCTCAGCAGGCGCTTGGTGTATGCTTAATGATCACAAGAAAAATCTAATCTCATATCCAGATAAGAGCTCTTCCAGTATTAAACACAATTTCCTATATCTTCAAAAATAAAATTTCTCAATTTGTTTAAATTCCTTTCTATGGCCGTCTTCATAAGTGCTCTACTTTGTTAATACTGCTATAAAATTTTGTGCTACTAGAACTAGGTAATTGTAGGTCAAAAACGGTCTGACATAGCATAGCTGCTTGCATTTGATCTTGACTCTTACTGACAAAATGACTCTCCAGAAATTAAAAGTGTTTAAAAGAAAAATTTTTACAAAGCACTCTTCTCTCATTCAGAAGGCTAAGGCCAACTTTGGAGTCATGTGCAAGACTGAGAAAGTGCAGAGATCCCCTGTGCTATCTAGAATGCTGGAGATCAGGACTTCCAGGCTCATCTTGGTAGACAAGCTCTTCTTTGTGCTGCTTGTATTCAGTGGTAATGTTTCCTAATCTAAAAGTCATCAGGCTTCAGGAATACTGAAATTTTAGCCTTTTCATTTCTTTCGCTAGACATGAAATTCTTCATAAACCTGACCTGGACGGTGTGAGGAGGAGCCTCTGTTGCCTGGCCCATGGCAGGATGCATTGCTACTCTCTACCCTGGGTCACAGGTGCAGCCACGACTGAGCAGAAGGTGTTCGCACTCCCAGCAGGTCTGTTCAGTGGTCATTACAGCTAAGAGGTGCCCTGTCTATGCAGCACAGGTTAATGATGCCCACAGGGGACCTTTTTCCAGAGTCATGGTAGATGAGATGGTGGCTTGGTTAGAAGGTATGAAGTGGTCCTCACTTAAGGCAGTGACATTCAGGCTTTGGGGGTGGCTGGCAATAGATCTGGAATGCTGCACATCTGGGTGTCCAGTGCCCTGCTGCCCGGGACAGTGCTGGCACCTAGGGCAGCCAGCAGGAGCCTGCAGCACTTGATCCCCATTAGCCCTGGTGTCACTGCGAAAGGACTGAGTTGCCGGGAAACCCTGGAGGCCTCTGCCAACTACTAGGCAGCAATTCTGGAGGAAACAGGAAGGAGCAACCTGATTTTACAGAATCCCAAAAATGTTCTTCAGGAAGAAAGATCCTTCTGGGTAAGGTGAAAGTCTCCTCCTGGATACTAGGAGCTATTGCAGTGGTGTGTCAGGCTGGTCTAGATTCTGGGAAGAACTGGGTGACTCTGAGTGAGTAATTGAGTCTCCGACCCCCATTTACTCATCTACAAAATGGGAACAATAAAAACGCTGCACTTTACCAGGGTTGTATCAGAATTACATAACACCATATGTGAAAGAGTGTTATGGACACTGAAAACAGGCTCTAACAAATATATGGGATTCTTAAAGCCCAAGAGCTCTTTTGTTCTTGGTGGTTGAAAGGGCAGGGGTAAAGTGGTCATCTTCTTAACTTAAGGCTGTACGCTGTGAAGGCTAACATCACTGGATGCTATATGCATGTGATGTGAGAAGTCGTACTGAAGGCACAGAATGTATTATAACTATTGGGGGTGACGGCCAAGTTTCAGTATAATCGACCTACTTCCAAATGCAGGTGGCGGGGGTATGGGATGAAATCTCAGTGTAGGAGACTGATGATAGTATGAGATAATTGCAGGGTAGCAACTTTATATTATCAAGTTCTCTGCCCAATACTTAAAGCTCTGCCTTTCATGCCCTAGTCAAAAGCAAAAACTAAACCAAAAGTCAGAAATGCTAAAAACTTTCTAAGCCTGGCTTAGAGAGTGTATCCAAATAGCTGGATCTTGACAAATACCATTTGATGGGAGGGGATAGGCAGGTAAGACCCTAAGACAATAGATGTCAAGGTGCCTCTATATGAAGCAATGACAGGAGTTTCTTGAAGACAGATTTCATCCATTCAAATTGTCAATGAGTACCCACTCTGTGGGTCACGTAATGCCACAAAGAATAGAACACACAGTTGTAGGAATTTTTAGCTTCCCAAAGAAATTTTCCATCCATAAAAAAAAAAAGAGTTTTTTTGAGACAGAGTCTCACTCTGTTGCCCAGGCTGGAGTGCAGTGACACAATCTCAGCTCACTACAGCCTTCACCTCCCGGGTTCAAGTGATTCTCCTACCTCAGCCTCCTGAGTAGCTGGGATTACAGGTGTGTGCCACCATGCCCGGCTAATTTTTGTATTTTTAGTAAAGACAGGGTTTCACCATGTTGACCAGGCTGGTCTCAAACTCCTGACCTCAAGTGATCTGCCTGCCTTGGCCTCCCAAAGTTCTGGGATTACAGGCATGAGTCACTGTGCCCAGCTCATCCATAATTTTTTTTGATCTTCACAGTAACCAAAAGAGATCATCGCTCTCACTTTTCAGGAGGACAGAATGAAGATACCCAAGTGAGATAAGCCAGGTACACCTCCCAGCATCCTTACTGTGGTCCTTTGTCTTTTAAATCCATCACAATAACACAGTTATCAGACCAGCAAGGTGTCATGTTTTATTGTTACTGTTTTGCAGCTTTGCTTGTTTCAGTCTCAATGCCAGCAGCAGACTTTCTCAATGAGTATTAGAAAATGAATTCCCTTGTCTCCCCTTGCCTATCTGGATCCTAACAGGAGAAGGCAATGTGTATCTCAGCACCTCTAGTCCTTCCCAGGAACTCGCCCTCTGGAAAAACAATTGTCTGGGGGAAAAACGCTTAAAAAAGTCGTTAAAAATCAAGTTGCAACTATAATCAAACTTCATAGATGATAAATGTGAGTATCAAGAAGGTCAAAGTCCTGGAACAGAATTCAAAGCCAATCTCTTAAAATACCTAAACATTGATTGATCTGTCATTTACCAGACTTGGTTTTGTAAGGTTATATGGTGGGTGTCAGGGCCTCACCTAGCAGAGGCAAACAGCACTGTCAAGCTCCAAGGAAGCACCGCCTCCTTGGACCCCTGATGAGCCAATCCCTCTCAAATTGGCAGCTACTCTGTGGCTTGGTTATTCACCTCCAGGTACCCTGAAGGTTGGGGGTATAATGTTCTGTGGTAACCTCTGAACTCACACACACACACTTGCAAACCACTCTCTAACTTTCTGAATCTTGGGACCCATTTGTCCATGTCTTAACAATCGCTCTTGCTTCAGAGAAAAGAAATAGAAAAAACTTATTAACAGACTCAGAAAAGACTTCACAGTCTACCTACTAGCCCTGGTGAAACACCAGTTTGATGAGTTAAGGGCCCGTGGTTCTCTGAAGATGCAGGGGCTTAGCATCTGGGTACTAGACCTGGAAACTCTCTGCCCACCATCTATCCACGTCTCTTTGGAAGTCCAAGGAGACACTGTCAAACCCCAGCATCCCCAGAGGGCCCACTCCTGGGTGTGGAGCTCTGCAGCCCCTCAGGCTAAGCACAGAGGCAGAGGTTTATTAGTAAAATGTAAACAAACAGGACTTGGAACAGTGACTTTTGTACAGGCAGGAATTCCTCAGCATAGCTGCAGAACAGCTGAACACCCTGAAGCCATTTGTTACGAGATGAGTGTTTCCTCCCTCTGGCGGCTCCCCCAGCAGCCGCACCACCTCCCAGAGTTCTGAAATGACTCATCAGGGCGGGAGAGGACTCCAGGACAGTGGACAGAAGCCAACAAGCCTGAGGAACAAAGGGTGGTGGAAGGGCTAACAGGCAGGTGAAAGCACATGCTGGGGCCCGCATGGTAGAACAGAGAGGAAAAATCTCAATAGGCCTGGGGTGGCCTAAATTATGTTTCTACCAGTAGTGGAATCAAGAAATGAAATAAGCTTCCCTTTGAATGTTCCATTTCAGAAGCTCCCTGGGCCCCTGTAGAGGATCCCTCCTACTTACTGATTGGTGAGCTGCTCAGCCCCGACAAACAGGTTGATTCTGGAGAGGCCCGTGCGAGTGCCGAGGAAGGCAACCTCCACGCCCTTGTCAGAATTTCTGAAACAGAACAACAGACGTCAGGGGGAGGCCTCTAGACAGTAAGCAGATAATACATTGCATTTTAAGACTCACAGAATGTTTTTACCAAATAGCAGTTTTGAAACTTAAACTTTAAAAGAAGATACAGAAACACACACACACACACACACACACACACACACACACACACACGAGCACAGATTGCCAACTTGTATCCCTTACAAAAGTTTTCAAAGTAATACTTGCAGGAAAAATGAAGAACTTCCTGCCAACAAAAGCAGCATGTGAAAAAAATCTACTTCCAACCATACACACATCTTTATTTCAAGGTTCTGGGTGCAAGTTCAAAGAGATCAGGCTAAGAATGGGAAGGACTAGCCAGTTAGGGCTTAGGACTCGCTTTTTGCATTAAAGCTACCAAGTTTATTCTTGGTCTTGAGATCATTTGTGGAATCTGCCATTAAAGCAGCTGAGCCATGGAACCAAGTTTGCAGCATCCCACAGCCTGGAATTCCACGTAGTTGGAATTGGTTTTGACATCCACACAGTTGTGGGGGCCCCAGCTTATCACTTCTACCAGACCACAGGCCTTATTCTCACCACCAACCCCAAAGAGATGTGTAAAGAAATGGCTTCTTCCAATAGCTCTGTAGGAGGCTACACATAGGAACTCTAAGAACGGCCTTGGCAAGGAAAACTAATGTAAAAATTCACTAAATATCATTTTGTTTCAACTTCCAAGGCAAATTCTATATGCTTGAGCGTGTTCTTTAGGAGATTTGCAAGGTATATTTCTCCTATGCAAAAAGCAAATGGCCTTTCTTCACAAACACATAATATTTTTTTTCTTTCTTTTTCTTTTTTTTTTTTTTTTTTTGAGACGGAGTCTGGCTCTGTCACCCAGGCTGGAGTGCAATGGCGCTATCTCGGCTCACTGCAAGCTCCGCCTCCCGGGTTCATGCCGTTCTCCTGCCTCAGCCCCCCGAGTAGCTGGGACTACAGGCGCCTACCACCACGCCTGGCTTATTTTTTGTATTTTTAGTAGAGACAGCGTTTCACTGTGTTAGCCAGGATGGTCTCGATCTCCTGCCATTGTGATCTGCCCACCTCGGCCTCCCAAAGTGCTGGGATTACAGGTGTGAGCCACCATGCCTGGTCCACAAACACATAATTTTATCCTACAATAAATGTATGAAGAGAACACCAATTCTTGAGCTTGTTTCTCTGTCCTAAATGCTACTAGTAATTTGATCCAAAGTATTCTCCACGTTATCTTCAAAGTAAGGTCATTTGGTTACTTGATCTTTGATGAAAGTCAAAATGGTGGATGCTACCTTTAAGTATTTAAGGGCTGAATAAAAACCAAAACAATGCATTTCTGCTTGTAGCCTACACCAAATTGGAAAGCCAGGCTGTCCAATCAGTTACAGATGGTGGACTACAAAGCAAGTTACCATTTTGGAAATCTTTAGTATGTGTTAGGAATGAATCAGCAACCTTTGCTCAAGATTTTGAGTTTCATGAGAGCCGAAAAGAAACACTACAAGGTTTACTAGAGAAAGAAACCCCAGGAAAGGCTCAATTCGTTGCCAGCTTCCCAGGAAATAAGATCCATGCCATGAAGGCAAGCAGTTCAAAGACACCCCTAATAATGAAAATGGCAGTCTCTCTGGGGCTCCAGATTTGCATACTAAACAGCCTACCTGACATCTCCATTTGGGAGACTTTCAGTCATTTTCAGCTCACGATGTCTAGAAGAGAGACTGGCCATGCCCAGCCCTAAACCTGATCCTCCCCCAGTGTCTCTCGTGTTAGCAAATAGCACCGTCTGCCCAATAGCTCATGATATAAACCTGGGAATGATCCTTGATGGCTCAACCTCCCTACCCTCCACAACAAACCCATCATCAAGTCCTGGAGACCTTGCCTCTGAAGCAAGCCACAAGTGGACCTCTTCTCTCTGTGCCCACTGCCCGGGTCCAAGTCATGAATCCCTGGGAAAACTGTACGAACCTTTACTATTGTTCTTACCCCATCACCCTCTGTTCTCCACACAGCAATAGAGAGATCTTTTTGTAAAATGAAAATCTGATCATTTTCTTCCCCTTCTTAAAATCCTTCAGTGATCTTCCACTGCTCTGAGTATAAAATCCAAAATCCTTAACCTGACTCCCAAGGTCCTGAGCCATGCGGCCCCTCTGCAGCCTCATCCTCTGACATCTTCCAGGCTATCCTCTATATGTCAGCTGTGTCCACCTTCTTTAAATTCCTCCAATGTGTCAAATGCTTTCTCATCTCAAGGCCTTTGTACATGCTGTTCCTGGAATGCTGCCCAAACCTTGAACTAGTTCCCATCTTCCTCCTCCACTTTAGATCTGTTACACTTTATGTGTCTTTACTTTTCCTTCAAAGCAGTTATGATTCTTAATAATACAGCACACTATATACCACAGGTGCCATGATGTTAAGGGCTCTATCTGTGTGGTTTCTCTCCATTTCCCCAACACCTCGCTCAGAGTCTGGCACATAACAGACACACAGTCAAGACTTGATGAGTGAATGAATGAAAATGAGAACAGAATGAATGTCAGGATGGAAGGGAAGATACAATGAGGGAATGAACTATTGAATAGAAAAATGGAGAGAAACAGGATAGAAGGGAAGATACAATGAGGGAATGAACTAAGGAAGAACAGAAAAGTGGAGAGAAATGAATCATGTAACACATGAAAATATAAGGGAAAAGGAATGGTTCTTCCTTTTCTTTTTAATCTTTAATAGTCTACTTAAAGTAATAATGGTAAAGAAATAATAATAAGCTGCTAAAGCAGTTCTCATCCTAGTCTTTGATATCAACTACCACGGCCTTCCCCACAGCCCTCCACCCTCCACTTCAGAAATAAAACCACAGGGTTATATCTAACACCCTATGAAACTGAGCTCTCACTTCTCCATCCTACTCACAACCTAACCTGGCCCAGATCCCAAGCTCCCCCAAGACTGCAAAGTAGAGAGAGCTGTGGCGAGGCAGGCAACGAAGTTCCCTTCCGCCTCCCTCTCTCTCGGAAGTGTCACCCTACCTCAGCGTACCAAATTTCATGTAACGTTAAAACTCAAACAAATTATATGTCAAAGCCAGGAGCTTGCCATCCAAGCCCGAGCCGCTAATCTGCTCTAGCTCTTGTGGTTTGGAGCTTGGGGGAAAATTAAAGAACTTTAACACCAGGTTCCTAAAACAGTTTAGTTCTTTAAACCATAACCATATTTCGGAGTGTTGGTGAGGAAATGGCCATGAAACGAGGACACGTGCAACCACTTACTCAGATTTGTTGAGGGCCAGGCTGGTCCAATACGCTTCAATGGGGGCACTCACCACCGCGTCAAAAAGGACTTCTTGGATCAATTCTTTATCACCTGTTGGGAGGGACAGACAAGAGGATGCTTCAGCAGGGCTGGAAGAGGGGCATGAGAGGCACTCATGGGCTCATTGTGCAGCATCTGCAGGCTACTTTCTCATGCGGCATGTTGCTTTATGAGTTAAGTTCCCACTAGTTGAAAATATGAAACAGTTCTGACACCTGGTATGCCTGCAACACAGGAGCCTCCAAAGCATTTGGGCAAGAAGGTAGTCAACTGAGAGCCTTGGGTGTCTCACACTTCAGTTTCTTGCTTTCTCACCCCATCTCGTGGTTCCTGCCATGGACCAGCAGGCTGAGTCCCAGATTTGGAGACCAGAAGCCAGTACTCCTTGAACACTTGGCTGTCATCATCCCCATCTCTGTCCTCTCCTAAAACTGAAATTCTTTAGCACCCTGAAATTCTCAGCCTGTTGTCACATGGGAAAGAGATACCATAACTTAATAACCCCTGGGATTCTTATTTTGTGATTCCTTCTTTTTAAGAATTGTTTCATTTTATTTATTTTTATTTATTTGTTTATTTTTTTGAGACACGGTCTCACTCTGTCACCCAGACTGGAGTGCAGTAGTACAATCTCAGCTCACAACAACCTCTGCCTCTCAGGCTCAAGCCAGTCTCCTACCTCAGCCTCCCAAGTAGCTGGGATTACAGGCACAGGCCACTACCACCTGGCTAATTTTTGTATTTTTAGTAGAGATGGGGTTTTACCATGTTGGCCAGGTTAGTCTCAAACTCCTGACCTCAAATGATCTGCCTGAATCAGCCTCCCAAAGTGCTGGGATTACAGGCATGAGCCACCACGCTCGGCCAAGAATTGTTTCATTTTAAAGGAGAATGTCTGTTGCCATCCAAAGGGACTCTTGGTAGAGCTCTGTGGAAGAGGCCAAGGAATGAGAGGACATGGTAAGTCTAGGAGAGGCATCCTAGAGTTTTCAAATCACTCTGCAGAGGAGGATAACTAATTATCACATGGGACAGGACAGTCCTCACCTTGACTGGGGGCAAAAAAAAAAAAAAGAGCTTTGCTGAAAAGCGAAAGCTAGAAATAACTTATCAGTAAGACAATGAATATATTAAGTTATGTAGTGGAATTCTATATAGTAATGCAAATAAATGCGTTAAAGCTAAATGATCAACACAAATTTCAAAAATATAATGGGTGAAAACACAAGTTGTAGTACATATATACTTTATACACATATTGTATGTATTATAATATAGTAATTCATACAATATACCATAAAGTTTAATATATATTTTAAAATAATAAAATTAATGCTACATATTGTTTATAGATACCTACATATGTAGGAATAGCATTAAATTATTGAGAATAATGAACAAATACAGAAGGTCATTCTCTTTGGGAGGGAAACGAGGCTGAGCAGGGACCCAGGGGCTTCAACTTTATCTATAATGTCTCATTCCTTAAAAAGCACCTGGAGTAAGTGTGGCAAAATATTACGACTGCATAAAGCTGGATGGTGACTACAAATGTATTATTCATATTGTCTCTATACTTTTGTTTTTTAAATATGTCCTTAAAAAGTCAAAGACAATGACACATTGGGCTCACAGGATGTCCATCTGATCCTTTCCCCACCAGGGCATATCCCAAAAAGTAAATCCATTCTATGGAGATGTCATTTAGTAGCTGGATAATCTCCTTACACCTCTCATAGGATTAGATATGTAAAACACTTTTCAGGTCATTGAATACATGATGCTTGTTAGAGGTGGGGGCAGATATCATGATCAGTTTTAGTGGCTCTCCCCTGCCCAAACTGTGAGAGTATAGGGTCTGTTCCTGCTTTTGAGGGACATCCAGGGCTGCCACTGCTCTTCCCTCTTTTGCACCAGCTGAGAGATTTCCTACTCACTGAACTCCCCTAGAAGGGGATGCTTGGTAGGCAGGGCACTCAGCATGTACCACACTGAGAGGCTACGTGTCCCCGTCGTGACCCTACTCTTGGGAGAACCAGGAGATCTAGATATAGCCTTGAATGAGGCACAATCCTACTTCCAGCCTTGGTTTCTCATTTGCAAAATAAGGGAGATATGCAAATATTTACAGTCCCTTCCCAGTTGTAACATTTTCATCCTATTCAGTTGCTTGACTAAATGGTTCAGAAGGGGACAAAGCCCAATGCAAACAGCTAAACCAGGATTGGGGATTCTGTACAATTTTCCATAATCCACATTCTTTCTCCTGTTCCTACAGGAAGCAGATATTTGATTAGATTTCATGTGACTGATAATCTCTGCCAAAGCAAAGCTTCCCTTAACAAGTGAGGCCAAAAAATGTTTTGAGTTCATTCCCCACCATCACCCCTGAAGGCACAGCACACTTTTGAAAGCATACTCACACTGGAGCAGAGGTTCTTTGCCTTTTAGGTAGAGCTTAATCGCTTCTAACTGAGACAGATGGCGGTGCTCAGGGTGTAGGTCAGTGTTGCAGTAGGACCTAAGAACATGACATGGCCCAAAACAAGAGCATGTCAATATTTACAGCATCTGCTTCCTTTGCCTTGGAATCAGGAAAACTGGGCAAGGGAGCACAAACCATGTGGAATCAAAGAGGGCAATGAAGGATGCCATGGTCAAGGAGGGATGGTTTAATTCTTACCATTCATCTGCCAAGGACACATCGGGATGTTCTAAGTCATGCAGGCCTGGGGGTCAAGGAGAAGGGGTTCATGAATAAGTATCACTCCCCCAGTCCTCCTGTGTGCTTCAAATATTCTAGGGTAGGGCTGCGGGGTGGGTTAAGGGTAGACATCAACCCTAAGGGACCTGCCTTGGAGCAGCAGGTTTATTTTCTGAGGAAAATAAACGAGTTCCCTTCCAGGCAGGACTCTCTCCCCATCTCTACCTCACTCAGCCCAGCACTGCCACCTTCCCTGGCTGTTCATCCCAGGAAAACCTTAACCCCTTGAAGATAGAGGATACACAAATGAGTCCGGAGGGAGAAGCTTAACAGGACTTTAGAAACACTCTCTCTGGTGCTCCATTTAGTCTAAGTTGGGAACCGGGCTAGGCCACTGACCTCCTGTGTGATGTCAACAGGTTATTTTACTTCTCTAAACGTCAGTTTCTTCATGTGAAAAGCAGGAATAGTAGTCCCTAATTGATGTGTGGTTGTGAGGGTGAAATCATAGGTTGAACAATATGAAGTCGTCAATACTCAACTGTTTTTGAGCAGCAAAGATTGCTAGTTGTTACAGGATCCTAAGTGAAAACGGTCATCCGCCTGGGAAGGAAACTAGGGGAGCTGGGGCTTGCATGGAATCTGGGAGTTTTAATAGAAGGTTCCAGACCATCCTAACTCTGCAAGGATAACTGTTTCATTGCACTTTCACATGGCTTGATCTTAATGGGTTATCAGCAGACATACACTTCTGAATGATGACCTCGGGAACTCCCATGATGCTTATAGCCTGTTTTGGGAAGTTAGTTTCTTAAATGACTGATAGTATCTTACTGCACTCAGGACTCCAGTTTCCATCTCAAACACAAATCTATAAAAGAAGTAGCAAAATACTAGACCTATCACACAATTCTGCTTGATTTTACAGAAAGTAGAGAATACATTAGAATGAACATCATTGCATATGATCCAAGTGGGCATACCCACGCTCCAACACCTACAGGCTGAATGACCTTGGGGATGTCATGTCAGCTCTTTGAGTTATATCTACCATGAGATACAAGTAATACTGCATAGCTCACAAGTGCCAGAAAACAGTTAAATGGGACAGGGATTAGTCCCTAGTACAATCCATCTATCTGTGCAGCCTTTCTTCTTTTTTTCCTTTCCTTCTTCCCAACCAAACAACTTTCCTTCCTTCCTTTTGCCCTCCTCCCATTCCTTCCTTTCTTCCATACTTTTACTGAGCATCTGCTATATGCCAGGTATGATTCTAGGCCCTGAGAATATAGCAGTGAAAAAACAAAACGAAAATTACTGCCTTCATTGTATTTAATTTCTAGTGGCAGAAAAGAGATAGTAAATTATATTAAAATTTAACTTTAGAGAATATCAGATGGTAGCAAGGGCTAAAAAGGAAAAGAGAACATGGAACAAGAACAGGGAGGACCAAGAGATAAGGAGGGTTGAAGGGAGAGAGAGGAGAGAGAGAGAGAGAGAGAGAGATTCCATTGTAACTATGGAGGTCAGGAAAGGCTTCACTGAGAAAGTGACCTGAATGAGGAAAGGAAGAGTCATGTAGGTGGCAGGAAGGGTGCTCATGGCAGAAGGAATAACAAGTGCAAAGGCCCTGAGAAGGGACTGTACCTTCCCAGAAAACTGGGTTTAGAGTGTCAAGTCTTTTTCTAGTTGCAGTTCCCATCCTCCCAACCTCATTTACAAAATCATCTCTGGCTCTATTTCACAGGACCTATAAATGACACTCAGAAAAGATGAGATCTATCGGGAAGATCTTTTTGACTGCTTCTTCTCTGGGTTCCTAGGGCACCAAGGAAATTTAATTGCTTTCTAATTCTCTCACCTCTGACATTGGTCCTTCTGATAAAAATCATATCCACTGATGACTGGAACTGTTGACAATAATGACATAAGCTCTAATTTGTTGAACAATTATCATGTGCAATACATATAAAAGATACAAAGTGGCCAGGCGCGGTGGCTCACACCTGTAACCCCAGCACTTTCGGAGGCCGAGGAAGGCAGATAACGAGGTCAGGAGTTCGAGACCAGTCTAACCAACATGGTGAAACCCTGTCTCTACTAAAAATACAAAAATTAGCTGGGCGTGGTGGCATGCTCCTGTAATCCCAGCTACTCAGGAGGCTGAGGCAGGAGAATCACCTGAACCCAGGAGATGGTGGAGGCTGCAGTGAGCTGAGATCACACCATTGCACTCCAGCCTCAGCAACAGAGCAAGACTCCATCACACACACACACAAAAAGATACAAAGTGTTGAAAAAGATTAAAAGATTCATAAGAGAAACAATTTCAGCAGGTAGAATTATAGCCCACACCTTCAATCTTGGTAATGACTTTTTATATTTTTTAGCAAAAGCTACCTATTTGCCGCCTTTGTAATCTCTGGCACTGGCAAAGCATGTGGAAAATTCCCACATTCTGTAGGCAGTTATTCCTTATTGAAGATCCTATAGAAGTATGGTTGCCAACCCCAAGGAACTCCTTCCCTCTCCAAGAACAGAAGAGAACAATAATACACCACGGCTCCTAGAGAGATGACAAGATCCTCTACTATTTGGCCCAAGGGGAAGCAGCTTTCTTAAGTTCTATTACTCAGCAAAGCTGGCAGGATTGTCAGTCTTTTTATTTACAGAGGACCAACAGAGAGAGGAAGATATGACCTCATTTGGGTGGATAAGCAGCCACTCTCCCCCTTGCTGAGGATTTGAGCTAATTTTTTGCACAGTGGTTACAGTTAGCTCTGAAATTCTCTGTGACTGCTTAGCCTCACAGCTGTGGAACATACAGGAAGATAGTGACTGAAAAAGAATCCAAAAGACAATGCAAAACAACTGTGTGTATCTGTGTCTCCATGCATGTATGTATGTATGTGTGTGTGAGAGAGAGAGAGAGAGGAAGGGAGGGACAGGCCCATGTATTGA
Source organism: Homo sapiens (assembly GCF_000001405.40). Classification (NCBI taxonomy): domain Eukaryota; kingdom Metazoa; phylum Chordata; class Mammalia; order Primates; family Hominidae; genus Homo; species Homo sapiens. The sequence goes on along the minus strand of NC_000003.12, from coordinate 54,882,344 downwards.
GGATTGACCAAGGGAGCAGACGCATGAGAGGCAGTTAATATCTCTTAATAACCTCTCCTATTGTTCTGACCATGAGTTGTTTCTTCAGCGTGACCTCACATGGCTTAGACATGAATTTTCTGGCTTCATGGGCAGTGATGTCCACAGAGCCAACATGGCCCACAGAGGCAGAAAATTCTAGAAGTGAAAACATGATCCTGAAAACACATCCTGCAGAGTGTCTTGCTCAAGTCACAGAGTTGCCTGTGTTCTCTGGCATGTCTCTGGGAAGAGAGACCACATGGTTAGCTCTTTGGTGGGCACACTCTGGGTTGTGCCCAGCTCACAGTGAGCCTCTCTACTCTCCTTTCTGCCCCTATACGATCTCACAAGCACTTGGGAAGCACAAACCAACATCCCTGAAACAACACGGGCAGGGACCACTGGCAGTAAATCAGAGGCTATCTAGGGGTTTGGCGTCTCAGGGAACATCCATCTCCTTCCTCACGCCCTGTGGCATCATCTGAGGGCGCCATGGATGGCCCAGCTTCTGGAAACTCACCACATACATGTGTAATCAGTTCCGACCAATTAAAACTTTGCTTATAATTGACCTTCCCATTCCTGGCTGTCCTCCCTAAAGACATCCAGAAAGACTACTGTTCTGGGCCCACTCCTCCTCTGTGGACATGCAAAACCTAATGACCTGCAAGTGAGTCACTCAAGGCCACTCAGGGAGTGGTGCCCTTCAGAAACAATGTCCACCACCCCTGTGAGCTCCTAATGCTGGGACAGGTAACCTCTCTGAACTACTAGGGAGCTGGCAGATGAAAAGGATAGCACATGTGACAGCAATTTTAAAATTTAAAGAGCTATAACAACTGCTCCTGTTTACTGAGAGTTTACTGTGCCTCTGTGCTTTATGAAGATAAGAGGGTCTGGGAACTTCAAGGTGCTACTTACTCCCTCTGACCTATGTAAATCATTTAAATGGTCACATTTCCCTTTGGGCCAGGGCTGCCATGAAACACAAGTGAAATACGTGGCTCAACTGTGTAGGAGAGACTAAGGCTCTCATATCTCTGTTTTCATGGTTTCCCCTGGGCATGAGTTATTTCATAAATTTGTATTTCTCCCAAGTACTGATTTTTATGTATGAGAAGAATATACTTGAGGGATGATTCCTATTTACTGATACTCTGCTTTCATCCATAATGCTGTTGACTGTGAGTTACTCATAGTCAACAGCTTTGTGGATGAAAGTAGAATATAAGTAAATTAAATCACAACCATGAATCGGAACTCCTGTCATTCTGAAATCTAGGCACACCAGGGAAGAAGAAAGGTATTAAGAATTATCAAGTAGGCATTCGTTTGAGTGGAATGTCCAAGGGACTGGTCACAGGTGCGGACAGATGAACAAGTTCTTCAGCTAACTCAGTAGCTAGCTCCCGAGCTTTCCTCCCACACCAAAGGATAAGACGAGCCAGGCAGTATCTTACCTTCTTCGATGGTTACATTCCCTCGGAAGAAATATTTCCCATGACCTCTGGAAAGCGCCACACCTAAACTGTGCAGAGAGACAAAGCAAATCTTGAAATCCCTGGCATCGACTCGAATAGACTTGTGGGCTAACATTTTTTAATTTTCCATTTTTCACATTTCCATTTTATGATCTGTCAACAATTTTTCCAACTGTTTACTTTCAAAACCCCACTGATTATCACTGGTGTTGGTTTTTCTTAGGTTCAATCAGCTGCTTCAAAGTAACTTCTGATCAGAAATGCCAGCAGCAATTGGCTACTCTTTGTGTTTTCAGAGTTGTGGCAAACTGCTCGCCCTTCCAGCAAGCCCTTCTCTCAGATGCCCTCCCAAGGACCATGAGCCCTGCTCTTTATACACCCTTGTCCTGCATTCAGCCAGAGATGGGTCTCTCCAGCCCCTAGACTTTGGGACTCGGGAAATTGACCCCTGCTCAAGGGCAAAAACAAAAACTTCCACTACTACATGAGTGTAACCACATTACTGTGTTGCAGGCTTCTTTGCCCAATCCTCTCCCTAGTCTAATAGGTTTTTCACACTCACTGGCTTGATTTAAGATCCATTCCGTTTTTATCAAAAGCAAGAGACTATGTTTTTAAAACATAGTCCCTTACGTTAGAGAGACTATTTGGCAAACCCACTTAGCAGCTCATGTGGTCCTTATTTGCTCCTGGTTCCACATGGAATCCACCCATGATCCTTGGCAGTTTAGGACAACAATGCTAGAATTTATTTTTCAGATTATTCTACAGTCAGTAAACTCCTTCTCTCCTTAGCTCTGAGACGCCAGTTCAGGAATATGAAGCAGGCTTACTGAAATAATTTTTTACAAAATGAATTACAACACTAAGTTAATAGTAGTGGGAAACTTTAGAATGCTACATACACATCTGAAAGCAGCCAATGAGGCAAAGCCATTTTTCAGGACTGTTACAAAGAGAAACAACAGGATTCAAAAGTAGACAAGCACACAAGGACAGTTCAGAGAAATGGAAACAGAGGCACAACATGTAGGAATGGATATGCCACCTCCAGGTTTGAAGGATTGTTTTTTTGGTCATGGAAATAAAAGGTGAAATGGAACTCACAAAGCAGCAAGTTCAATAGTTAAGGACCCTGGTAACCCTCTGCACTTGTCTTCACCCTTAGCGGGAACCCCCAAAGCATATTTGCTTGACAATGAGATGCAAAGCCATGGCAGATTGAGTGAGTTCTCCTAGGTGAGCCTGAACCATCTCCCCCCCTTCTGGAAAACAAAAGCAGCCTGGGAAAAGCCCCTTCCTCACTCTTTCCAGCCTTTTGGCAGGGTGTTTGGTTATCTTCAGATGATGAGCTCTGAGAGTGTCAGCAGGTTTTGTACAAACACAACTGATGGGTCTGATGGAATGTCCATGTATTATGGTCAGCTCTACCTGAAAGGAGTACCCTTGATGTCTGTATAATAGTAGTCATTTGTCATCACCAAAACCCGTTTCTAGATTGAAAAAAAAAAAAAAGTCGTAGAGAAAAGAAAACATGGTTAGTCTGCTAAGTGACGTCTTCAGAAATAAATAAAAATAAATGGACACACTATGATCAGGTTAACAGTACTACATGAATCTTGTTTGAGATAAGTAAAGACAAGAGAAAAATGATCTCAGCGAAAGATATTTATTCCAGATATAGCTTTCAAAGCTAATTTTTCACAGTGGTTTGTTTTAAATTAAGCAGCAAAAATGTTTGAGAAAAATGTACCCCTTTGTCCACTGTCTTCTTCACCTCCATGGAAAACTTCCCCGTCTTTCGATTCACCATAGCATTTCTCAACTAAAATGATAAAAGAAAAGTGTGTTAGTTCTTCCCTGGGTTATCATGTAATCTGGACATCTTGCATCCTCAGCGTGCAGTGGAGCCTCCATATTGAACTTACACCTCGAAAACAGAGCTTCTGAAGAATAAAACACCCAACTGCTCATGTACAATGGGAGACAGGCTAACAACAATAAATAAATGACCTTCATCTTTAATTTGGGGAGCTCGTGTAAACTTCAGGACAATAACAAAAGAGCCTTGGCGATACTGATGAATCCCGGGGGTCAGAGCGTGAACTCCTGGAGACCCGCTGAAATGCCGAGCAAGAACGTCTCTGGGGACAAGGTACGTTTTCAAAAAGGGTACTGATTTGTCATGGAGAAATCACTTTTCAAAACGTAATCAAGTTAAAGACGTTTTCCTACACAGTAGTTAAAAAGAAGAAGAAAAAAAAAAAAAAAGGCCAAGCATTTGGAAGACAGGGGTTAGCCTTTCCTAAGATGAATCATCTTTAAATGCTCTCTGAGAAATCTGGGCCAATTAATGACCTTGCTGATGAGGCAGTGAACAGGAGCGACCCTGTATCTGATTTTTTGGAGGTCCTGTTTAGGAGCAGCGAGCCTGGCTCTCCTCCCCCACCCCCAGCTGACCTCATCTAATTACATGTGGCCCTTCCATGAGTTCAGAGGAGGACAGCAGACGCAGTGATGAAAGATGTGCCGTCATGGGCACCAAGGCAAGACGACAGAGAAGGCCAGTTAATGGAATAGGAGCAAACGCTGACATGCCACAGCCTGTCAGGAAAGGCTCTCTCCCCACCCCTCTCTTGTCTTTTTCATCTTTTCCCCTCTTTTCTCCTTTGAGGAGCTTGAGTAAGATCTGGCCGATAGAAAACTGCAACACTAGCAAGCAACCTAAATTTGATTCGAGGCTGTCTAGATTTGGGTTTGCATTCTCATCTTCTGTGTGAGTGAGTAAAGGCATAATTTTTAGCTGGAGGCATGTATAAAATAAAACATATATTTTACTCTAGATATTTTTTTAACAACACATAATAGGCATTTCTGGAAATATTTTCCCATTTTAACTTTTGTGGTTTTGGACAGGGAGAGCTGGTCCTAATTAAGTCTACTTTCTAACTTTTAAGAACGGCTCGATTTATCTTTAACATGGTTTTCATTTTTCCTCTTTCTGGTGCCTGCCTAAAGCCATTTGGGACCTTCTCCTCTCACATTCCCCAGGCAAACTAGAGATTAGGTAAGCCTCGCTGTGTCTCCATGCCACCCCACCCCCAACTCCCAGTAGCACAGAACAATCAACATGGGGGTCTGGGAGTGTCCAAGGCCAGGGTCACTGATGCCTCCTTTAGTCTTGCCCTTGTCTTAAATCATAACAAAAACAGGTTATACTTATTGAACCTACTAGTGAAGCAGGATGGCACTGTAGTTAAGGAATGGACTCTGGAGCCAGAGCTTTATGATCTTGGGTATCTCGATCACTTACCATCTCTGTGACTCAGCTTCCTCTTCTGAAAAATGGAACTAATGCCAGCACCCATCCCATTAAGTTGTAGTGAAGACTGACGAGTCAATATTTAGAAGAGTGTCTGGTGCCTCCCAAGCACTCAATACATGCTAGCTATCCTCCATCATCATCAACACCACAGTCAACAGTATCTGTATCATCGTCATCCTCATTACCATCTTGCTCATTTTCACTTAGTGTCAGACACCTTTCAGTAGCTTAAAGCATCAGGATTCGGACTTGAGTTTGCTTGAGGCAGATGCCCAAGCTCAATGTTTTCCAAACTGTTTTGACTTTGAGCCATGTAAGAAATACATCTTACTCTGATGAGCCCCTCTCTATCTCCTATTTTAGTAGATTTCGTTGCTATGTTGCTCATGAACCACTAAATGGATTTTGTGACCTCTCCTCCAACTCCCCACATTGAAAACTGCTGCTCTTAACTGCCTGTAGGTTTACATAGACCGAAAAGGAGACAGCCCCAGGTAAAGAGGTAAACCACGATATCGATGTTCAAGTTTTGCCACTGACACAAGCCAGCTGTCCCGTGACCTCTCTGTGGCTCACTTTCTTCCTGTTTCATTCATTCTGTCTAAAGTGTTCATGAGTGAGGACTCCCAGATCCCAGGGATCCTGTCAGGGGCTATAAAAAGGGAGGTCATCAGATTCCTATGAAATTCGGATACTACTGAGAGATACTGTTTACTGAGTTCTTACTGAGCTCTTACTGTGTGTCAGGCACAGATTTTAAACCCCTCAAACTTATCTTCTGAGGTGCTGTTATTATCTCCATTTTACAGGTGGAGAAATAGGCACAGATAAGAAGTTTGCCCAGGGTAACGAGGCCTCTGCCTCTTGAGCCCATGCTCTTAACCTCTGCTTCCCAAATCAGAAGAGAAAGCACTTGGACAACATTAAATACTTTATAGCATTAATATAAAAATCATATATTATTTCTGAGTTTTTAAAAATCAAATAAAATGTTTTAACAATTGACCACGTCATAGTCTGAGGTCCTAACTTCCTGGCAGACTCTTCTACGAGCTCTAAGTACTATGATCTAGGGTTGACAGGAAGGTGGCTTTCTGTCCTCCTTGCCAGAGGAGGAAAGGGAGTTTGATGACTTAATAGACTGCCCTGTGAGAATACAGCACTGTGAGGCTGGAACATTCTAGAAATGTCACTTTTTTATCTTAGGAAGCTGCGGCTTGAGAAGAGGAGCAACTTGCCCAGAATCACAGTGAGTGGCACCCCTAGGTTGTAAGACGGCAGAGGAGTCCTAAGCACAGGCCAAAGTGATGGGGAAGAGCAATGCAATCAGTCCCCACCTAAGGCGGGGAGGGCAAGATGTTCACTGCTTTGAACTTGCCACTGCTTGGATTTACAACAGTGAACAACTGGAAAAATGCAAATGGCCTGGCGGAGGAAAATTTCCAAACAAGTTTTGATGTGCCCATATGTTAGCATATTATGTAGTCATTAAAAAACCCATGTGCAGCTGTTCAACTTAACACATAGTCAGAGAAAGGCAAATTAAAACATCAGTGGCATACCTTGATTTTTCCATATCAGATATCAAGCATTCGCAAGTGTGGTAATGCAATGGACATTAAAGCAGCTTGTACCACAGTGTACTCAATAAAATAAAAGGTAAAATCTCCTCAAGCTGAAAATACTCATCTGGCGACAGTGATCAGCCTCTCCGCTCTCTGGGAACCACCCTTTCCCCTGGGCCCTGCATTGTCCAGTTCAGATGTGCTTCTCCAGAGCCCCTGGTGAATGTGTCTCTCTTCTGCAGTGCTGAAGCAGAAGCTCCTTGGATAACCACTCAAAGCACCCACTTTCCTGCCAACCTCGTTACAGGTGGAAGCCACGTTTCCTGTTTCATTGTTAGTCTGCTACTCTGACCAGCCATGTTACAGTTCATTAAGGAAGCTTTCCCCAGAGATTCACTGGCCACCTTAAGTTGTGTGTATGATTATGGAATGATAGCTCGTGCTCCTAATGGTGGCTCATTGTCCACATTAGAACGTGAGCCTCACCTTTTCTGGTGCACAGGCAGCCTGCATTTCTAAGCCCCTAATGACATGCAACCACAGACAAGCTGGCAGTTTAAAGAGGAAGGGAGACACAGTGGATAAACAGGTCTGTCATTCCCAAGCAAGCATTCAACCAGCGTAGGAAAACAGACTTGAGCATGGAGAACCTGCAAAACATTCTCTCTCTCTTCCTCCTCCCCTATGTGTCAGTTTGGGTTTGGAGGGGGTGGGGGAGTGCTGTGCTTAGTTTGGGTGTCCAGAGCTCAAGCATGAGCTGGAGAGACACTCTGGGAAGGGTATAAAAAAGAATCAAATAAATGGACTAAGGTCTCAGAAATATGTCCCATGAAAAAGGCTTTTTTGCCTTATAGGGCTTCGGGCAAAAAAGACTCCGGAGAAATTTTCCATCAGAGTCATCATGGGTATGAAGCAATGTAGTTGCCTAGAGGGTAGTAGGGGAAAAAAGGCTTTTACCACAACAGAAGGGATTGTAGTTAGATTCAAAGCAGCATCTATGGGGCAGTACTCACAACAATACCATGCAGACAAACATCTGTTTAGCAGCTACTATGTGCAAGGCACTCCCTATCTTTTCTGCACCCCCCGAGGAGGATAACCCATATACTATGCGTCACTGAAATAGAGTCTTCAAGGACTCCTGGACTCAAGGACTTAAGGGCTCTCTCCATGGAATATCCAAGTGTCAAGACCACGGCTCTGTGGGCCAGGCTGCCTGAGTTGGAATCCACACTCTATGTCCTTAGGCCATTACATCCATTCTCTGCCTCAGTTTCCTCACCTGTACAATGGAGATAAAACACCCATTTCATAGGTTCACTGTGATAAATAAATAAGTTCACTCATGAACTTAGAATGGTACTGGTGTACAGGAAGAGCTAATATATGGCAGTTATTATTTTTATGAGTTTTTTTCTATTAATAATCACATTCAATGTGGAAAGCTTGGGAATGACTGGAAGTTAATAGGAACAAAACAAAAAAATCACCCTCAATTCCTTGTGCCATCTCTGAGAATTTATAACCAAAGGATAAACGCTATTTTTAAGATAATTTTCCCTTCCCAGAGGGGATCTACACTGGCAATTCAGACTGGGCTATGCATGTCTCAAAATCCCCTGCTGGCACACGGGTCCGCCAAAGATCTGCCCTACTTATTGTATTCCTGCCCTGATGCCTAACTCATCCTGCAGAGTGGGACAGAAGTCCTGCTCATACTGCTATAAATAGTTTTAAATTGTTGTCTTTTTTTCTTTTAATTTTAGCCAGTCTATTTTATATACATTGTAACAGTATATATGAACTTACTTCATTTTTGGAAGTATGCAGGTTATAACTGTGGTTACTAAATTCAGGAGCCTACTTCCTAGAGAAGTAGAACTCACCTTCCAAGAAATTCTCTGCATCTGGGCAGACTCTACTGCTTCTTCCTCAGTGGGCTGTGCTTACATGTTCTTTCCTAGATTTCAACCTAAACCCTGTCCTCTGCTACTCAGGTGCAAATCCCAAGGCCCAGCACATGGATATGTAAGATTTTGTGCAGACTTCACAATGATGCTTTCTGTAGATTCCAGAATTCTCCAATTAGTGACATGCAAATCCCCAGGAGAGAAATGGTGGTTTGGGTTTTCCCAAGTCAAATATGTTGATAGAGAAGGAATTCACATTCCAAATGCACCATATTCCAAGGCGACAAGTTAAGAGACTCAAACCAAAGACGTAACCAGAGAACAATTTGTGCAGAACAAAAGCACTGGACTTGCTTGAGATGTCCAACTCTGAAGTTGGACAGACAGAACGCAGTCCTGGGTGTCATGTGGAGGTGAAGAACACACACGTGAGGCTGCGAATCCAATGCCTGCAGCTCCAACGAGAAAGCAAAGTAGGATGAGGAGATACAAAGTGTTCCCAAACTGTGATTACTAAAGGAGACATTCGCTCACTGAAAATTAGCTGGGGCACAGGTGATGACTGGAGTGAGCTGAGTCATACATCTCTTCAAGTAGCATGCAAAAAGGGAGACGATTCAGTGAGGTCACAAACAAGCAAACAACAAAAAAAATAAATCAACAGATAAAGTGAAGAAGGAAGAGGAAGGGCAACAATGGAAAGTCCCCTCCAAAGATTCCTAGCAACTGTAAATCCACAGGACATTCATTCATGACAGGGTCCCCTGAGGACTGAGGAGGTCAGAATAATACTAACAATGGCTACCACTTGTAGAATGCTTACTTACTCCCCAGAACAGTGCAAGTACTTCTCTGTTTTTCAATCTATTAATCCATTTAATCCTCAGAACAGCTCTATGAGGTGGGGACAACTGCCATCACACTCATTTTCTTGGGGAAAAATAAAACAAAGAACACAAAATAAAACTGAAGTCTAGAGAGGCATAATCACTCACCCAAGACAAACATCCGGCAAGCAGAGAAGGCGGGATTTGAACCTGGCAGGAGTCTAAAACCTGAGTGGCACTCCTCACAATTGCGCTAAGCCAGGGTGGGCACATTAGGTGCAGGACAGTCCTAAGAACTGACCGGATCCTTGTGACAGTGTTTAAGGAATAAGAAGATAGAAAACTCGACCATGCTATTGAGCTGACACTATGTCAGCTCATTGGCTTGCGGGGAAAAGGGTATGGAGGAGGAAGGAGCTTTTATCAAATGGCAAAGTTATTTTGTCTAAACTTGGGTTTAAGTAGACTTAGAGCAGATGAAGAAGAAAAGAGGCTAAGTTTCTAAAACAGGTATGGCTCTCACATTTTACCAGCAAGGATGAAAATGAGAGATTTATGCTAGTTGAGCTGGTGACAAAGTGCAGAGCGTGTGGAAAGAAGGAAAGCTGCAGCGGAAGCACTGTGATGCTGGCCCCCTGTTCTGGAAGGCATGAGAACCCAGGCTGGGCTTTCAAATGGTTCTCCTCAACATCCCTTTGGAGAGCAGGATGCAGTGAGAGATGGAAACAACGCCAACTCAACAGTGGAACTTAAGAAAGGACCCTAGACGAATCTGGGAGGGTAGGGCAGAGAAACGTGGCCTCAGCACAGACACACTCTTAGAAAAAGGGAAGAGTAGGGACCCAGATGGAAACACCTGGGAAGTTATGATTTAATTAAGGAGAGTCCACCTGGATTCACACAAAGGCAGCCGTGTCTAAGAAATCTGATTTATTGAGGAAGTACCAAGAAGACCTGACAGGGTTAAGTCATGGGTATAAGGAGAGCTTTTGATAGAGCACCATAGGCTGAATCTACGTGGGGAAAAAGCATGGGGTGCAATTGCAGCAAGGCCAGAGCAGAATGAAAGGCTGGGAAGGTACAGGAAATGGGCAGCCGACCAAGCAGGAGAAAAGTGAGCCTGCAGAGCCCTGGGCTGTACTCTGAAAACAAGGGCTGTGCCAATGAGGTCCTGACAGGTGAATTCTTGCTGCCCAGGAACCTGCCTGCTTGGCCTGCAGGCACCCTGACTTTGCACCAGGCAGAGCCTGCTGTTGCCCAGCCAGGTTCCACTGAAGATGTCAGGGGCCATCCACTGTACTGGGAAGAAGGCTGGAGTCATCAGCTGCAGAGGGGACCAGCGTCCGCAGGGGGATGGTTTTAGTAGACTGCACAAGCAGCTGGGGTGGCTGGCCTGTCTGCAACTGGTCCGACTGACCGGCTGAAGAGTTATAAAACTCCACACATGGTACAAAGGCCCCTTGTCTCCACGTCCCTCTGGTAGCCAGGTGTCCCTTCAGTGGGCCTCTTGGCCAACTCCTGGGATCGCCCCCAGGTACAGAAGTGGGTACAATGCAGGTCCTTCTCCACGAGGCCTGAAAACAAATCACTTACCACGTCATCTCGGTCTTCCCACTCCACCTCAGAGAGGTCAACGCTACTATAGTTAGGTTTCCTTCGCTTTTTTCCTTCTTCGTACTAGCAAGGGGAAGAAGAAAAAGAAAAGAAAAACAAAAGTCCGTGAAGTCATCAGCCAGGGCAATCTTTACCTTCCCAAGTCCTGTTTCATGGACAGGGCTTGGGAGTGGACCGATGAGGGTGAGAAGCCCAGCAGGGTGACAGTCCTAGGGACTTTTAATGACAGGAAAGCCAAGGTCAGATGCCTCTAAACATTGGCTCCAAGTTGGGAGTAGAAAAGTTAACTCTTTGCTTGATATGAATTTACCTTGTAGACTTCTTGGTTTCCAAAACACCAGATGCAAAGGAAAATCTGTCCCCTCCTTGAATGGGGGGTGTGTGTGTGTGTGTGTGTGTGTGTGTGTGTGTGTGTGTGTCTCCACCTATATGGTATACATGTAAACAATGTAAATTCTGTAAATCATAGCAGACTAGTTAGCAGTTGGATTTGTCTTCCCATTGAATGGTGTGTGTGTGTGTGTGTGTGTGTGTGTGTGTGTGTGTGTGTGTGTGTGTATCCCAAAGCTGCTAAAACTCAGTCCGTGATACGAGAAAGGGCTTCTTACTTACATTTACCAAAGAATCTAGTCATATCCCCCTATACTTTATAATTCTCTCTCCTCTACCTTTTGTCTCAAACCTACCCGTACTCCTTAGCTAGGAAGCAAAAGCACTGATCTCCAGAGCTGGGGCTGGGCTCAGCATACTGGTGGCATTTTGCAGACACACAGAACCATCTATTCGCTGTCACACTGGCCACAGCAGTACTGAACTAAGCATGGCTCCTTTACCTGGAGTAGATGAGGGTATTGGGAATCATAGCCAGATGTAATGGCTGTTAGGGCATTTCTCCGGAAAAGCTGATGAGTGCATGAATAACTGGGGAAGTGGTTTTAGTTTTCTCCCCTAAATCACTGGTGTTAGTCACCCTGCAAGCCTACCATTTTATCGACCGGACGTTCTTGTGTCTGGACATTCTTGTGTCTTGAGGCCTTTCATGCTGGTTGTGGGGTGTTTATAATGTAGGAAAGTCTGCCCTCTGCTGCAGGCTAAGGATTAGCAACCCCTTTACACGTTCATCAGTTACGGTTAATGGCACATTGGAAAAATATATATGCATGTATACTGCTTTCTTTTTCACTTTTCTCTCCAGCTTGGTCATCTTTTGATTTAACTGGAAGGTTCTAAGTGAGATGCAGGGTCAGTCTAAGTGTTTTAAGACCCCAAAACCATAGGTTGCCATTTTTGACACTGATCAGCTACTATGGAGACAGGTGCTGAGGCCATACTGGGCATGAAGGAGAAAACTGCCACCCATATGTTGAACCAGACAAGTGTAAACTGACCCCCAGTGGGATGAGGGGAGGGCCAGAAGGGGTCGATCTTGCACCACTGTGGTGCCAAACAGGGCCAAGTGTCCACGCATGCACTCTTTTCTTACCTGTCAACTGCATTTCAGGAACTCTGCGACCTCTCTGGAGACTCCCCCTCCTCACCACTACCTAGGATGGTGCCTAGCCTCCTATGGCCAGTGGGCTCTTACCACCCTGATCAACGGTGAGCCCACCCCACTACTCTTAGGTTTTCAATTAACAGACATTCACGGTCAGTTTTATGACATCAGATCCACTCCAGATGAAGGGGAAGGAAAGTGGTTCCCTCAGAAGCCACTGTAAACAATAGCAGATTAGCAGTTGGATCTTGTTAAGGAAAGTTCCTGTGTGCATGGAAGCCCTGGTCCTTGTGAGATGCAGTCTTGGGCTGAACAGAAAAGAACAGCAACGAGGTCAACCGGAGTTGTCAGCAGCGGTGCCTTGCCCCTCAGTGTGGAGGAGTGCGGGGCAGGGATAGTAGTGTCCCCCTGAGGACTTAGAGTCAGACAGTCGTTCTGGACCTCTGTTACCTAAGAACCATTACTGAGAACTATTAGGTACCCCAGAAACTCACACAGCCCAGATCCTGAACTTCACATGCAGAACTTTCGTAATTTCTTGGGTAGCCTGATACTGGATCTAAACTGTCTATTTTGAGGAAGTTCTTTCTTTGGTCACTTCAAAGTGCTTCTTTATTCATTTATTCAATGCACATTTATTGTATACCTACTACTAAGTGCAAGGCACTAAAGATACAAAGTCAATTAAACAGTGCTTCACTCTTTCCCAAGGACTTACTTGTGGTTTATCCTTCTTAATTCTGCTTCTTTAAGGTCAATTTATTGCCCATAATGCATTTGGGAAAACAGGTTCTCACAAGTTAAATAAATTAAATCACAAGTTAAATAAGATCGCATAGCTTGTATGGTAGAGGACACCCCACCCAACACCAGCCTCTGTCAAATTTTCATGTCTAAGCCTCATGTTATTTCAACCACTGTTAAAGAGCTTTGAAAAAAGACTACAAGCTCCAGAGCAACAAATGTTCCTTCGTCCTCAAAAAAAGTGTCCACGTGTCTTTTTCAGAGGAGAAGGTCACAGTGGCTCTGCCGTGTCACACCACTCACATCACATTGGGTGTGTGATCCTGAGCCAGGTATCCAGCTACTCCAAGCTTCCTTCGTCAGTTACAAAATGGGTAAAAACAATAGCACCTCCATGGCAAAGAAAGGTTGAGAGTATTAAATGAAATATTGTATGTAAAATGGCAAACACATTCCCAGGCACAGTAAAATATTTTAATATTCAGCTAGCAAGATTCCTGAGAGTCATGCATTTTGTGGAATGACACAGGCTCATTGAATAAAATTGGCTAATATCTCATTTTCCTGAAATGAAGAAGACCATTCAATAATTTTACTGGTCACCATTCTGCAAACCATAGGCAGACAGAAGCTGTTTGTTGACTATGATGGTGTCAGACAATCACATTCATATGTCTCTGCTTGGTGTGGAGCTTACAAGTTTGAACTGAAGACTCTCCTGGCCGAAAATTCATACCTGCGCTAAAGAACCCAAGTCATTTTAGATGGTATTTGGCAAAGGTGGAATCAGCAGAGAATTCTTGACTTCTGATCCTCCCCAAATGTCTTTATTCGTTTTTTATAATCTCTCAATAAATACAGTATATTTCACCAAAAAGGTATTCAAGATACTTGGAATGATTAGAGAGTGATGGAATAAAAGATTTCCCATCATACTAGCCCATGAGCCACCATATTCCAGCAAGTCTCTATAGTCTAATTTCATGGCAAGATACAGATCGGGGGTAGGGATACTTCCTCTGGAACACTGTTTAAGAATGCCCTTCTACAATGTCTGCTTAGCCAGGTACGTAAAATGGGTATGAAACACTTTTCATTTGGGTCTTTTTTAGAGAATAAGCTCCTTTAGAATATAAACAGTCATGCAGCAGAGTGATTAATTTGAGTGAGAAAAGGAAAAGTCAGTGGGCTGTTGCATAGATATAACAGGCCAAGAGCTATGAGACAACTCTAATGTACTAAGCCTAAATCCACCTACCTCTTTTCCCCTACTAAGAAACTACATTAAAAGGCCAGAGAGTGGCACTCCATTAGGAAGGTTCCCATGCTTTGGCCTGCCACCACCCATTCCCCATGTTTTCCAGGTTAATCACCTCGGTTTTCCTGTAGGGAACTCCTTGGGCACCACTCCCATTAAGCATAATTCTAGTGAAGGTACAACCATCCTTCATGTGGCCTGATCAGTGGGGGAGGCCCACATCGCTCCAGGATGTCACTGGTTCAGAGGTGGGTACATAACCCACGCAAATTCAAATGAGATTCAAGAGATTCAATTTGGGATGCATTCCTGGATTTATCCAGGAAAAGAGGAGTTGCTAAGGTGCCAGGATGGGAGCTTGGAATAGCTCATGGCCATCTCTGCCACTACTTGGAGAGAGTCTTCCTGGGCATGAAGCCAGTGCAGGGAAAGCAGAGAAAAGATATGAAGAGAGTCCTGAAAAGGTGGTGTGTGCACCTGGATCAGGCTGTACCTGAAATCCTTGGATGTTTCATGTATCAATACTTTATCTCCATATTATCCCCCTTCCCTTTTAAAGGCCTTTTTTTTTTTTTTAAAGCTGGCTTAGATCTTAAGCATTGAGTAGTCAACAGAATTCCAACTTGTATATATTTAGTTCCTTTATTTTTTTCTTTTCAAATGAATGGCTTTTAAAGTACATGTTATGTGAAGTATTCACAAACACTGGTGCTTCCATGATTATTGAGGAACATGTGATTTATAAAATGCCTCACTGTTTTCCAAGATACACGATTGCGTCTGGGCACAGTTGATTTCTCCTTGCCTACTCCCCCTCGCCCCTCACCCCCATGAGTGACAGAAAAAGAACTAAATTCTCATATGTCCAACTCCCATGCCCAATCTCCCTTCTCCCATGCAGTTTTAAAAGGGGACAAATCCCAGGTCCCTCGGCTCCACCACTTCTTCTTCTTCTGCGTGAGGAGTTGGTTACCGGGGCCTAAGCATCGTGTATGGCATTTGTTAGTGTATCTATAATCTGTAACTTCCTTTGAAAATGTGATTAACTAATTGCAAACGGTTTCCAAAGGTTTATAAACAGATACTTTGAGAGCCACAGGTAGGTTTGTAGTTTTTGGTGCCTGTTTTACGAAAAAAATCTGTGGGGGAGAGTTTAATAAGGAAAGATATTCTGTGCTATGAAATACTTCGAGGTGGAGTTTCAAATAAAGGCCAGATGTGGGGAACACACAAACAAGCCCTTGGCCTAGCAGGATGGGACGAGAGGGCACTCATCCGAGGAGCAAGCTGGAACCAGGACTTGCCTGCAGCACAGAGCCTTCCTGGCCATATTTAATGGTCTGGATACCAGCACCCCTTTGCGTTACCTAGAGACTGACTTTGGAAGCACAGTGGGCTGGGCCAAGATGATGACCATGTTGATTTAAATAAAACAAAAACCCTTTGCTCTTTCTGTGTTCTGGGAAAGGCCAGAGGAAATCAGCTGTACACATCCATGCAGCCTCTGTGGAACAAATATTGTGTGTGCTAATAATTGATAATCTATATGTGCCACTCCATGCTGCCAACAGGAAGGAAGGGGATGGGGTGGGAGAGGAAGAAACTTTGCCCAAAGCTAATGCCATCTGGACATGGGGTGTGACCGAGGGCTGACAGCCAGCGATTATCTGGGGCAGATGTTTCTCTCCCAGGCAGCCGCAGTCCTCAGCTGGTGAAGACCTTTACCACTTCCTCTGAAGCCCTGTGTCTTCTCTCCTCCCCAAGGCTCAAGGGACCATTTCAGGAGAAGGGATGTAGGTACGCCTTACTCCTCCATATGCAAGAGATAAGGACCAATGGCCACAGGGCACTTCATTCCTTCACTCACTCATCCATTCTTTCCCTCATTCACTCATTTGTTCACCTACACAATCCAAAATACTGTTGGACACCTAATATTTCTCAGGCTCTGTGCCAGGCCTGGGCAAGCCTTGGAGGGCATGGAAAAGCACCCAGGGAGAATGAGCTCCCACCCTCATGTTCTTGATCCCAATTCACTACCAGTGAATCAGGCTTCATCAAGGGAACCCATTGAGAAGGGTGCTTAAAGCCAGGGTCCTGGAGTCAGACTCTGATTCTAATCAGTTCTACATGCTGTGTGGTCTGGGGCTAGGTGTGCACGTCTCTGTGCCTCATTTTCCTCATTTTCCTTATCCGTAAGATGGAGGTACGGGCACTCAGCTTACAGTGCTGCACTAAGAAGCAAATGGGTATAAACATGGTTTAGCAAGGAGCCCAGCACATCCTGTGTCTTAATAAATATGGCCTGAAAACACGCCCATTTGGCCAGTACCAATGGCTGATACTGATTGATGAGATGCAGCAGCCCCTGCCCCCATGCAGCTCACCCCTAGGGAGGAAGTTCCTTCACAGGCAAAGGGAGTTCATAACAGTATCTTGTTTATAAATAGCCCTATTCCTTTAAGGAGATTGTTCGACCTGACTTGGTGCTCATTTGTCTCAAGGTCAAGGCGAAGGCCAGAGGGGCCTGTGGCAGAGTGAGGGCCTCCTCCCCTTTGATTCCATGTTGCCAGCTGCACATCAAGGCCTCTGGTTGCAACAGACTCAGAGGAGGTGGCCCCGGGGAAAGGCAGCCCCAGTGGCCTCTGTCAGCCCCTACTCCCTTGGGGATCAGTAGCGGGAAGGTGGGGGGCATGAAGTCACAATCTAAGTACTTTGAGAGAGTCACAATCTAAGTACTTTGGGCATTTGGTGTTTCCTTACTTTCCCCCTCTTATCCATGTAATAACGGCTCATTGTTGAAAATTTGGAAAATAATGAAAAGTATACAAAGTGAAAAGTATATTGCCCTTACTAACACCACACCGGCGTCGGCACCTGCCATTCTGCTCTCTTTCCCAAAGGGTAAAAGTACTTTGAATCAGTTACTGTTTTCACTTTTCAAGGTTCATTGTTTTCCTAAAAAGGAATTTATAAAATGTAGTAACTAATCTTGTTCTGCTTTCCAAGTGAGTGCCTTTAGAAAAGAATAAAAAAGCGATTATTCCCCCACTGGGCAGTTTCCCCCTGCACTTCCCATCATTCGTCATGAAGGTGAATGTTTCTGGTGCCAGGCTTTGTGCTAACAGCGGTACGTGTCTCGTTTCATTTTCACAACTCCAGGTGAGGGATAACTGCTTCAGAGATGGGAAAACGCAGCACCCAGGAAAGGCAGGTCACGTGGTGACATGGCTGACAGGCAGCAGCATCGTGGTGCAGCCAGCCCAACCTCGTTTCTGAGCCTGTGGTCTGGTGGTCACCGGCCCTCGGCACTGCCTCACCTGAGGTGCTCTTCTCCTGGCTAATGCAGGTCCTTGGTTCAGGTGGCAACTGCTGATGGGACTGGACCCAGAAGACCCATTAACAGTCACAGAATCACATTGGCAGTCAAATCCCACTAGCCGGTCTTGTCTCTGTTACCAGCTGACTCATTTGGCCTGCCCTGAAACTGAGCTTGGTGGCCAGGGAGAGGAGAAGCAGTGTCAGATTAAGAACACCTAGGCCAAAGCCAGGCACAGTGGCTCGCGCCTGTAATCCCAGCACTTTCGGAGGCTGAGGCAGGTCTGGAGTTTGAGACCAGCCTGGCCAACATGGCAAAAACCCATCTCTACCAAAAAACACAAAAATTAGCTGAGCGCAGTGGTGTGTGCCGTAGTCCTAGCTACTCTGGAGGTTGAGGCACAAAAATTGCTTGAAACTGGGAGGCGGAGGTTGCAGTGGGCTGAGATTGTGCCACCGCACTCCAGCCTGGGCGACAGAGAGAGACTGTCTTGGAAAAAAAAAAAAAAGAACACCTACAATAAACTGAGTGGCTGCAGTGAGTTAAGCAGCAATATGCTGATGCCCAACTTACAATATCTTACTCAATTTCACCAATATCCATCTCAGGGCCTCAGGGAACCCTTGTGGTATGGGAGGATATCATTTCAGCTTGGATTTCCACTGAAATGGTGCTGTCTCCTTGGATGTGTGACTCCCTGACAGCCCAGATTTCTCTAGACAAGATGCCCAATGGGACGACATAGACATTATGCCAAGAGAAAAATGCCAATGAGCCTCTATTCGGAGATGTAATCTTACATGTCACGGAAAGATGAGAAGCCCAGATATACTGCAGAGAAAAAGGGTCATGAGGGTGTGTCAAAAACCAGCAGGAAGGTGGGAAGGAGGCAACGGGGCATGTCAAGACAACAAGCCCTTTCCTTTTTCTAAAAGGTACTGTGCTCTTATTAATTAATGTTTTTAAGCATCTCAAAGATGAAAAGTTGTATGTGCTCTCTTAGTATGATTACAAAATCCTTTTGATCGCTGTAAAACTAAAACAGCTTTGGTATTTTTTTTTTAAAAAAAAACAACAATTAACAGGCTGCTTTGAAAACCTGAATGACCTTTATCTTAATCAGTGTCCTCTGGGTAGCCATGAGTCACACACAGCACTGTGTGTGGGGAGGAGGCGGCTTAGCCCACCACCGTTTTTGTAGGTCAAACACGCTTACCACACCGAGGCTGGATTTAAGCTCCCATTCTCAAAAAGCCAGTTGGTCTTGTAACAGCAAGCTAGACATAAAAATCAAAATAGTGCTGAGTAGTTGAGCTGGGAGGAACCTTTCGTGCCGGCAATGGGACAGAGAACAGGACACTCTGAAAGCAGGGAGGGAGAGTGGCAACTCCATACCTCTGCTGTAGGCAAAGGAGTAACGCTGAGAAAAGAATGCTCCTCGGCAAAGAGGAAGGAACACACACAGATGGGCATGCAAAATAAAGATCCATGTGGGCACCCAGGGGCATCTGCTCTGATGAGTTGGAGCACTTAGAGGCAAACAAAACCGTCTCTAAAGTCTCCTCGACAAAAGTTAGATGCAAGACAGCCTCGAAATAAATTTCAGACAGGGCTGCACTGAGTTCTCGAACGTGGATATATGCCTTCTCCAAAGCCAAGTTCATAAAAGTTTTCAGAAACTGCTGTGTCATTAGAACATCCAGGGTAAAAAAGAGGACCTCTATAATTTGAAAGTATGTCTGTGACATTTGGCAGGTAACTTTTTAAAAAATTTACAGAACTTTCTTTGACATTATTCCTTTGAGCAGTTGACCATATCAAAAGACTTTTGGGTATGTGGAGCCGTCAGACCGTTTTGAATATGAGGTACAATTAGGGACAACTAATTGATTCTAGTTTTGAAACTGCAAAAACATTGACTTCCTTTATTCACTCAAGTAAAATCTCAAAGTAGTATCCATCAACACTACAAAATGTTAACTTTCGAAAGATGCCACGGCTAACCACCACGGAAGAGGGAGTTCTCTCTTGTTGGTTTTCCTCCTGTGGTAAGTAGTTCGGGCCCATTGACTCATATCCTGTCACCCCATTTCCAATGCCTCTCCTTAACTTAGTCCCTGGGCAGTGGACTCTAGTCTCACCATCTCTGAGATGGCTGAGGAACAGAGAGAGCCTTCAACTTCAGGTTTTTATGCTAAACGACAAGCAGGGCAGGAAGCTGGCAATGAATTTGCAAGTGAAGTTAATAAAGGGATGCAGGCAAGAGGGAAAGAAATTCTTTCTTCCAAGCCAACTGCCATTACCTGATTTATGCCTGTAATAGCATCAACCAACAACCAACGTCAGAATGCTGAGCCTTCATCACGTGTGCGTGTGTGTGCGTGTGTGTGTGTGTGTGTGTGTGTGTAATTTTATTTAGGGAGATGCTTGGTTTAATAGCTTTATTTTGTTTTGCTTTTCCTGCTAAAAATTGTTGAAGATACTTATGAAGGAAGAAAAGACATGAAGGGCTCCATCTTTGTGGCCACCTTTTCCATGAAAGAAATTTCCCAGATCCTTCCAGCTGAGTCTCTCTCCTTTCTCAAATGGGGTGGCCCTTCTTCTGCAACCCTCTGAGGATACTGTGCTTTACAGTATAAATATGTATGTGACCACTTTGTACACATATGCTCTAAGCCCCAGCCATGTTCCGACTACCAAACTGAGCTGGTTCTTGTCCATCATTGGTCCGTCTTCTCGACCGGATAGGTGATCCAGCAAAATACTCAGTTTTGATTTTGTGTGTGTGTGATTCTCAATTACAGTGATATGTCTTTTTAAAAATGTTTCTGGATGCATGCTGGTCTGAATAAACCCAAGAGAGCTCTGATGTGATTCATAACTCAGAGGAAAGCCAAATGTCCCTTGTAAGACTGAGTTCTCTGGGTCTTATATTTGCCTGTGACCATGGAAACACAGGCAGGAGCTGGAATGGGTGAGTATAATCAGAGAAAGTGGCGTGAGCCAGGCAAAGCAAGCAGCACCCATCAACCTACCATGTCCATTGCTTCTATCTTCTAAATGCCTCTTGGAATTGGATCATATCAATCTTGCCGTCAGCTTAGTGTCAGCCACTGTGATAGCTCTGCCCTTGATAACAAGCAGGCATCCCCTAAGCGGTCTCCCTGCCTGTACTCTAACCCTTCCAATCCATTCTCCAGGGTCCAGCCAGAGAGATTCTTTCACAACCCAAATCAGATCATATCACTGCTTAGGCTGGAATCCTCATAGCTCCTCATGTCCTAGGTGATGGCACCCAACAGTCCAGAATTCCACAAGTCCCTGTGACTTGGCCTCTGCTTGCTGTTCTGGCCTCTTTCTCGCCACTCCCTGCCTCTCACTGTACTCCCCAGCTAGACTGAGCTGGCTGCTGAAAATGTCATCATCGTTCTTGCCTTCAGGCCTCTGCACATGCCACCCCATGTGCTCTGAATTCTCTTTACTCCAACTTAGGGTCGTGGTCAATTTCTGCTAACCCCTCAGGATTTCAACTCCTCTTGGAGGTCTGTCCTGACCTGGCCAGGCTAGGTCAGGTCAAGTCCTTCCCATACTCTCCTCAGCCTCCCATGGCCCTATCTCCCCAGCCATCACATTGTACTGCAAATTATTAGCTTACTTGCCTGTTTCCCCTACTAGGTCCTAAGCATCTTTGGTAAAAAGACTATTTCAGGTTCACCACCGGACCACATGCCTAGGACAGTGCCTGGCAAAGAACAGGTTCCCATGAATATGTGACGAATGAGTGGACCGAGGGAATGAACAAATTAGTCTATGTAGTCATTTAATAAACACATGCATAACAATGACCTATGTTTTTGGCCTTTTCTAGATGTTTTAGGAACATTAACTCATTTAACCCTCATCACAGTCTCATGTAGTAGGCACTATTTTTTTGTTCTCATTTTTCAGCGGAGGAAACTGAGGTCAGGAAGGTTAAGTAGCTTGGATGAATTTCAGCCCCAGAATCTGACCTCAGAGACTGCTCTGCTCCATAGAGAAACAGGCACTAGTGAGCCTCCCAGTCTGGAGCTGAAATCACTGCCCAGTGCCTACTTGAGATGTATCCTGAGGACGCAGGAAGGGGATGACAGCAAGGTGACCTACAGTCACCATTAACCAGGTCCCTAGAATTCCATACTGAGCAGAGCTGAGTTTCAAATCATTAACGCTCAAATGAATCTTCCCTTTAAATATATACGAACATAACATTTATATTTGTATTTCAGCCTGGATAAACATGGGCTTCATTAACTTGGGAGTCCAACCCCATATTCATGAAAAACCTGCAGCAATCCTGGGAGTCAGATAAAAGTCCCAGCCCCTCCCAGTTACTACTAGATCCTCTTCCTGGGGTGCAGCTAGAGACTTAGAAACTCCAGGAGAGGCCCTTTGGGAGAAGCAGGCATTTGGAAGAATCAGAATATTTTAACTGGTTCTAATATTCAGGATACATTTCTAAAATCTCTACACCTCTTCACTGTGGAGAGGTAAAAATACTCTGTGATGTCTGTCAGCTTCTAAATATTCCAGATAAACCCTTGGTCTGACTTCTCTCCTCTTTCATCTGTTTCTATTTCCCATTCCCAAGGAATCCAGCTTAGCTCACTGGGCCAACCTTTCTGCTTGGCCACATTTCTGCCAAGCCAGGTCTCAGTCCCAATTTAAATCCAGCTTGAGCATTCCTTAGCAGAGGGATCCTTGGGCTGCCGATCTAATTTGGAATATGTGTGTTTGTGTGTGTGTGTGTGTGTGTGTGTGTGTGTGTGTGTGTGTGCATCTACTTTCCAGATGATGTTCTAAATTTGTCTCTTGCAGAGTGGGGCTTCAGCTCTGCCTGGGGTGAATTGCCTACCTTGATCTTATGGACTTTGGTATTATAGTCATTGGATTCAAAGGAAAGAAACTGTCATGGCTGCAGTAAATGTCCCCTTGACTTGCTCCTCAAGAGGCCCTTGCCCTTCCAGGAAGAGACAGGCATCAAAAGCATGGAATTTAAGACCTGAACCCAGAGGCTACCAGGTTGGAGCTGGTAGGTCCGTTTGTCATTTGGGATTTCTGTCCTTGGTTAGCTGGCACACAGAAGTGGCCAAGCCAATAAAAACCCCAGCAACAGGCCAAACAAATGCTCCCAGGGACAATCCTATCATGCTACATAATGGAGGGAGGGGGCCACTGGGGCAGGCACGGGGTAGACTCCATCTCTAGGAGAGAGGGACAAGTGAGGCTGAGAAGAAGTTTCAGCAAAAACCTTGCCTGGCTTAGCCAAGCTCCTTCTTTGCCTCAAAATTCCAAATGTATTAGTGTTTCCCTTTGCCTAGCAACCTCCACAGAGAATGTAAAAATGGCACCTGGGAGATGTGTTTGGAAATAGATGTGCCTATCACATGATGATGAAAGTTCACCTAAGTGTGTCACGGTTGGAGCACATTCCTCAATGAAGTACAATGCTCAGTGCAGTGGTGTGATACGGATTAAATTATTGTGCCAAAGAGCCCATGGTCTCAACATTTTTATTTGCATTCTTTGGGTCTTATCATTTAGGATTATGTAAAAATGACAGCTGCTTATAATTATTTGGAGGTTTGAGCTGCAGTAATTAAAGAAGTCTGCCTTCATCTTACTGCTACCAGATTTAACCCCGCGAGGTTGGGTCTACTGAACTTCAAAGAGGGGAGCAAGAAATAAAAGAAAACTCCACACATTACCAACAAATTTCTAGTGATTCATTTAAATGTATAACCAGTTATTCCAACAGCCTTCAAACCTCTAATTATCTTTTAAATATATATAATTTGGGACTGCTAATTAGATAGCAATTTAATGCTCTCATGGGGATTCAGATGGAAGGTCTTTCTAAAATGTAAACTCCCAGAGGAATAATCATTGGCATTCAAATGATTGAATTCTTCAGTTATTCAAATGAATGTGGGCATCTACCCAGTTGGGACCATTTGGATATTCTGCTGTCAGATCCAGCTGTAGGGTTTTACAGGGCCCACAACAGAGTGAGGGTAAGGCTAGGTTATCTCTCGGTCAAGTCCATCTCCCCGGAGACAAACAAGATGTGCTCTTTGGGAAAGTCTAACATCACTTAAGCAGCCCAGTCGAGTCTCCTCTTAGAGGCAGATGGCTCTGTTTCCTATTTTAAGGAGGAACAAACTTTCCTGGAATTTGCAGTTATGAAAGTTCTAATGCAATGCCTGCTTCTCAGGCTTTCTCCAAGCTGTTCTGCCTGCTATTGTCTGGGCAGTTAACATTTTAA